>NW_021160022.1:0-300000 GCF_000001405.40 Homo sapiens
GCTGGCTTTACTGAGAAGGAAGGACGCAGGTGGTTGGAACTACCCCCATCAAACTCCTTTTTTTCCTCTTTTTTTTTTTTTTTTTTTTTTTTGAGACAAGAGTCTTGCTATATTGTCCAGGCTGGTCTTGAACTCCGAGGCATAAGCGATCCTACCTCCTCTGCCTTTCAAGTAGATGGGACTGGCTGGGCACAGCCCCTCACACCTGTAATCCCAGCACTTTGGGAAGCCAAGGTGGAAGGATCGATCGCTTGAGCCCAGGAGCTCAAGATCAGCCTGGCCAACATAGTGAGACCCCATCTCTTTTAAAAAAATTGTTTTAAAAAATTAGCCAGGCATAGTGCTACACGCCTGCAGTCTCAGCTACTCACGAGGCTGAGGCAGGTGGACCACTTGAGCCCGGGAGGTTGAAGCTGCAGCAAGTCGTGATCACGCCATTGCACTTCAACCCACGCAACAGAGCAAGACCCTGTCTCAAAACAGGGTTAGCTGTTTGAAGGCAGGGCGTAGTGGCTCCCACCTGTAATCCCAGCACTTTGGGAGGCGGAGGAGCGTGGATGACCTGATGTCAGGAGTTCGAGACCAGCCTGGCCAACATGGTGAAACCCCATCTCTACTAAAAATACAAAAATTAGCCGGGTTTGCCCTGTGATCCCAGCTACTCAGGAGGCTGAGGCAGGAGAATAGCTTGAACCCGGGAGGCGGAGGCTGTAGTGAGCTGAGATCGCTCCACTGCACTCCAGCCTGAGCAACAGAGCAAGACTCTCTCTCTGTCTGTCTCTCTCTCTATATATATATGTTAGTATCTATTGTTAGAGAATTAAATAAGACATTCTCACCCTCTGATACCCCATTCTGTGTTCCTCCTAAAGTCTACCCACTGGCCTAGAGTGACTTCTCTGATTCAGCATTACAGGACGTACATTGGAGCCCTTTCAAAGCTAGACTTAGCCGACATAGCCACGTATCAGATGCTGAAGAGGGCTGCTGGGAAAAGCCAGCCCTGAGGTCCTGTTTGCAAGGGGAGCACCAGAAAGACATGCTTTTCATTTTTGTTCTGTCTTGGTTTGTTTTTTCTTGAGACGAGGTCTGGCTCTGTCGCCCAGACTGGAGTGCAGTGGCGCAATCATGGCTCACTGCAGCCTCAACCTTCTAGGCTCAAGCAATCCTCCCACCACAGCTTCCTGAGTAGCTGGGACTACAGATGCGCACCACCACACCCGGTTAATTAAAAAAAAAAAAAATTTAGGCCAGGCACAGTGGCTCACACCTGTAATCCCAGCACTTTGGGAGGCCGAGGCAGGCAGATAACCTGAGGTCAGGAGTTTGAGACCAGCCTGGCCAACATGGTGAAACCCCGTCTCTAGTAAAAATACAAAAATTTTCTGGGTATAGTGGCGCTCGTCTATAGTCCCAGTTACTCGGGAGGCTGAAACAGGAGAATTGCTTGACCCTAGGATGTGGAGCTTGCAGTGACCTGAGACTCGCCACCGCACTCCAGCCTGGGCAACAGAGCAAGACTCCATTTCAAAATAAATAAATAAACTAATAAATAAATAGGCCAGGTGCAGTGGCTCACGCCTGTAATCCCAGCACTTTGGGAGGCCGAGGTGGGTGGATCACAACGTCAGGAGTTCGAGACCAGCCTGGCTAACACGGTGAAACACCGTCTCTATTAAAAATACAAAAAAATTAGCCCGGTGTGGTGGCACATGCCTGTAAACCCAGCTACTCGGGAGGCTGAGGCAGGAGAATCACTTAAACCCGGGAGGCAGAGGTTACAGTGAGCCAAGATCGCACCACTGCACTCCAGCCTGGGCTACACAGCAAGACTCCATCTCAAAAATTAAAAAATAAATAAATAAATAAACATCAAATAAATTTTTAGAAATGGGGGAGGGGGGTCTCGCTATATTGCCCAGCCTGGTCTTGAACTCCTGGACTCAAGCAATCCTCCCACTTCAGCTTCCCCAAGTGCTGGGATTACAGGTGTGAGCCACTGCACCCGGCCATCCTTTGCTTGAACTCCTCCCTGTGTCTCCTCTGACCCCAGTTACTCACTCCCCATAAGTCTAAATCCTATGCAAGGAGATACCCCAGTAAGTCTAGGGCTCCAAAGCAGCCCCCAGTTGACTTCCACTAGTCCAGCTCCTACTGCTGGGTGACCTCAAGCAAGTGGCTCAGCCTCTCCAAGCCTCAGTTTCCTCCTCTAAGAAATGGAAGTGACAGTCCCCACTTTGCAACACTGTTTGACGGCTTATACTTCAGCGTTTATCTCCATAGCTACGGGCATTGCATGAGCACTCAACACATTATTATTATTGCTATTTCTGTTGCTATCACTGTGGCAGGCTGTGGTTTCTCAAGACGGGCACTGTCTAACAGAAATACAACTCAAGCCGGATGTGGTGGCTCACGCCTGTAATCCCAGCAATCTGGGAGGCCGAGGCGGAAGGATTGCTTGAACTCAGGAATTCAAGACCATGGGCAACACAACAAGACTTCCTCTCTATCAAAATTCAAAAAAATTGGCCAGGCATGCTGGCTCACACCTGTAATCCTCACACTTTGGGAAGCAGAAGCAGGCAAATCACCTGAGGTCGGGAGTTCCAGACCAGCCTGACCAACATGGAGAAACCCCGTCTCTACTAAAAATACAAAAATTAGAAGGGCATGGTGGCGGGTGCCTGTAATCCCAGCTACTTGGGAGGCGAGGCAGGAGAATCGCTTGAACCCGGGAGGTGGAGGCTGCGGTGAGCCGAGATCACGCCATTGCACTCCAGCCTGGGCAACAAAAGCGAAACTCCGTCTCAAAAAAAAAAAAAAATTAACCAGGGATGGTGGCTCACGCCTGTAATCCCAGGACTTTGGGAGGCCAAGGCAGGTGGATCACTTGAAGTCAGGAGTTCGAGACCAGCCTGGCCAACATGGTAAAACCCCATCTCTATTAAAAATGCAAAAATTGGCCGGGTGTGGTGACGCACACCTATAGTCCCAGCTACTTGGGAGGCTGAGGCAGGAGACTTGCTTGAACCCAAGGTTCAAGTGAGGTTGCAGTGAGCCGAGATCGCGCCACTGCACTCCAGCCTGGTGACAGAGCGAGACTCCGGCTCAAAAAAAAAAAAAACAAAAAACAAAAAAGGAAAAAAAGAAAGAAATACAACTTGAGACACATATATACTTTTATTTATTTATTTATTTACTTATTTATTTTTGAGATAGCATCTCACTGTGTTGCCTAGCCCAGTCACAAACTCCTGGACTCAAGTGCTGCTCTCCGCTCAGCCTCCCAAAGTGCTGTGTTTACAGGGACCAACCACTGTGCCCTGCCACATATGTTATTTTATTTTATTTTACTTTATTTATTTATTTTATATATATATATATATATTTTTTTTGAGATGGAGTCTCACTCTTTCACCCAGGCTGGAGTGCAGTGGTGCGATGTTGGCTCACTGCAACCTCTGCCTCCCAGGTTCAAGCGATTCTCCTCCCTCAGCCTCCCACGTAGCTGGGATTACAGGCACGCACCACCATGCCTGGCTAATTTTTTGTATTTTTAGTAGAGACAGGTTTCACCATGTTGGCCAAGCTGGTCTTTTTTTTTTTTTTTCTTTTTTTGAGACGGAGTCTCGTTCTGTCGCCCAGGCTGGAGTGCAACACTGTGATCTCAGCTTACTTCAACCTCCACCTCCCGGGTTCACGCCATTCTCCTGCCTCAGCCTCCCAAGTAGCTGGGATTACAGGCACCCGCCACCAGGCCCAGCTAATTTTTTGTATTTTTAGTAGAGACGGGGTTTCACTATGTTGGCCAGGCTGGTCTCAAACTCCTGACCTTGCGATCCGCCCTCCTCGGCCTCCCAAAGTGCTGGGATTACAGGAGTGAGCCACCGCGCCCCGCCTAAGCTGGTCTTAAACTCCTGACCTCAGATGATCTGCCCGCCTCGGCCTTCCAAAGTGCTGGGATTACAGCCCTGAGCCACTGTACCCAGCCTACATACGTAATTTAAATGTCCTGAAACCATGTAAAAGAAAATATATGAAATCAATTTTAATAATGTATTTTATTAAACCAAGTTTATCTAAAATATAATTTCAACATGTTAACAACACTAAACATTTGCTTTCTTTTGTTCTGTCTTTTTTTTTTTTTTTTTGAGACAGAGTCTCACTTTGTTGCCCAGGCTGGAGTGCCGTGGTGCAATCTTGGCTCACTGCAAACTCCGCCTCCTGGGTTCAAGTGATTCTCCTGCCTCAGCCTCGCAAGCAGCTGGGATTACAGGCGCCCGCCACCACGCCCAGCTGATTTTTGTTTTGTTTTGTTTTGTTTTGTTTTTTGAGGCGGAGTCTTGCTCTATTGCCCAGGCTGGAGTGCAGTGGCGCGATCTCAGCTCACTGCAAGCTCCACCTCCCGGGTTCACGCCATTCTCCTGCCTCAGCCTCCGGAGTAGCTGGGACTACAGGTGCCCGCCCCCACGCCAGGCTAATTTTTTTGTATTTTTAATAAAGACGGGGTTTCACCGTGTTAACCAGGATGGTCTGCATCTCCTGACCTCATGATCCGCCCGCCTCGGCCTCCCGAAGTGCTGGGATTACAGGCGTGAGCCACTGTGCCCGGCCCTAATTTTTGTATTTTTAGTAGAGACGGGGTTTCACCATGTTGGCCAGGCTGGTCTTGAACTCCAGACCTCAGGTGATCCGCCTGTCTCAGTCTTCGAAAGTGCTGGGATTACAGGTGTGAGACACCTTGCCCGGCCTCGTTTTCTGTTTTTTTGTTTGTTTGTTTGTTTTCCTGAGACGGTCACACTGTCACTCCGGCTGGAGCACAGTGATACAATCATATCTCACTGTAGCCTGAACCTCTTGGGCTCGAGAGATCCTCCTGTCACAGCCTCCAGAGTAGCTGGGACTACTGGCTTGTGCCACCACGCCCAGCTGATTTTCTTATTTTTTAATAGAGATGGGTTTTCGCCATGTTGCCCATGCTGGTCTCAAACTCCTGGGCTCAAGTGATCTTCCCACCTCACCATCCCAAAGTGCTGGGATTCCAGGCGTGAACCACCGCGCCTGGCCAAAACATTCTTTTTTTTTTTTTTTTGGAGTCTCACTCTGTCCCCCAGGCTGGAGTGCAGTGGCGCAATCTTGGCTCACTGCAACCTCTGCCTCCTGGGTTCCCACCATTCTCCTGCCCTAGCCTCCCTAGTAGCTGGGACTATAGGCGCCTGCCACCATGCCCGGCTAATTTTTTGTATTTTTAGTAGAGAAGGGGTTTCACTGTGTTAGCCAGGATGGAAAACATTCTTAATGAAATATTTTAGGCCGGGCGTGGTGGCTCACGCCTGGAATCCCAGCACTTTGGGAGGCCAAGGCAGGCAGATCATAAGGTCAGGAGTTTGAGACCAGCCTGCCAATATGGTGAAACCCCGTCTCTACTAAAAATGCAAAAGTTAGTCAGGCGTGGCGGTGGGTGCCTGTAGCCCCAGCTACTTGGGAGGCTGAGGCAGAATAATCACGTGAACCTGGGAGGCAGAGGTTGCAGTGAGCTGAGATCACTCCATCTCAAAAAAAAAAAAAGAAATATTTTTCCTTGTTCCCTTCCTGCTATGTCTCCAAAATCCACTCTGTATTTTACCTTTCCAGCACAACCTAATTTCAGCCAGTCCCATTTCAAGGGCTCAGAGACCACTTGTGGCCATTGGTGACCATACTGGACAGTGCAGGTCTGCAGGGGAGTTTAACTAATTGAGGGGGTGGCAGGGAGAGTGGGTGAAGACTGGCCAGAGGGTGCAGCTGTGAGACTCGAAGTTTCTCCAAGAAAAAGCTAGGGCTTCCATATGGATGAGTGGATAATCACTGTTTTTTTTTTTTTTCTGCTGTGCCTATCATTTAACTGAATGGAGGCAAAGCATGTGTTGGTTGGTACATTCAACAAGTTCTAGGTTAAGCGCCTACCTTCCAGGTGCTGCCGGTACAGTAAAGCACAGATGGGACAAACTCCTGCCTCCTGAGGCTCACAGTGGAGAGGGAGAGATTGAAATTAAGCAACTACCAAAGGTGGATCACTTGAGGTCAGGAGTTCAAGACCAGCCTGGCCAACATGGCAAAACTCCGTCTCTACCAAAAATACAAAAATTAGCCGGGCGTGGTGGTGGGCGCCTATAATTTCAGCTATTCGGGAGGCTGAGGCAGGAGAATCACTTGACCCCGGGAGGCGCAGGTTGCAGTGAGCCGAGATCGCACCACTGCACCCCAGCCTGGACGACAAGAGTGAAACTCCGTAAAAAAAAAAAAAAAAAAAAAAAAAAAAACCGCCGAAACAGATAAATAAATGGTAATGGTGAGAAGTATGAGGAAGGAAAAATGCAGGGTCCTCTGAGGACATTGGCAAGGAGCCGGGACGGGAACGGGTGATGGAAGCCATGGCCAGCTTCCAGGCCAGAGACGGTGGCCTACACAAGCTGAGTCAGAAAAAATGCTCAGAGGTGCTGGGGTTTGATTAAGTGTTAGGGTGAACCTCATGGAATTGCCATTTTAACAGGCCAAAAATGGTAAAAAAAAATTAGCAATTTCATATGACCCAAGATAGTATCTAGGGCATGGAAAGGAGGGGCGGGGTACTATACTAGTTTTGAGGCTCAAGGGATGACCTATGAACCCCCTAACCGAGCTTTGTTTCTGGAGAGGGGGTCCGCGGCCCGCATGAGCTCCCTCAGTGAGCCTGCGACCCCTCCGCCCCCACAAGAACCAAAACTTGACCCGGTGCCCAGAGAGGTTGAGTGAGTTTCTCGGGTCGCACAGCTGGGAGGGACGAGGGGCTGAGCCACTGCCAAGGGATCCCGCTGCTCTGTCTCGCTCACCGGCCGGGCTATGTTGATTGTCCCCTCGCGGCGCCCGGAAGCGACCCTCAGTAAACAAAGCCGTGTGTGGGCGCAGCCCCAGAAGCCTGGGGCGCGCAGTCCAGCCCAAGAGAGGCGGGGGAGGAATGTTGTGAATGAACCCCGGGCCCGCCCCGAAACTCCGCATAAGGCCTGGGCCGCGGGGGTCCTCCCACTCTGATTGGCCTCTGGCGCCCCGTGATTGACAGCGCCCCTCGCTGTGCGCTCTGGTTGGGTAAACAAGAAAAGACTGGCATCGCAGTCATCGAGTGAGCAGCGAGGCTTGGACACGGGTCTGGCGGCGCAGCCAATGGCGGGGGAGGGCCGAGGAGGCCGAGGGGGGGCCAATAGGGACAGGCGGTGGGGGCGGGACGACGGCGGAGCTAAAGCGGCGGCTGAAGCAGCTTCATTGTTGTGAAGAGTCTTAAAGGGGCCGCATCACCCTGCCGGCCCGGCGCGGGTCGGGGGTGGGTGCGGTAGGGGTCCCGGGGCGGCCGAGCGCAGAGGACGGACGGGAAGGAGGGCAGGGGGCGCGGGAGCCGGCGAAGCGGAGCGGGCATCGGACCGAGCCCCCCAAAGAGGCCCCGCCCCGGCCCTGGCCCCGGCCGGGCCGGATGGAACCCCCCGCGGCCAAGCGGAGCCGGGGCTGCCCCGCGGGACCCGAGGAGCGCGATGCCGGGGCCGGGGCCGCGCGTGGCCGGGGCCGGCCCGAGGCGCTGCTGGACCTCAGCGCCAAGCGGGTAGCCGAGAGCTGGGCCTTCGAGCAGGTGACCGCGGGGGAAGGGGGCGGGGGCAGGGACGCACCCCCAGCACCTTCCCCACCTGTCTTCTCCTCCCCCACAATCCCCAGACTCCAGAGCTAACCCAATCAGAGACACCCCCTGAGATTCCACCCCCAGGACCCTTAACCCTGCCTGGAAACACCCCCTCATCCTCCTGTTTCTGTCCTTCAAACCCAGTAACCCACCCCCATCCCTTCTCTGCCATCTCTGCCCCTCAGCGCCCCAGATCCCAAATCAGGACACTTCCTTCTTCTCCTACCAACCCCAGATCTCTGAGATCTGGCCCCCATGGCCCGCCTACAACCCTGGGCACCCCTCTTTTCCCGCCTTATCCCCCAACGGTACCCCTCTTTTCCCACCTTATCCCCCAACGGTACCCCTCTTTTCCCACCTTATCCCCCAACGGTACCCCTCTTTTCCTACCGCATCTTTATTCGCCAATCAGGGCACCCCATTCAGTCTTCAATCCTCTCTTCGGCCCCCCGCTTGGGGACACCCTGTCTCCCTCCATCGTAGCCTCTAGAGACTCACACTACCCCATTCCTGCTCTCCAGATCCCTACCGTACACCCCAAGTAAATAACTCCCCCATCTCTCCAGATTCCAGCTCAAGACACCCCTTTTTTCCCCATTCATTCCTGCCCTCGAGCCTCCAGATTCCACCTGTTCCTTGGGGACCCCTCTCTACTCCTCCAGATTCCTCTTTCGGGGCTGCCCGTCTTCTCCTGGCTTGCCGCAGGGATTACTGAAATGCCAGGGTCCCTCCTCCTCCCCACCTCATCCCCCTGACCTATCCTATCTCTTCCCATAGGAAAACAGCAGGGGCGGAGCCTGGGTGGTGGTCCCTGGACAGGTGCACCTAGAAGCTCTCTTCTGTGGCTTCTGGTGGCACTGACAGGATGTCCCAGAGCTGGGGCCCTTTAAGTCCCCTTTTTCAGCTTCAGTGTGGGCCCCCAAGGAACTGGAGACATGGCCCAGACTTGAACAGGAAGCACACACGGGCTCTATCCTCTGTCCAGCTTCAGGGGGCGTTCTTTCCTGCCCGGCCTCTCTGGAGTTAGGAAGTCGGCCTGGACGGATGGGTTTGGGCCAAGTGTGGATGGGCAGGCTCTGATTCATGGACTGGAAAATCCCTCCTTAGTCATTTGCCAACTGTCCCTGAGGCCTGGGCTGGTCATTGCCTCTCCCACTTCCCCTAGAAACCCAGGTGGAGTAGGGGCTAAGGAGGGCCCCTTCATTGCATGTGAGACACACAGAACAATCTGAAAACCATCTCCGAGCCTCCCACAAACCTGCCCTGGCCAAGCCGAGCCCTCAGAGTTCTTGACCCACAGAAGCTCATGGAATCCCCTGCAACCCTTTGGCAGTTGTTCTTGTTCCCACTTTGAGGAAACTGGGGCACAGAGAAGTTGAGAAACTTGCCCAAGGTCACCCAGCCAGGGAATAGCAAGTCCAGATTGGAAGGCAGGCTCAGCCAGCTCACTGTATTGCCCAGAGCCCACAGCGGTGGCCAGGACACCCCCTCCCCTCCTGGGGCCCCTTCCCAGGGATGGGGCATGGAAGGGAAACTGAGGAACGACAGAGTCTGTCTTAGGAGTTGAAACAACTCACAGCTCTGGGACCCTGAACAAGTGAATTCATCCCACTAAGTCTCAGATTCTCCCAGCTATAAAACAGGTTCATGATTTAGTATCAATGTGCCATCAAGGGTGTTCAATCTTTTAGCTTCCCTAGGCCACACTGGAAGAAGAACTGTCTTGGGCCACATATAAAATGCACTAACACTAACAATAGCTGATGAGCTTAAAAAGAAAAGAAAAGAAAATCTTTGTATTTATTTATTTATTTATTTATCTGAAACGAGTCTCAGTCTGTTGCCAAGGCTGGAGTGCAGTGGCACGATCTCGGCTCACTGTAGCCTCCACCTCCTGGGTTCAAGCAATTCTCCCGCCTCAGCCTCCTGAGTAGCTGGGACTACAGGTGTGAGCCGCCATACCCAGCTAATTTTTGTATATTTAGTAGAGATGGGGTTTCACCATGTTGGCCAGGCTGGTTTCAAACTCCTGACCTCAAGTGATCCTCCCACCTTGGCCTCCCTCCCAAAGTGTTGGAATTACAGGCATGAGCCACCGCACCCGGACGTATCTTATAATGTTTTAAGAAAGCTTACGAATTTGTGTTGGCCTGCATTCAAAGCTCTCCTGGGCCAGGGCCGTGGGGCGTGGGTTGGACAAGCTCACACTAGGTGGCTGTGAGAATTTGGAAATTACATACATAAAGTGTTCAGCATAGTGTGTGCATTCTTTTCTTTTCTTTTCTTTTTTCTTTTCTTTTGAGGCAGAGCCTTGCTCAGTAGCCCAGTGAAACAATGATTGCGCAATGACACAATCATAACTCACTGCAGCCTCAAACTCCTGGGCTCAAGCAATCCTCCTGCCTCAGCCTCTTGAGTAGCTGGGATTCCAGACGCCCACCACCACACCTGGCTAATTTTTAATTCTGTGTGTGTGTGTGTAGACATGGGGTCTCACTATGTTGCTCACGCTGGTCTGGAACGCCTGAGCTCAGGCAATGCTGCCGCCTCAGCCTCCCAAAGTGCTGAGATTACAGGTGTCCAGCCAAGATGGGCACCTTAATCATTATTATCACTTTTTTCTAACTTCTTCCTGCTCCACCAAAGCCTGGTGGGTGGGAAGATCTCACAACAGAATCCCAAGACCCTGCAGCTAGGAGGATCCAGGAGGGAAACCGCAAGAAAGTTCTAGAATGCTAACTATGGGCCAGGTGTTATTGTAAGTTCTTTAAGCTCTTTACATCCATACTGCATATTTAGTCTCCACAATCCTCAAGAGGTTGGTGCCGTGGACCTCCCCACTTTACACCTGAGAATACTGAGGCCAAGTGACTTGCCTGGGGTCACAGTGCTCCTAAATAGTAAAGCTAGGATTCAAGCCTCGGTTTCTCTGTTTTTTTATTTTTATTTATTTATTTGAGACGGAGTCTCGCTCCGTGGCCCAGACTGGAGTGCAATGGCGCAATCTCGGCTCACTGCAACCTCCGCCTCCCGGGTTCAAGTGGTTCTCGCGCCTCAGCCTCCCAAGTAGCTGAGATTATAGGTGCATGCCACCACACCTGGCTAATTTTTGTATTTTTAGTAGAGACGGGGTTTCGCCATGTTGGCCAGGCTGCTCTCGAACTCCTGGACTCAAGTGCACCAACTGCCTTGGCCTCCCAAAATGCTAGAATTGCAGGCATGAGCCACTGCCCTGACCTATTTTTTTTGAGATGGGATCTTGCTCTGTTGCCCAGGCTGGAGTGCCGCTGGTGCAATCATGGCTCACTGCAGCCTCAAACTCATGGCCTCAAGTGACCCTCCTGCCCCACCCTCCCAGGTAGCTGGGATTCCAGATGCATGCCACCATGCCTGGCTAATTTTTTTTATTTTTTTATTTTTTTATCTTTTTTTTTTTTTTTTCGAGATGCAGTCTTGCTCTGTCACCCAGGCTGGAGTGCAGTGGCATGATCTCAGCTCACTGCAGCCTCTGCCTTCCAGGTTCCAGCGATTTTCCTGCCTCAGCCTCCCGAGCAGCTGGGACTACAGGTGCTCACCACCACACCCGGCTAATTTTTTTTATCTTTAGTAGAGATGGGGTTTCATCATGTTGGCCAGGCTGGTCTTGAACTCCTGACCTCAGGTGATCTGCCTGCCTCGGCCTCCCAAAAATCCTGGGATTACAGGCGTGAGCCATCGTGCCCGGCCAGTTTTTTTGTAAAGATGGGAGCCTCTCTATGTTGCCCAGGCTGGTCTCGAACTCTTGGCCTCAAGCGATCCTCCCTCCTAAGCTTCCCAAAGCGCTGGGATTACATCAACCCCAGGCTCCTAACCCACTGGCCCTTCCTACAGGTGGAGGAGCGGTTCTCCCGGGTGCCTGAGCCCGTCCAGAAGCGCATCGTGTTTTGGTCGTTTCCACGCAGTGAACGGGAAATATGTATGTACTCGTCGCTGGGTTACCCGCCCCCAGAGGGCGAGCACGATGCCCGGGTGCCCTTTACCCGCGGGCTGCACCTGCTCCAGAGCGGGGCCGTGGACCGCGTGTTGCAAGTGGGTGAGTCTTTGTCCCCCACTCCTGCTGGGGAGGCCAGGAGGTCCATACCAGGCCTGGAAATGGGGGAGTTGGAGGGAGGCCTGGGGCCAGGGGATGGGAGGTTACAGACCTCAGGCTTCGAGGCCCAGATAGGATTGTACAAGATTTTTTTTTTTTTTTTTTTTGAGACGGAGTCTCGCTCTTTGGCCCAGGCCGGAGTGCAGTGGCGCGATCTCGGCTCACTGCAAGCTCCGCCTCCTGGGTTCACGCCATTCTGCCTCAGCCTCCCGAGTAGCTGGGATTACAGGCGCCCGCCACCGCGCCCAGCTAATTTTTTGTATTTCTTTTTTTTTTTTTTTTTTTTTTTTTTTTTTTTTTTTTTTGAGACGGAGTCTCGCTTTTTCGCCCAGGCCGGAGTGCAGTGGCGCGATCTCGGCTCACTGCAAGCTCCGCCTCCCGGGTTCACGCCATTCTCCTGCCTCAGCCTCCCAAGTAGCCGGGACTACAGGCGCCCGCCACCAAGCCCGGCTAATTTTTTGTATTTTTAGTAGAGACGGGGTTTCACCATGTTAGCCAGGATGGTCTCGATCTCCTGACCTCGTGATCCACCCGCCTCGGCCTCCCAAAGTGCTGGGATTACAGGCGTGAGCCACCGCTCCCGGCCCCATTTTTTGTATTTTGTATTTTTAGTAGAGATGGGGTTTTACTGTGTTAGCCGGGATGGTCTCGATCTCCTGACCTCGTGATCCCCCCACCTCGGCCTCCCAAAGTGCTGGGATTACAGGCATGAGCCACCACACCCAGCCTGTACACGATGTTTTGAGCAAAAGCTCAAGGATCACCCTAGAACCCAGGCAGCAGGGTTTAGACAAGGGGTTGGGGGAGAGGATGGTGAACCAGAAACAGGGGAGGAGAGATCCCAGAACTTACACATCAGAGCCCATGTAAAGGAGGGGTGAGGCCAGATGTGGTGGTTCACACCTGTGATCTCAACACTTTGGGAGGCCAAGGCAGGAAGATCACTTGAGGCCAAGAGTTCAAGACCAGCCTGGGCAACACAATGAGACCTTGTCTTCACAAAAAAATCAAAAAATGAGCTGGGCATGGTGGCGGGTGCCTGTGGTCCCAGGTACATGGGAGGCCAAGGCAGGAGGATCGCTTTTGCCCGAGAGGTCGAGCCTGCAGTAAGCTATGATTGCACCACCGTACTCCAGCCTGGGTTACAGAGCGAGATGCTATCTCAAAGAGAAAAAAGAAAAAAAAAAAGGAAGAGAGGTGAGGGCCACTCTAGGGACAAGGGTAGAGGTTGAGACATGGTGGTGAAGGTGCCAGACCTCAGGCTTCAGGTCCAGATGGGGTTGGGTTCGGGATTATGAGCTGAAGGTGGAAAGTGCTCCTAGAGCCCTAGACCTCAGGCTGCTGAGCTGGGGAATGGGGAATGAAGTAGTGAGACGGAGAGAAGAGCAGGTCCCAGCTGAGGATCAGAGAAGCAGCTGTCAGCCAGCAGTGAGAGGAGGCTCCAGACCTCGGGCTGAGGGACCCAGTGATGCTTTGGGCCAGGGGTTTAGAGCCAGAGGTAAGAATGATCCTAGACCTCAGGCAGTGGGGCCCACGTGGGAGTTGGACACAAAGATTTAGAGCCACAGGTGAGAGTCTTAGACCTCAGGCAGAGAGGCTGGGATTTCAAAGGCTTAGAGCTATTGTTGAGCAATGGTCTTAGACCTAAGGCAACAGGGCTGAGGTGGGAATGTAGAGTAGAAGTTTAGAATTCTTTTTTTTTTTTTTTTCCGAGATGGAGTCTTGCTCTGTTGCCCAGGCTGGAGTGCAGTGGCACGATCTCAGCTCACTGCAACCTCCACCTCCCAGGTTCAAGGAATACCCCTGCCTCGGCCTCCCTAGTAGCTGGGACTACAGGCACCCGCTATCATGCCTGGCTAATTTTTGTATTTTTGTAGAGACAGGGTTTCACCATGTTGGCCAGGCTGGTCTTGAACTCCTGACCTCGTGATCCACCCGCCTCAGCCTCCCAAAGTGCTGGGATTACAGGTGTGAGCCACCATGCCCAGCTTAGAATTTTTTTTTTTTTTTTTTTTGAGATGGAGTCTCACTCTGTTGCCCAGGCTGGAGTGCAGTGGCACAATCTCGGCTTACTGCAACCTCCACTTCCTGGGTTCACACCATTCTCCTGCCTCAGCCTCCCAAGTAGCTGGGACTACAGGCACCTGCCACCACACCCAGCTAATTTTTTCTATTTTTTAGTAGAGACGGCGTTTCACCGTGTTAGCCAGGATAGTCTCGATCTCCTGACCTAGTGATCCGCCCGCCTCAGCCTCCTACAGTGCTGGGATTACAGGCATGAGCCACCACGCCTGGCCAAATTTTTTTTTTTAAGAGATAGAGTCTCGGCCGGGCACAGTGGCTCACACCTGTAATCCCAGCACTTTGGGGGCTGAGGCGGGTGGATCACCTAAGGTCAGGAGTTCAGCCTGGCCAACATGGTGAAACCCCGTCTCTACTAAAGATACAAAAATTAGCCAGGTGTGGTGGCACATGCCTGTAATCCCAGCTACTTGAGAGGCTGAGGCAGGAGAATCAGTTGAACCCGGGAGGCAGAGGTTGCAGTGAGCCAAGATCATGTCATTGCTCTCCAGCCTGGGCAAGAGAGAGAGACTCTGTCTCAAAAGAAAAAAAAAAGGGAGATAGGGTCTCACTCTGTTGCCCAGGCTGGAGTGCAGTGGCGCGATAATAGCTCACTGCAGCCACAAACATCTGAGCTCAAGTGATCCTCCCACCTCAGCCTCCCAAGTAGTTGGTACCACAGGCGCAGGCCACCACACTTGACTAGTTTTTAAGTTTTTTGTAGAGACCTGGTCTCACTCTGTTGCCCAGGCTGGTCTCGAACTCCTGGGCTCAAGAGATCCTCCTGCCACAGCCTCCCAAAGCACTGGGATTACAGGCGTGACCCACCATGCCTGGCCAAGTATCAGGTTAAGATCAGCTGTGAAGGGTGGGCTCAGACCTCAAGCTAAGAAAACAAAAGGGCTGCAGAGACTGGGAGAGATGTAATGAGAATAGTGGAAAGGCCTTGGATCTCAGGCAGCCAGACTCAGAAAGGGACCAGTAGAGGCTGAGCCAGAAAACAAAAGTGAGGCCTGGGACTCCAGACCTCTGGCTGCAGCAGGCCATTTCTCCCAGCTAGAGGTCGGGGCTGGGCTGATATGATGCCCCGTCGGCTCTATCTGCTTTGGAGCCCCTTTGCTGGGACATGGCCCCGCTGACCACGGGCTCCTTGCCACCTCCAGCTGGTATGAGGAAGCCATCTCCCTGCATGACCCAGGCTGGGCCTGAGCTGCCGAACCAGTCAGATGAGCCTGGCACCTGGGCTGCCCAGGGAGGGGCAGGGGGAGTGAAGGGGACACCTGGCCCCTGGCTTACTTCATCAGCCCCTCGCCCCAAGCGCCACGGGTCTTTGGCATTTTCTCAGGAAATTGAGGGGCTCCTGAAGCCCTGGCCATATTCATTGTAACCCAAGGAATCAGAAAACCACCTTCAATGTCATGGTATGATACTATTCATAATTAAAATAAGAGCAAGTGTTGGGCTGGGCTCGGTGGCTCGCGCCTATAATCCCAGCACTTTGGGAGGCCGAGGCGGGTGGATCACTAGGTCAGGAGTTCAAGACTACACTAGGTCAGGAGTTCAAGACTAGCCTGGCCAATATGGTGAAACCTGATCTCTACTAAAAATACAAAAGATTAGCCGGGCATGGTGGTGCACGCCTGTAATCCCAGCTACACAGGAAGCTGAGGTAGGAGAATCGCTTGAACCCAGGAGGCGGAGGTTGCAGTGAGTCAAGATAGCGCCACTGCACTCCAGCCTGGGTGACAGAGCAAGACTCTGTCTCAGAAAAAAAAAAAAAAAAAAGCAAGTGTTTACTTAGGACTTAACTTCATACCAACAGCGTTCTAAGCCTTTTTTTGAGACAGAGTCTCATTCTGTTACCCAGGCTGGAGTGCAATGGTGCGATCTCAGCTCACTGCAACCTCTGCCTCCCGGGTTCAAGCCATTCTCCTGCCTCAGCCTCCTGAGTAGCTGGGATTACAGGCGCCCGCCACCATGCCCGGCTAATTTTTTTATATTTTTAGTAGAGACAGGGTTTCACCATGTTGGCCATGCTGGTCTTGAACTCCGGACCTCAGGTGATCTACCAGCCTCGGCCTCCCAAAGTGCTGGGATTACAGGCATGAGCCACTGCGCCGGGCTGTCTCTTCTAAAAATACAAAAATTAGGCTGGGCACCGTGGCCCACGCCTGTAATCCCTGCACTTTGGGAGGCTGAGGCAGGCGGATCACCTGAGGCCAGGAGTTCAAAATCAGCCTGACCAACATGGAGAAACCCCATCTCTACTAAAAATACAAAATTAGCCGGGCATGGTGGCGCATGCCTGTAATCCCAGCTACTCGGGAAGCTGAGGCAGGAGAATCACTTGAACCTGGGAGGTGGAGGTTGCGGTGAGCCGAGATCACACCATTGCACTCCTGCCTGGGCAACAGAGCAAAGCTCTGTCCCAAATAAATAAATAAATAAATAAATAAAATTAGCCGGGCATGGTGGTGTGTGCCTGTAATCCCAGTTACTTGGGAGGCTGAAGCAGGAGAATCGCTTGAACCTGGGAGGCGGAGGTTGCAGTGAGCCCAGGTCGCAGCACTACACTCCAGCCTGGGCCACAGAGCGAGATTTTGTTTCAAAAAAAAAAAAAATGCAAAGTGAGTGAGGTGACTTGTGCTAGTGAAGTGACTCGGCTGGGCTTTGCAACCGGGTCTTGCTGTGTACCACAAACACCGCCTGTCTCTGGGATGACACGGATGCGACAGTTTGGCTTTGATCCTAGGATTCCACCTGAGCGGAAACATCCGCGAGCCAGGGAGTCCTGGAGAGCCCGAGCGCCTCTACCATGTCTCCATCAGCTTTGATCGCTGCAAGATCACGTCCGTGAGCTGCGGCTGTGACAACCGCGACCTCTTCTACTGTGCCCACGTGGTGGCCCTGTCCCTGTACCGCATTCGGCACGCCCACCAGGTGGAGCTGCGGCTGCCCATCTCCGAGACGCTCTCCCAGATGAACCGGGACCAGCTGCAGAAGTTCGTGCAGTACCTCATCAGCGCCCATCACACTGAGGTGCTGCCCACTGCTCAGCGCTTGGCTGATGAGATCCTCCTGCTGGGCTCCGAGATCAACTTGGTGAATGGTAAGGGCACCCCGGGGGTCCGGTGGGGAGAGGATGCCCAAGCGCACAGCCACGCCACTTGCTGTGTGCCCAGTGCTGGTCACTTACTGACAGAAAGTTGTGGGGGCGGGGGGCGGAAAACGCGCCATGGCCTGCATCATCTGAGGTCACCCACCTGGTGAGTGGCAGATCCCAGATATCTGGACACAGGACAGATGAGTAGTTGCAAATCAGCCTACGGGCAGAGGGCGAGGGCAGGAGGGGAGATCCTGCGTTAGAGGGCAAGTGGGAGGTCTGGCCCCAGGGCTGGGTATGTCAATAGATGGAGCATCCTGGGTATGGGAGGAGAAGAGGGGGCGTGAAGGGAATGTGGGACGTTTGTGGGTGTCAGAGGTGTTATGGGTGAGGGGATACACCAGGAGGCGTGGTGAGGGCTGGGAGGGTTTGGGGGGCTCCGAGGGGCTTGGGTTGCCTAGCTAGGATGGGGAAGGTGAGTAGTAGGTGGAGGCATGGATGGATGATGGAGGGAGGTGCTGGGTGGGTACAGAAAGTGTTCGTGATTGGCTGGGCGCAGGGGCTCACACCTGTAATCCCAGCACTTTGGGAGGCCGAGGTGGGCGGATCAGTTGAGGTCAGGAGTTCAAGACCAGCCTGGACAACATGGCAAAACCCCATCTCTACCAAAATATAAAAATTAGCCGGGCGTGGTGGTGGGTGCCTGTAGTCCCAGCCACTCAGGAAGCTGAGGTGGGAGAATGGGTTGAACCCGGGAGGCAGAGGTTGCAGTGAGCTGACATCGCGCCATTGCACTCCAGCCTGGGAGACAAAGTGAGACCCTGACTCCAAAAAAAAAAAAAGCGTTCATGATCAGTCACTGAGGGCAACTGATGGTGTGGAAAAACGAATGGGTGGGTGGGGGATATTTTTTTTTTTGAGATGGAGTCTTCCTCTGTCACCCAAGCTGGAGTGCAGTGGTGCAATCTCAGCTCACTGCAACCTCTGCCTCCTGGGTTCAAGCAATTCTCCTGTCTCAGCCTCCTGAGTAGCTGGGATTACAGATGCACACCATCATGCCCGGCTAATTTTTGTATTTTTGTAGAGACAGGGGTTTCCCCATGTTGGCCAGGCTGGTCTTGAACTTCTGACCTCAGGTGATCCACCTGCCTCAGCCTCCCAAAGTCCTGGGATTACAGGTGTGAGCCACCACACCCAGCCTGGACGGGATATTAACAATGCCGTTAGGTGAATGGGAATTGGAAGCTGAGTGTGGTGGCTCATACCTATAATCCCAGCATTTGGGAGGCTGAGGAAGGAGGATCACTCGAGACCAGCAGTTCAAGACCGGCCTGGGCAAAATAGGGAGACCTCCTCTCTACAAAAAATAAACAAAAGTAGTTGGGCATGATGGCACACACACGCCTGTAGATACTTGGGAAGCTGAGATGGGAGGATCATGAGCGTGGGAGGTAAAGGCTGCAGTCAGCTATGATCGTGCTACTACACTCCAACCTGATGACAGACTGAGACCCTGACTCAAAAAACAAAAAAAAAAAAAGAAGGGAAGGACAGAACTGGTGGTGATTGGAGGTGAGGATGAGTGGTTGGGTGGGGAGGGCTTTGACTAGTGGAGTTAAGGTAGACTGACAGTGGTGGACAGATGAAGTTAGTGAAAGAATGAAAGATCCAATGGGTACATGCATTGGGAGTGAGTTGATGGGTGAATGGAAGGAAGGTTCACATATGTGGATCAACATCGTGGGTGGGCAGAGTGGGTGGGCGCTTTGTGTAGGGTGGATGGATGGACGAATGGGGTAGTGGGTGTTTTGAGAGGTACATATGAATGGATGGTTTGATAATGAATGGGTGGTTTAATGGAAGCATAGAGAGTTAGGATTAGTTATTGGGTGATAACTAATAGTTATCACCTAGATAACTAGGGTTAGTTATTGGATGATAGTTACTGGGTGGGGTGGATAGTGTACTTGTGTGGGTCAATGGACAAATGGGCGGGTGGGTATTTTGAGTGGTTAGTTCACGTGGATTGGAAAGATAAAAGGGGTGAGTGGGCAGATAGATCAATAAGATGAGTATATAGATGGGTGGATGGGTGGGAATTATGGGTAGGGTGGATGATGGACCCATGATGGGGTAGGTGGTTGTTTAAAGGGTATGGACATGTGGATGAAGTGAAATGGGGGATATGGCCAGGTAGATAGAGGCTGGCATGACTTGGGTGGGGGTGGATAAGTGGGTTGTGTTTCAGGTGAGACAGATGAGTAAACAGATGGGTCGGTGGTGTTTTGAGTGGGATGGGTAAATGGATGAGTGGATGGGTAGATGGATAGATGTGTAGTGTTTCAGGAGAGATAGATGAATGGATTGGATGGGTAAGTAAATGGATGAATGAACAAATGGATGAATGAGCTCCTGGTGTTTTGGGCAAGATGGATGGATGGATGGATGGATGGATGGATGGATGGATGGATGGATGAATATTACTACAGGGGAGATAGATGGATTGGATGGATGACTCAGTGGATAAATGAGCAAATGGATGAGCTGGTGGCGTTTTGGACAAGATGGATGGATGCATGGATGGATGGACAGATGGATGCATGGATGGATGCATGGATGGATGGATGGATGGATGGATGGATGGATGGATGGGTGTATGGGTGTATGGGTGTGTTGTGTTTCAGGTAAGATAGATGAATGGATTGGATGGGTGATGTATTACTCTGTTCTCACACTGCTATAAAGACATACCTGAAACAGGTTAATTTAAAGGAAACAGGTTTAATCGGCTCATAGTTCTGCAAGCTACACAGGCTTCTGCATTTGGGGAGGCCTCAGGAAACTTACAATCATGGCGGAAGGTGAAGGAGAAGCAAACACATCTTCACATGGCTGTCAGGAGAGAGAGAGCGAAGGGGGAGACACTACACACTTTCAAACAACCAGATCTCATGAGAACTCTATCATGAGACAACACTAAGGGAATGGTGCTACACCATTAGAAACCATCCCCATGATCCAGTCACCTCCCTCCATGCCCCACTTCCAACTCTGGGGATCATAATTCAACATGAGATTTGGGTGGAGACACAGAGCCAAACCATATCAGATGACTAAGTGGATGAATGAGAAAATGGATGCATGAGCTAGTCATGTTTAGGACAAGATAGATGGATTGATGGAGGGATGGATGGATGGATAAACATGAATAGATGGTCGGGTGGGATGGACAAGCAGATGGGTGGGTGGGGTTTAGGTGGGATGGATGGAACTTTAGACTGGGTTGGGTGACTTGGAAGAATGGATGGATGGGTCGGGCACAGTAGCTTATGCCTGTAATCCCAGCACTTTGGGAGGCCAAGGCGGGTGGATCACCTGAGGTCAGGAGTTTGAGACCAGCCTGACCAACATGGTGAAATCCCGCCTGTACTAAAAATACAAAAAAAATTGGCAAAGTGTAGTGGGGCGTGCCTGTAATCCCAGCTACTTGGGAGGCTAAGGCAGGAGAATCACTTGAACCCGGGAGGCAGAGGTTGTAGTGAGCGAAGATCGTGCTACAGCACTCCAGCCTGGGCAAGAAGAGCCAAACTCCGTCTCCAAAAAAAAAAAAAAAAAAAAAGGACAGCTCTCCTCAACCCAACCCAACCCCAACTCCAGCCCCAGCCTCAGCTTCCTTTCCCTCCCTCCCGGCAGGTGCCCCAGACCCCACCGCCGGCGCAGGAATCGAGGACGCCAACTGCTGGCACCTGGACGAGGAGCAGATCCAGGAGCAGGTGAAGCAGCTACTGTCCAATGGCGGCTACTACGGGGCCAGCCAGCAGCTGCGCTCCATGTTCAGCAAGGTGCCGTGCGGGCCGGCGGGGCGCGGGGTGCAGAAGGCCCCGGCGGACGCCCCAGCCCTTCCTCACCACCCTGTCCCCGGCACAGGTGCGGGAGATGCTGCGAATGCGGGACTCCAACGGGGCGCGCATGCTGATTCTCATGACCGAGCAGTTCCTGCAGGACACGCGCCTGGCCCTGTGGCGGCAGCAGGGCGCGGGCATGACGGACAAGTGCCGGCAGCTCTGGGATGAGCTGGGTGAGGCCCAAACCCCGGTGCGTGGTGGACACCGGGACTTCGGCTCCCATGGGGGCTGGCCCACTCCAAGATTAGGGTCTGTTCCCTGAATCCGCCCTCCATTCGTTTGGCAAACATTTATGAGCGCCTCTAAAGTGCCAGGCATGGTACTGGGCACTGGTGGTCCGGCAGAGAACAAGAGAGTCAAAATCCTGTTCACGTGGATCTGACAGGAGGCACAGGCAATCAAATGTCATTGGCCCAGGGGTTGATACACACGTACACACGTTTTCTTTGTTTTGAGACAGGGTATCACTCTGTTGCCCAGGCTGGCGTGCAGTGGCACAATCTCGGCTGACTGCAACCTCTGCCTCCCGGACTCAAGTGATCCTACACCTCAGCCTCCCAAGTAGCTGGGTCTACAGGTGCACACTACCACATCCAGCTAATTTTTAATTTTTTGAAGAGACAGAGTCTCACTATCTTGCCAAGTCTGGTCTTGAACTCCTGGACTCAAGCAGTCCTCTCACCCAGCCTCCCAAAGTACTGAGATGACATGCATGAGCCACCACACCCAGCCTACATGTTTTGTTTCTTTTTTTCTTTTTTTAGAGACAGGATCTCACTGTGCGCCCAGGCTGAAGTACAGTGGCACAGTCACGGCTCACTGTAACTTCAAACTCTTGGGCTCAAGTGATCCTCTGGCCTTGGCCTCTCAAAGTGCTGGGATGACAGGCATGAGCCACTGTACCAAGCTGACATATTTTTGTTTGTTTGTTTTCTTTTCTTTTCTTTTTTTTTTTTTGAGAAGGAGTCTCGCTCTGTCATCCAGGCTGGAGTGCTGGAGTGCAGTGGTACTATCTTGGCTCACTGCAAGCTCCGCCCTCCGGGTTCACACCATTCTCCTGCCTCAGCCTCCCTAGTAGCTGGGACTACAGGCACCCGCCACTAAGTCCGGCTAATTTTTTGTATTTTTTTTATTAGAGACGGGGTTTCACTGTGTTAGGCAGGGTTGTCTTGATCTCCTGACCTTGTGATCTACCCGCCTCAGCCTCCCAGAGTGCTGGGATTACAGGTGTGAGCCACGGCACCTGGCCTGTTTTCTTTTTTTGACACGGACTCTCACCCTGTCTCCCAGGCTGGAGTGCAGTGGCACGATCTCGGCTCACTGCAACCTCCACCTCCTGGGTTCAAATGATTCTCCTGCCTTAGCCTTCTCAGTAGCTGGGATTATAGGTGCGTGCCACCATGCCTAGCTAATTATTGTATTTTTAGTAGAGACGGAGTTTCACCATGTTGATCAGGCTGGTCTCGAACTCCTGTCTTCGTGATCCACCCGCCTCAGCCTCCCAAAGTGCTGGGATTACAGGCGTGAGCCACCACACCCAGCCAACATATGTTTTCTTTTTTCTTTTTTCTTTTTTTTTTGAGACGGAGTCTTGCTCTGTCACCCAAGCTGGAGTGCAGTGGCACAATCTCAGCTCACTGCAAGCTCTGCCTCCTGGGTTCATGCCATTCTCCTGCCTCAGCCTCCCGAGTAGCTGGGACTACAGAGGCCCACCACCACGCCCGGCTAATTTTTTTGTATTTTTAGTAGCAACGGGGTTTCACTGGGTTAACCAGGATGGTCTCGATCCCCTGACCTCATGATCCGCCCGCCTCGGCTTCCCAAAGGGTTGGGATTACAGGCGTGAGCCACCACGCCCAGCCTTTTTTTTTTTTTTTTTTTTTTGAGATGGAGTCTTGCTTTGTCACCCAGGCTGTAGTGCAGTGGCACGATCTCGGCTCACTGCAAGCTCCGCCCCCCAGGTTCACGCTGTTCTCCTGCCTCAGCCTCCCGAGTAGCTGGGATCACAGGCGCCTGCCACCACGCCCGGCTAATTTTTTGTATTTTTAGTAGAGATGGGGTTTCACCGTGTTAGCCAGGATGGTCTCGATCTCCTGACCTCGTGATCCGCCTGCCTAGGCCTCCCAAAGTGCTGGGATTACAGGCATGAGCCACCGCACCGGCCAACATGTGTTTTCTGTAAGAGACACAGAGTTAATGTTATTCAGCCCTGCAGGCCATCTGGTCTCTGTCATGAAGACCTCACTCTGTCTATTATAGTAAAAAAGGCAGACACAGACATATATACCAAACGGGCATGGTAGCATTTCAATAAAACTTTATTTAAGAGCTGGGAGGCCAGGTGCAGTGGCTCACACCTGTAATCCCAGCACTTTGCGGGGCTGAGGTAGGGGGATCACTTGGGCCCCGGAGGTTGAGGCTGCAGTGAGCCATGATCACACCACTGCACTCCAGCCCGGGCAACAGAGCAAGACCCTGTCTCAACAACAACAAAAAAAGGCGCTTGGCACAGTGGCAGGAGCCTGTACTCCCTACTACTTGGAAGGCTGAGTGAGGCAGGAGGATTGCTTGAGCCCAGGAGTTCGAGTGCAGCTTAGACGACATGATGAGACCCTGTCTCTAAATTTTTTAAAAACCGGCTTTATTTATAGATACTTACTAATTTATTTGAATTTTATATTATTCCCACAAGTTGCAAAATATTCTTTTGGTTGTATTTCCCTGACCATTTAAAACTGGAAAAATAGGCCGGGTGCAGTGGCTCACACCTTAATTCCAGCAGTTTGGGAGGCCGAGGTGGGCAGATCACTTGAGGTCAGGAGATCGAGACCAGCTTGGCCAACATGGTGAAACCCCGCCTTTACTAAAAATGCAAAAATTAGCCAGGCATTGTGGCGGACGCCTGTAATCCCAGCTACTTGGGAGGCTGAGGCAGGAGAATCGCTTGAACCCAGGAGGTGGAGGTTACAGTGAGCTGAGATTGCGCCACTGCACTCCAGCCTGGGTGACAGAGTGAGACTCTGTCTCAAAAAATAAATAAATAAAAACAAGTACAAATAAAAAGGGAAAAATAAATCTTAGCGTGCAGGCTAATCAAAAATAAAGGGTGGTTCAGTTTTCACCATGGGCAGTGGTTTGCTAGTTCGCAGACCCCTGCATGAGATGGTGATAAATGCTACCCAAAAAACCCCAAAACACCTTGAGAGGAGTCTGGAGGCCTGGTTTTTTTGTTTGTTTGTTTTTGTTTTTGTTTTGTTTTGTTTTGAGATCGAGTCTCACTCTGTTGCCCAGGCTGGAGTACAGTGGTGTGATCTCGGCTCACTGCAACCTCTGCCTCCTGGGTTGAAGCGATTCTTGTGCCTCAGCCTCCCAAGTAGCTAGGACTACAGAGGCCCGGGATGTAATCCCAACTTTTTTTTTTTTTTTTTTGAGATGGAGTTTTGCTCTTTTTACCCAGGCTGGAGTGCAGTGGTGTGATCTCAGCTCCCTGCAACCTCCACCTCCCGGGTTCGAGCCATTCTCCTGCCTCAGCCTCCTGAATAGCTGGGATTACAGGCACCCACAATCATGCCTGGCTTTTTTTTTTTTTTTTTGGTATTTTCAGTAGAGACAGGGCTTCACCCTGTTGGCCAGGCTGTTCTTAAACTCCTGACCTCAGGTGATCCGCCTGCCTCAGCCTTCCAGAGTGCTGGGATTACAGGCGTGAGTCATCACGCCTGACCCTCTAATCCCAACTTCTAACTTACCAGCGGTGTGACCCTGTGCAAGCCGTGTTATGTCTCTGTGCCTCAGTTTGCTTGTCTGTAAGGTGCAAAGGCTGCGAGTTGCAACTTCCGAGGGTCGAGGTGAGGGGTTAGCAGATCATCAGGTGGCACACAGTGGGCACTGCGGAAGTGTGTGTTGCTGCCACTGTTGGCAGGAATATTGAGCCTGCCCCGTGCCTCCTCAGGGGCCCTGTGGGTTTGCGTCGTCCTGAGCCCCCACTGCAAACCAGAGGAAAGGGCAGGCTGGCTCCAGCTACTCAGCAGGTGGGACAAGCTCGACGTCTGCCCACTGGAAGAGGGCAACTACTCCTTCGACGGCCCCAGCCTGCAGCCCACCATGGCCCCCGCCCCAGGTAGGAGAGAGGGGTCTTTACCATGCCCCCCAAAAACCATCACCACTAACTGTGGCCCCACTTACCATCATGGTCCTCTTCCCAGGAGAGAGAGGGAGTGGGGCAGAGCAAAGCAGACCCCAGTCCTTGGCTGTTCTTCCAGGACTAATCCCAACTTGTCTAGCCAGGAAAGAGCGAGTGCCAAGGGCAGGAGCAATGGCAGCCCAAGTGGGCAAGTGAAGTAAAATGCTTAAAACACCTGCAGTCCTGGGCTGGTCTGGCTTGGCCTTCTGCTAGCTATGGGACCAAAGAGAGGATGAGAGAGGAAAAAAGGAGGAATCAAACAGAAGGGGAAAGTGAGATATTGAGGAGAGAGAAACAAGTGAAGAGAGGCAGAGATGGATGGAGAGAGGGAGAGGCAGACAGAGGAGCAGATAGGAAGGAAGACAGAGAGAGATTGAGGAGAGAGGGAAAAAAAAATTTATAGCAAGTACAGGCCAGGCATGGTGTCTCACGCCTGTAATCCCAGCACTTTGGGAAGCTGAGGGGGGCAGATTGCTTGAGGCCAGGAGTTCAAGACCAGCCAGAGTAACATGGTGAGACCTTGTCTCTACAAAAAATACAAAAATTAGCTGGGTGTTGTGACGCACACCTGGAATCCCGGATACTCAGGGGGCTGAGATGGGAGAATCGCTTGAGCCTGGGAGGCGGAGGTTGCAGTGAGCCAAGATCGCACCACTGCACTCTAGCCTGGACGACAGAGTGAGACCCTGTCTCAAAAAAAAAAAAAAAGAAAGAAAGAAAGAAAAGAAAAATAGCAAGTAGGAAGAGGAAGACAGACAGCCAGTTAGTTGCTCAACCTCAGTTTCCTATCAATGTGATGGGCCTGTACTAGCTCCTAACACATACACGCATCCTTTTTTTTTTTTTTTTGAGACAGTCTCACTCTGATGCCCAGGCTGGAGTGCAGTGACGCAACCTTGGCTCACTGCAACCTCTGCCTCCTGGGTTCAAGCGATTCTCATTCCTCAGCCTCCCAAGTAGCTGGGATTACAGGTGTGCACCACCACGCCAGGGTTAATTTTAGTAGAGATGGGGTGTCGCCATGTTGGCCAGGCTGGTCTCGAACTCCTGGCCTCATGTGATCCTCCCACCTTGGCCTCCCAAAGTGCTGGGATTACAAGTGTAAGCCACCATGCCCAGCCTACACATGCATCTTTGAAGGGTGGCTTCAAGGACTGGGCAGATGATGTATGCCCATAGCTTTGCCCAGGCCTAAACCCCAGTTAGTACTTGGTGGGAAAAGCTGGACACGGCTCAACTGCTATAGGGACCCCCCCTCACTGAGCCATGTTGGGTGCCTCTCTGCAGGCTCGGAGGAAGAGGAAGAGGTGGCAGCCACAAGTCCCCGCCACACGGTATTTGGCCGCGCCTTGCTGGCTGGAGAGCTACACTGGAATGACGCCTACCTGCAGAGGATCCTGGCCAGTGACTCCTACGGGCCCAGCCTCACAGGCAGCGTGGGTGGGGACAAACCGACTTTCGACCCCCAGGGCCGCCCACTGTGGCTGGGAGAACCTTTCCCCACTGCCTGTGCCCGTGTGGACACCCTGCGTGCCCACGGATACCCCCGCCAGGCCCTGCGGCTGGCAAGTGCCATCATCAACACACTCCGGCTGCAGCAGCGGCATCAGCTAGAGAGCTACAAGCAGCAGAAAAAAGGTCAGCCTCAGCCGGGCACGGGGGCTCGCACCTGTGATCCCAGCACATTGGGAGTCCGAGGTGGGAGGATTGCTTGAGGCCAGGAGTTCAACATCAGCCTGGGCAACATAGTGAGACAATGTCTCTACAAAAATTAAAAAAAAAAAATTAGCTGGATGTGGTGGCTCACACCTGTAGTCCCAGCTACTCTGTAGGCTGAGGCAGGAGGATCACTTGAGCCCAGGAGTTCAAGGCTGCAGTGAGCTATAATTATGCCACTGCACTCTAGCCTGGGTGACAGAGCAAGACCTCATCTCTTTTTTTTTTTGAGACAG
This sequence comes from Homo sapiens, assembly GCF_000001405.40. NCBI lineage: Eukaryota > Metazoa > Chordata > Mammalia > Primates > Hominidae > Homo > Homo sapiens. Next base: position 27,021 of record NW_021160022.1, read on the forward strand.
AGTTTCGCTCTTGTTGCCCAGGTTGGAGTGCAATGGAGCAATCTCGGCTCACCGCAACCTCCACCTCCCAGGTTCAAGGGATTCTCCTGCCTCAGCCTCCCAAGTAGCTGGGATTACAGGCATGCGCCACCATGCCCGGCTAATTTTTTTGTATTTTTAGTAGAGATGGGGTTTCTCCATTGGTGAGACTGGTCTCGAACTCCCAACCTCAGGTGATCTGCCTGCCTTGGCCTCCCAAAGTGCTGGGATTACAGGCTTGAGCCACCGTGCCTGGAAATTTTTTTTTTTTTTTTTTTTTTTTTTTTTTTTGAGATGGAGTCTCGGTCTTTCGCCCAGTCTGGAGTGCAGTGGCGCAATCTCAGCTTACTGCAACCTCTGCCTCCCAGGTTCAAGCAATTCTCCGGCCTCAGCCTCCTGAGTAGCTTGGGACTACAGGCACCCACCACCACACCCAGTTAATTTTTGTGTTTTTAGTAGAGATGGGGTTTCACTATGTTGGCCAGGCTCTTCTCGAACTCCTGACCTTTTGATCCACCCACCTCAGCCTCCCAAAGTGCTGGGATTACAGGTGTAAGCCACCGTGCCTGGCCTACTGAAAATATTTTTAAAATTAGCCAGGCGTGGTGGCGCACACCTGTATTTCCAGCTACTAGGGAGGCTGCGGCATGAGAATTGCTTTAATCTGGGAGGCAGAGGTTGGTTGCAGTGAGCCAAGATTACACCACTGCACTCTAGACTGGGTGACAGAGCGAGACTCCGTCTCAAAAAATTAAAAAAAAAAAAAGAGAGAGAGAGGAGAGCGAGGAGAGAGAGAAGAGGAAAGAAAGAGGTGGGGAGGGAGGGACAGAGAGAGATGGGGGGAGAGAGAGGGGAAGGAAGGAAGGGAGGGAGGGAAGGAGGCTGTATGAGCCCCAAAAACCACATTGTGTACTAGATATGGGGGTGGGGGACAGGAGGGAGGCCACCAGTTGAGAGAGCTAGTCGATGGGGTTGATGGATCAGCTATCAGGAAATTGAACGAAGAAAAGTGTGTCGTGGAGGAAACATGGGGGCCCTGGGACCCGAGCAGAGCTCTGACCAGGCTTGGCAGCATCAGTGAAAGGCCCCTAGATTTTAAAAATTAGCCAGGTGGCTAATTAGCTGAGTATTTAAGGATGTGCATGGCCAGGCACAGTGGCTCACACCTGTAATCCCAACACTTTGGGAGGTGGAGGCAGGTGGAGTGCCTGAGGTCAGGAGTTCAAAACCAGCCTGGCCAACATAGTGAAACCCCATCTCTACTAAAAATCCAAAACAAATTAGCCAGGTGTGGTGGCACGTACCTGTATTCCCAGCTACTCAGGACACTGAGGCAGGAGAATCCCTTGAACCGGGAGGTACCTGGAGGTTGTGGTGAGCTGAGATCACGCCATTGCACTCTAGTCTGGGCAACAAGAGCAAAACTCCATCTCAGAAAAAATTTAAAAAAAGAAAAAGGATGTGCAGGAGTTACCCAGGAGAAGGGGATGGAGGAAGTGCTCAGAATAGAAGGAACACCATGAGCAGCAGCCAGGAGGGAAGAGAGTACGTGGCTTGGAGGACGAGGCTGGAGGATTGGCCTCCAGATGAGGCAGGTCACCAGTATATGGAAAAACTTCATACTGGTCCTTGGGGGCCCTAAAGGCTGTTGGGGCTTTATCTTCAGAGAGGTGGAGAGGGAATAAGGGCAATGAGGAGGGGAATGACACTTCGGGTGTTTTAGAAAGCGTCCAGTGGCCAGGCATGGTGGCCCATGCCTGTAATCCCTTTGGGAGGCCGAAGCAGGAGGATCGCTTGAGCTCCAGAGGCTGCAGTGAGCTATGATTGGGCCACTGCACTCCAGCCTGGGCAATAAGCGAGACCCCACCTCAAAAAAAAAAGTTGAAGGTGACCATTGGGTGAGCAGGTGGTGGGCATTATGGGGCTAGGCTGGCTGGCAGGTCAAGAAGAGGAATATCCCTCCCTCCTAGAGACTTGGGCAGGTGTGTGGGCATTGAGCCCCCTCTTTCCACCTGCAGAGCTGCTCCAGAAGGGCTCCACCTGCATCACCAACACCGAAGGATGGGTGGGGCACCCCCTGGACCCCATTGGCTGCCTCTGCAGGGCGCTCCTGGAGGCCTGTCGTCTGGAGGAGGAGACACTTACCCTTTACCCAGGTACTCACATGGGGTACTCTTGGAGGAGGTGGGACAACCCCGCCTCGTTGGCCACGCCCCCTGGCCCAGTACCCCTATAAGGTAACTCCCAGACTCTGACCCTTGGCCACGCCCCTACCCTTGGCTACCTCCTCTGGCCAGTGCCCAGAGCCAATAGGCTTAGCTTCTCCTGAAAGTGAGGCCACCATAGGCCTAGCTGCTGCTAGAAGGTGGGGCTCCCGCGCTCCCCCAACCCCGTGAGTGCTGGGAGCTTCTGGGCTCCCTCTAAAGCCTACCCTGCGCCCAGGTCTCCATGCTTGAGGCCAAGGGCTACAGGGACCTTAGGGAAGGGGATCCGTCTCCAGCAGCCCTGGCCCTGTCTCCCCCAGACTCAGGCCCCGAGAAGCGGAAGGTGGCCTACCAGCACGTGCCTGTGCCCGGGAGCCCTGGGGAGTCCTACTTGGTGCTGGCGCTGGAGGTGGCACTGCTGGGGCTGGGGCAGCAGCGGGCCCTGCCGGAGGGGCTGTACGCCCAGGACAAGGTGGTGCGCAACGAGGAGCAGCTGCTGGCCCTGCTGGAGGAGGTGGAGTTGGATGAGCGGTTGGTGCAGGTGCTGCGCAAGCAGGCGGGGCTGCTGCTGGAAGGTGAGGCCGCGCCCCTAGGCCTGGCTGTTGCTGAAGGGTAGGGTCCAGCCCCTGGTCCTGTAGCGGCCCGGTTGCTGCCAGATGGGAGGCCCCGCCCCAGCCCCGCCCCTAGCCCCGCCTCCTGGTGATACTGTCCCCTCATACCTTGGCAGTTTCTAAAAGGAGAGAGCCAGCTCTTTTTCCCGCCACCTAGTGCGTGCTGCCAGCCAGCAACTGCTGCGTGTGCTGAGGCGCCGCCCCCTTCCCTCCCGGGAGCCAGTGAGCCAAGTGGTTGATGTTAAAGCGAGGGCGTCCCACCTTCATCCGCAACTTAGACACCGCCCCTGTCCCGGCCTGCTCCTCATTGGCCCCGCCAATGGCCAGGCCCTATTGACCTGTGTGTTGTGAGACTCCGTCCCCTAGCGCTACAGGGAGCCGTTTATCCCTGCCCCTTCAAGGCCCCCTACGCTATCGGACTTGCTGGTCTTGGCCGCTGGTCCCGTTCCCCAAGGCAGGTGCAGCCCCACCTCCACCCTCTGGCCCCACCTTGTATCTGAGTCCTGCTCCTCACCTGCGAGTGTGCCTGGAGTCTCTTCTTTTCCTTTTCCTTTTTTCCTTTTTTATTTTGCGACAGTCTTCACTCTGTCACCCAGGCTGGAGTGCAGTGGCGCGATCTCGGCTCACTGCAATCTCTGCCTCCCGGGTTCAAGTGATTCTTCTGCCTCAGCCTCCCGAGTAGCTGGGATTACAGGCGTGCGCCACCACACCCGGCTGATTTTTGTATTTTTAGTAGAGATGGGGTTTCCCCATGTTGGCCAGGCTGGTCTCAAACTCCTGACCTCAAGTGATCTGCCCGCCTCGGCCTCCCAAAGTGCTGGGATTACAGGCATGAGCCGTGGTCCCCTGCCTCCTCTTTTTTTTTTTTTGAGACGGAGTCTCGCTCTGTCTCCCAGGTTGGAGTGCAGTGGCGCAATCTCGGCTCACTGCACCCTCCGATCCCGGGTTCACGCCATTCTCCTGCCTCAGCCTCCCGAGTAGCTGGGACTACTTGCGCCTGCCACCACACCTGGCTAATTTTTTTTGTATTTTTAGTAGAGACGGGGTTTCACCGTGTTAGCCAGGATGGTCTCGAACTCCTAACCTCGTGATCCGCCAGCCTCGGCCTCCCAAAGTGCTGGGATTACAGGCGTGAGCCACCGCGCCAGGCCTCCTCTTTTATTTGGATTACCCAGAGATTGCCTCAGTCTCAGACCTGAACCCCTACCCCAGAGACCCATCTAGCCACAGCCACTCTACCCAGGGGCCAGCCCACCCTCTACTTAAAGCCTGGGGTCTAGTGAGACCTGGGGAAGGGCAGAGGCGAGCCCACACTTGGGGACTGAGCTCAGGCTGTTCCTGCAGGGGGTCCCTTCAGTGGCTTTGGGGAGGTGCTGTTCCGGGAGAGCGTGCCCATGCACACCTGTGCCCGCTACCTGTTCACCGCACTGCTGCCTCATGACCCGGACCTGGCCTATCGCCTCGCGCTGCGAGCTATGAGGTGAGGATAGGTGGCCAAGGCAGTGGCAGGGGGAGCTGGGGGGAAGAGGGGCGGGCATGGGGGGTAGCTCAGAGCCCCACCCATCCAGCCTGAACTCACAGCCTAGTTAATTCAGTCTCTCTCACCCTGGCATTTGATGATGCCATGTGCTTTTCATTATTATTATTTATTTATTTATTTATTTATTTATTTATTTTGAGCTGGAGTCCTCTGTGACCCAGGCTGGAGTGCAGTGGCGCGATCTCAGCTCACTGCAACCTCCACCTCCTGGGTTCAAGCAATTTCCTGCCTCAGCCTCCCGAGTGGCTAGGATTACAGGCATGCACCACCATGCCCAGCTAATTTTTGTTTTTTGTTTTTTTTTTTTTTGAGACGGAGTCTTGCTCTGTCACCCAGGCTGGAGTGCAGTGGCGCGATCTCGGCCCACTCCCAGGGCCGATCTCAGCTCCGCCTTCCAGGTTCACACCATTCTCCTGCCTCAGCCTCCTGAGTAGCTGGGACCACAGGCGCCCGCCACCACGCCCGGCTAATTTTTTGTATTTTTAGTAGAGACGGGGTTTCACCGTGTTAGTAATTTTTGTATTTTTAATAGAGACAGGATTTCGCCATGTTGCCCATGTTGTCTCGAACTCCTGACCTCATGATCCACCCGCCTTGGCCTCCCAAAGTGCTAGGATTACAGGCATAAGCCACCTCGCACAGCCGTGCTTTTTATTATTAAGTATAAATGTGTGTTTTTTGTTTTGTGTTTTTTTTGTTTTGAGACAGGGTCTGGCTCTGTCACCCAGGCCAGAGTAAAGTGGTGCCATCTCTGCTCAGTGCAACCTCTGCCTCCCAGGCTCAAGCGATCCTCCCATCTCAGCCTCCTGAGTATCCAGGACTCCAGGCGTGCACCACCGCACTGGGCTAATTTTTGTATTTTTTGTAGAGACGGGGTTTCACCATGTTGCTCAGGCTGGTCTCGAATTTCTGAGCTCAAGTGATCCGCCCACCTTGGCTTTCCAAAGCTCTGGGATTACAGGCGTGAGCCACTGCACCTGGCTAAATGTGTAATATTATTTTGAGTTTGAGAATATTCACATGATACATGAAAAGATACACAAAGCTGAAATCTTTTCTAGGCAGTTTTATCTCAGCCTATCCAGATCTCTCCGGATGCAAGCAGGGTTATCACTTTTGTGTCTATCCTGCAAGAATTGAGGTTTCTGCAAACCCATAATCTGGAAATTGAACGTTGATCCTCCTTTTATACCAGTGGTACATCCTGTATCTATTCTTTGCACCTTTTTCTCACTGAGCTTTGCATCTTACAGGATTTGTCTTATCACACAGTACGTGAATCACTGCGTAGCCTTCCACTCTAAGGACACGTCATAAAAGAACCACTTGGAAGCTGATAGACATTTACGCAATTTCCAAAAAAAAAAAAAAAAGGCAATGAATAACCTGGTTTTCATTTATCACGTACACCAGCAGATTCACAGAAGGAGAATATTTGAAAGCCAACTTGGCCGGGCATGGTGGCTCATGCCTGTAATCCCAGCACTTTGGGAGGCCAAGGCGGACGGATCACCTGAGGTCATGAGTTTGAGACCAGCCTGGCCAACATAGTGAAAACCTATCTCTACTAAAAATACAAAAATTAGCTGGGTGTGGAGGTGCATACCTGTAATCCCAGCTACTCCGGAGGCTGAGACAGGAGAATGACTTAAACCCGGGAGGTGGAGGTTGCAATGAGCCCAGATCGCACCACTGCACTCCAGCCTGGGAGACAGAGCGAGACTCTGTCTCCAAAAAAAAAAAAAAGGCCAACTCAATAGTAAACCATGCCCAAAAAGGTGCAACCTATTCCACACCTTCTGAAACCATCCTTCAGAGGTACCTATAAACAACTTGGGATCCAGCCTGGTACACATCTATGGTCCTAGCTACTTGGGAGGCTGAGGAGGGAGGATTGCTTGAGCCCAGGAATTCAAGGCTGTAGTGATCTATGATCCCACCTATGAATTGCCACTGCACGCCAGCCTGGGCAACAGAGCAAGACCCCATCTCTCTCTTTTTTTTGTCCTTTTAGAGACAGTCTCGCTCCATTGCCCAGGCTGGATATGCAATGGCAGGATCATAGCTCTTCACAGCCTCATATACATGGGCTCAAAGGATCCTCCCACCTAAGCCTCCCACCAAGTAACTGGGACTACAGGTACTTGTCACCATGCCTGGCTAGTTTTAAATTTTTTTTTTTTTGAGAGGGAGTCTCACTTTCTCGCCCAGGCTGGAGTGCAGTGGCACAATCTCAGCTCACTGCAAGCTCCGCTCACTGCAAGCTCCAAACCTCCCGGGTTCAAGTGATTCTCCTGCCTCAGCCTCCCAAGTAGCTGGGACTACAGTCACCCACCACCACGCCTGGTTAATTTTTTGTATTTTTAGTAGAGACAGGTTTTCACCATGTCAGCCGGGATGGTCTCAATCTCCTGACCTCGTGATCCACCCACCTCAGCCTCCCAAAGTGCTGGGATTACAGGCATGAGCCACCACACCCGGCCTAGTTTAAAAATTTTTTTTGTAATGATGGGATCTCATTACATTGCCCAGGTTGGTCTCAAATTCCTGGCCTCAAGCGACCCTCTCGCCTTGGCCCATCTCTTTAAAACACACAAACACACACACACATACACACACACACACACACACACACACACACACACACACACACAGTTTGGAGTGTTTTTCCAGAATATTTAGAAAGAACAGCCTGTAAGAGCCAAGATTTAGACAACAGACTTTTCTATGCAAGAATTTTTTTTCTCAGCAAAATACAGCCCATGGGGCCTAATTTGGCCAACCACCTGTTTTCGTACAGCCCATGAGATAAGAATGGTTTTTACATTTATAAACGGTTGAAAAAAATCAAAAGAATATTTTGTAACACATGAAAAATATATGAAATTCAAATTTCAGTGTCCAGAAATGGTTTTATTGGCACACAGCCATGTCCATTCATCTGTGAATTGTCTGTGGCTTTTCTGGCAGAACAATGACAGAATTAAGTCATTGAAATACAGATCAGTGGCCAGGCATGGTGGCTCATGTCTGTAATCCCAGCACTTTGGGAGGCCAAGACGGGCGGATCACTTGAGGACAGGAGTTCAAGACTAGCCTGGCCAACATGATGCAACCCCATGTCTACTAAAAATACAAAAATTAGGGCCAGGAGCCATGGTTCACGCCTATAATCCCAGTACTTTGGGAGGCCGAGGAGGGCGGATCACCTAAGGTCAGGAGTTTGAGACCGGCCTGACCAACATGGAGAAAACCCGTCTCTACTAAAAATACAAAATTAGCCAGGTGTGGTAGTACACGCCTGTAATCCCAGCTACTCGGGAGGCTGAGGCAAGAGAATCGTTTGAACCCAGGAGGCAGAGGTTGCAGTGAGCCGAGATTGCGCCATTGCACGCCAGCCTGGGCAAAAAGAGTGAAACTCCGTCTCAAAAAAAAAAAAAAGAAAGAAAAAAGCCAGGTATGGTGGCACGTGCCTGTAGTCCCAGCTACTCAGGAGGCTGAAGTGGGAGGATTACTTGAGCCGAGAAGTTTGAGGCTTCAGTGAGCTATGATTGTCCCACAGGACTCCAGCCTGGGTGACAACAGAGTGAGACCCTGTCTCTAAAATAAGTAAATGTATCAATTTATAAACAACACTGCAGTGAACATCTTGCACACACATCTTCCATCATCTTGGGCTCTCAGGGCTCTGCTGGCTGAAGTGGGGAGGCTGGGCCAGGAGGCTTCTCTGTCTCCTAGAGAGAATGGGGACAGCAGCCCCTCCTCACCATGGCTCACTTCTCCCCTTACCCAGGCTGCCCATACTGGAGACAGCATTTCCTGCTGGAGAACCTCATCCCAGCCCGCTGGACTCCATCATGAGCAACCGCTTCCCCCGCTGGTTCATCCTTGGCCACCTGGAGACCCGCCAGTGTGAACTGGCTTCCACCATGTTGACGGCCGCCAAGGGTGAGGCTGGCAGCTGTCCCGATTCCTTTGTCTTCCTCCTCTGTCATCTCCTTCTTCCTTCCCTCTTAACTTTCCTGCCTCCTCTTATCCTTTCACAAACTTCCCCCTGCATTCTTTGAGCACCTCCTATATGTACCGGACACTGTCTCAGGTGCTGGGGATGTAGCAGGTGACAAAACTGTCCCAGATCCCCTGCCCTGTGGAATGACATTCTAGTGGGGAGAAGAGAGTGATGCAGTAAATGAGACGGTAACAGGTGCCATGGAGTGGAATAAAACAGTTGAACATTTAAGCAGAGACCTGAAGATGAGGTGGAGCCTTGCAGGTACCTGGTGTCTTAGCTCAGGCTGCTGTAACAAAACACCAGAGACTGCGTGACTTCAACAACAAAAATTTATTTTCTCACATTTCTGTAGGCTAGAAGTCTAAGATCACTATGTCAGTATGGCTAGCTCCTGGTGAGGGCTCTCTTCTCAGCTTACAGACGGCCACCTTCTTGCTTTGTTGAGAGTTGGGGGGAGTGAAGTGGGGAGTAGAGAGGAAAGTGAGAGAGAGGAGGCTGGGAGAGAGAGAGAGGGAGAAAGGAGAGATAGTAGGGGGGGATAGAGAGAGAGGGAGAGAGAGGAGTCAGGTGCCAGAGAGGAGAGAGAGAAGAAAGAGAAGAGGGAGAGAGGAGAGACAGAGAGGAGAAGTTAAATTTCTCCAGTGTATCTTCTTCTAAGGTCACTAACCCTCTCATGAGTACCTGAACTTCATGACCTCATCTAAACCTAATTATTGGCTGGGCACGGTAGCTCATGCCTGTAATCCCAGCACTTTGGGAGGCTGAGGCGGGCAAATCACTTGAGGCCAGGAGTTCGGGACCAGCAAATCACTTGAGGCCAGAAGTTCTTCAAGACCAGCCTGGCCAATATGGTGAAACCCCATCTCTACTAAAAATGCAAAAATTAGCCAGGCACAGTGGTGCACGCCTGTAATCCCAGCGATTTGGGAGGCCGAGGCCGGGGGATCACCTGAGGTCAGGAGTTCGAGACCAGCCTGGCCAACATGGTGAAACTCTGTGTCTACTAAAAATATGAAAATTAGCTGGGCGTGGTGACCGGCACCTGTAATCCCAGCTACTTGGGAGGCTGAGGCAGGAGAATCACTTGAACCCGGGAGGCAAAGGTTGCAGTGAGCCGAGACTGCACCGTTGCACTCCAGCCTGGACAACAAGAACAAAACTCCATCTCAAAATAATAATAATAATAATAATAATAATAATAATAATAATAATAAAAGCTAACATTTGAGCAGCTCCTTGCCATGTTAAGGCCTTGCCAAGTATGGGCCCACCACCACCCTGTGAGGTGGGTTCCATTGCCTGAGTGTTACCCATTTTACAGATGGGGCAGCCAGGGCACAGAGAGGTGAAGTGACTTGCTCAGGGTCACACAGCTAGTGGGTGGCAGGACCAGGATTTGAACCCTGGCATTCTGGGTGTGCAACCAATGCCCTTGAGATGAGGGAGAGGTCCATAGGATCCCTAGGTGGCTTTTCTTTTCTTTTTTTTTTTTTTGAGATGGATATTACTCTATCATCTAGGCTGGAGTGCAGTGGTGCCATCTCAGCTGACTGCAACCTCTGCCTCCCGGGTTCAAGCGATTCTCGTGCCTCATCCTCCCAAGTAGCTGGGATTACAGGCACCCGCCACCATGCCCAGCTAATTTTTGTAGATGGGGTTTCGCCATGTTGGCCAGGCTGGTCTCAAACTCTTGACCTCGTGATCCACCCACCTCAGCCTCCCAAAGTGCTGGGATTACAGGTGTGAGCCACTGCGCCCGGCCCCTAGGTGGCTTTCTGTAACAGGAAAGGGCCAGAGAGGAGATAATTGGCAAGGGCTAGGGGCACTGAGGTCTGAATCTTCACAGAACCATGGCCCAGTACACATCCCTCCACACTCACACATGTGCCCCTGGGTGGAAGGATCTGTGTGAACAGGTCGGGTGGTGGTCAGAGGCTGGTGCTGAGGTGTATCCGATGGTGTCCTCTGTCCCGCCCTTCACCCAGGAGACCCCAAGTGGCTGCACACGGTACTGGGCTCCATCCAGCAGAACATCCACTCTCCGGCCCTGCTCTTTAAGCTGGCGCAGGACGCCTGCAAGACAGCCACCCCGGTCAGCGCCCCACCAGACACCACGCTGCTGGGCATCGCACTGGAGCTGGGGCTGCAGGTGAGGGCTGCCAGGTGGATGCGGGAGGGCGATGGTGGCTCGGGGCCAGGACTGACTGTGAGCTGCGCCTCCCGGGGCATGGGCTGAGTGTGAGCCACTTCGCTGGGGGCCCGGCATTTGCGTGAGCTATTCCTCTGTGGCTGGGGACTGAGCGAGAACCACTCTTGGGGCGGGGACTGTGAGTGAGACACACCTCTGGGGGCGTGGCCTGAGTGTGGGCCACTTCCTTGGGGGCGTGGCATGAGTGAGCCACTCCCCTGGGAATGGGGACTGGATGAATCGTGTCTCTGGGGATGGGGTCTTCACTTGGGCCACACCTCTGCAGGTGGGGCCTGAGTGTGAACCTCACCTTTAGGGGCGGGGCCACAGAAGGCCAAGGTCTGTAAGTCATGGGAGTGTGGGAATGGGGTTCCCAGTAGGGATGAAGCCTATGAATTATTAATAGAATCCGTCTATGGAGGAGACTGAGGTCTAGGGGAGAGTTGTCACTGGAGCGGAGAGGCAGGGCCTGCAAGCCAGCAGATGGATCGCAAGCGGAGCCTGGGGGTGGGGCCTGGGAGTGATGTGCTATTGGTTAAGGATCATGGGTGGGTGAGTTTGAAGCTGAGGGTGAGGCAGAGCCTAGCAATAAAGAGCTTCCTTGGGGGCAGGGCCTGAAGAGGATTGCCGCCTAAGGAGAGGGATTCACCACTGAAGGGCTGGCCTGGCGGAAGGTCTTGAAGATGAGATGCCAACTCTAGGGGTGGGGTCTGTGGTTGAAAGCCCTGTATGAGCCCGGGTGTGGTGGCTCACATCTGTAATCCCACACTTTGGGAGGCCGAGGGGGGCAGATCACGAGGCCAGGAGTTCGAGACCAGCCTGGCCAACATGATGAAACTCCGTCTCTACTAAAAATACAAAAATTAGCCAAGCGTGGTGGCACGCGCCTGTAATCCCAGCTACTCGGGAGGTTGAGGCAAGAGAATCGCTTGAACCCAGGAGGGAGAGGTTGCAGTGAGCCGAAATCACACCACTGCATTCCAGCCTGAAGGACGGAGCAAGACTCCGTCTTGGGGAAGAAAAAAAAAAGTCCTGTATGCAGGGCCTGCAACTGAGTGTCTGGGTCATCCCCAGGGGCTGAACAAAGGGTGGTCCTGCAAGGCCAAATCTTGGGTGCAGCTTGCTGGAAAGGTGTCATTGGTAGGGTGTGAGTGCCATGGGACCTGGAGGAGGGTGGGGTCTGCAGGATAGACAGGTAAGGGGCGGGGCCTCAAAGGGTGGCAGAAGTTCACTAAGAAGATAAGGAATAGGGCCGGGCACAGTGCCTCACACCTGTAATTCCAGCATTTTGGGAGGCCAAGGTGGGAGGATTGCTTGGGGCCAGGAGTTTGAGATTGGCCTGGACAACATAGTGAGACCCCCATCTCTACAAAAAACTTTAAAAATTAGCCAGGTGTGATGGTGCACCCCTGTAGTCCCAGCTCCTCAGGAGGCTGAGGCGAGAGGATCGCTTGAGGCCAGGAGTTTGAGGCTGCAGCAGTGAGCTATGATCGCGCCACTGTACTCCAGGTAACAGAGCAAGAAGACCCCAACTCTAAAAGAAAAAAATAGAAAAGAAAAAAGAAGTTGGGGCCAGGCCCTGTGGTTCACACCTGTAATCCCAGCACTTTGGGAGGCCGATGCGGATCGCTTGAGGCCAGGAGTTCAAGACCAGCCTGGCCAACACAGCAAAAACCCGTCTCTCCCAAAAATCAGCCATGCATGGTGGTGGACGCGTGTAGTCCCAGCTGCTCGGGAGGCTGAGGCAGGAGAATCACATGAACCCAGGAGGTGTAGGTTACAGTGAGCCAAGAGACCACAACTGCACTTCAGCCCCGGCGACAGAGTGAGACCCTCAAAAAAAAAAAAAAAAAAAGAAAAGAAAAAAAAAGAAACTGGGGACCTTCCCAGCTAGAACAAACAAGGGCCAGCAGGGTGCAGAATCAGCCCTGGACAGCCTCCTGATTGGAGCCGTTGTAGTGTGGGGAGCAAGACAAGGAGCTTTCAGAGGCTACTCAAGAGGTAGGAGCTTACAGAAGGCAGGGTCTGCAGGACAGGACCTGTGGATGGGGCCTCAGGGGAGAGGCAAACACGTGAGCTGCTGATTGGTGGTGGGACCTAGTGAAGGTGGGGCTTATACAGCAGGTACTTAGAGGCAAGAGAGAGGAGCCAACAGGAAGCATGGAGGTTTCAGGAGCGAAGGGACAGGTTGGTTTGTTCCGGCATAGGATCTATGAGGTGGGATCTGGGGTAGGATCTGTGAGGACTCACTTCAGAAGAACAGCAACAACAGCAGTGATATTAAGAGCTGACATTACCTGAGAGCATTTTCAAGCAATAAGCACCTTGCAGAAAGCTTCACCTACGCAATTTTGTTTACTTCTCACAACAATCAGGCTGGGTGCAGTGGCTCACGCCTATAATCCCAGCACTTTGAGAGGCTGAGGCGGGCGGATCACTTGAGGTCAGGAGTTCGAGACCAGCCTGGCCAACATAGTGAAACCCCATCTCTACTAAAAATACAAAAATTAGCTGAGCATGGTGGCGGGCACCTGTAATCCCAGCTACTTGGGAGCCTGAGGCAGGAGAATGCTTGAACTCGGGAGGCGGAGGTTGTAGTGAGCCAAGATCGCACCACTGCATGCCATTCTGGGTGACAGAGCAAGATTCCATCTCAAAAAAAAACAAAACAAAACAACAACAAAAAAGAAAAAACAACAATCCTATGAGACAGATACTATTTTATCTCCATTTTCTAGGTAATTGAGGCCCAGAAAGTTGAGATCACTTACCCGGGTTCATTGGATCAGCTTTAACCTCCAAGTGTTTCTGGGGTCCTCCATCTCCCAACGCCCCTCCATAGGCCAGCCCAAGACTCAGGCTAACCCCCTTCTCCCCACCCCTACCTTGCAGGTGATGCGGATGACTCTGAACGTAATGACCTGGCGGCGGAGGGAGATGGTGCGCTGGCTGGTCAGCTGTGCCACAGAGATTGGTGAGAGCCCCTAAGGGGACCTGCCACCCACTTCGCTGTTCTGGTTCTGCAGAGCGCACTGAGAGAACCAGGCAGACAAGAAAGAGAGAAGTGGCGGGGTGCGGTGGCTCACACCTGTAATCCCAGCACTTTGGGAGGCCAAAGCGGGAGGATCACTTGAGCCCAGGAGTTCAAGAGCAGCCTGGGTAACATAGTGAGACCCCATCTCTACAAAAAATTAAAAATTAGCTGGGCGTGGTGGCAAGTGCCTGTAGTTCCAGCTGCTTGGGAGGCTGAAGCAGGAGGATAGATTGCTTGAGCCCAGGAGGTCAACGCTACAGTTAGCCATGATCATACCACTGCACTCCAGCCTGGGCAACAGAGGAAAACCTCCTCTGGGAAAAAAAAAAGAGAGAGAGAGAGAGAGAAGCAAGCCAGGCATGGTGGCACACACCTGTAGTCCTATCCGGAGGGCTGAGGTGGGAAAATCACTTGAGCCCAGGAGATTGAGGTTGCAGTGAGCTGTGATTGTGCCACTGCACTCCAGCCTGAGTGGCAGGGTGAGACCCTGTCTCTAAAAAATTGTTTAACAAAAAGAAAGAGGGCCAGGCGCAGTGGCTCACACCTGTAATCCTAGCACTTTGGGAGGCCAAGGCATGTGGATCACTTGAGGTCAGGAGTTCGAGACCAGCCTGGCCAACATGGCAAAACCCCATCTCTACTAAAAATACAAAAATTAGCCAGATGTGGTGGCAGGTGCCTGTAATTCCAGCTACTCGGGAGGCTGAGGCAGGAGAATTGCTGGAACCTGGGAGACAGAGGTTGCAGTGAGCCGAGAACTCACTACCGCACTCCAGCCTGGGTGACAGAGCAAGACTCCATCTCAAAATGGGCAGATCACAAGGTCAGGAGATTGAGACCATCCTGGCTAATACGGTGAAACCCCGTCTCTACTAAAAATACAAAAAAACTAGCTGGGCGTGGTGGTGGGCCCCTGTAGTCCCAGCTACTCAGGAGGCTGAGGCAGGAGAATGGCGTGAACCCAGGAGGCGGAGCTTGCAGTGAGCCGAGATGGTGCCACTGCCCTCCAGCCTGGGCAACAGAGCGAGACTCCATCTCAAAAAAAAAAAAGGAAAGAGAAGTAGAGACTCTTCAGAGACTCTTCTCCGATTCCAGCCTGTGCTCAGGGCTTGGCCGGGAGGGAATGGCTGGCCAGCATGGAGCTGGACAAAGGCCTAGAGGCTGGCCAGGCTAATGTGGCTGCAGGGGGTTGAGGGGGTTGCAGAAAGAGGCTCCAAAGCTTAGCCTTCTACACACGTGATTCCCACCTAGTCCAGGTGCGCCCTGATGATTTGGAAAGGAAGTTTCTGTTCAGCATGGTGTGGAGGTGGAAGTGGAGGTGGCAGTGTCATGGTTAACCCACGCATACATGTACGTGTGTCTGCCCCCGCTCCTGACGGATTTCCCTCCCTCACCTCCCACCAGGCCCGCAAGCCCTGATGAATATCATGCAGAACTGGTATTCCTTATTCACACCAGTGGAGGCGGCTACCATCGTGGCAGTGACGGGCACCACACACGCCACTCTGCTGCGACTGCAGCTGGACACATCGCGGAGGGAGGAGCTCTGGGCCTGCGCCCGCACCCTGGCCTTGCAGTGCGCGATGAAGGACCCTCAGAACTGCGCCTTGCCTGCCCTGACCCTGTGCGAGAAGAACCACTCGGCCTTCGAGGCGGCCTACCAGATCGTGCTGGACGCGGCGGCCGGCGGCCTGGGCCACGCCCACCTCTTCACTGTGGCCCGCTATATGGAGCACCGCGGGCTGCCGCTCCGGGCCTACAAGCTGGCGACGCTGGCCCTGGCGCAGCTCAGCATCGCCTTCAACCAGGACAGCCACCCTGCCGTCAACGACGTGCTTTGGGCCTGCTCTCTCAGCCACTCCCTGGGCCGGCACGAGCTCTCTGCCATCGTCCCCCTCATCATTCGCAGCATCCACTGTGCCCCAATGCTGTCCGATATTCTGCGCCGCTGGACTCTCTCGGCGCCCGGTCTGGGCCCCTTAGGGGCACGCCGGGCCGCCAAGCCACTGGGTGCCGACCGGGCGCCGCTCTGCCAGCTCCTGGACGCGGCAGTCACCGCCTACATCACCACCAGCCACTCGCGCCTCACGCACATCAGCCCGCGGCACTATGGGGATTTCATCGAATTCCTGGGCAAGGCCCGGGAGACCTTCCTGCTGGCGCCCGACGGGCACCTCCAGTTCTCACAGTTCTTGGAGAACCTCAAACAGACCTACAAGGGCAAGAAGAAACTCATGCTTTTGGTGCGGGAGCGTTTTGGTTGAGGGACAGTGGGGTGCGTGGGAGTGGGGATCCCCCTCGCCCCTGCGTCCCCCACCCTTGCTCTCCAATTAGGCCCACGTGGCATTTCAGTATTATTAAGTCAGGGAAGGAGCCCGGCTGGAGATGGGGGCAGGGGGAGCAGCATCCTGCCACGTGTGTGCCTGGGAGTCTGTGAGCAAGTGTGCAAGACTCCAGAAGCAGAAGCCATACTGCCACCCAGAAGCCTGGAAGGGGTGTGTGCTTGGGCTGCTGGTATGACCCCACTTTGGGCACCCCAAAAGCAATAGGCAAACTCCCCTTACCCAGACTGGCTTGGGCTCCAGGAGGGAGGCTGGGAGGCAGGACTTTCCAGAAATCGACCCTCTAAGTCAATGTAGCACATTTTCCCCCAACCCCACCCTGGGTGGCCAAGGGTCCTCCCCCACCCCCTACTGCTCAGGGCCCCCCATTATGCCACCTCCAAAGTGGCTGCCCAGCCAGGACCATTGGCTCACCCCCACTGAAGGAATTGAAGAGGCCTCAGGCCTCAGCCTCATACCTCACCCCCTTATCCTATCCGGCCAGGACCCCCATTTCCTTGGGCACTAGGGTCCCAGGGTGGGCTCAGGGTTGGGGAAGTCCTCGCTGCCCTCTCTTCTCACCTGCTAGTCACTGGACGTACAACTCAGGAACTGAGCGAGGCTCACACTGCCCCTTCCAACCTGGGGTTGGGGGACACAGACGCGAGAGAGCCGGAGACCCCCACCCCCGATCTGGAAAGGAAAGAGACCTGTATCTTGGTGTTTTTCTGGCTTTTTCACCCTTTCGCCTCCTGTCTTTCTGCTTCGCCCCTTCATCTTACTCTGTTTCCATTTTTCCCGGCACTTACCTGCCTTTCTCTCTGCACCTAAGTCCCTGCCGCCCTCTCTCTTTGGCCATCCTTCCTTTCCCCCACCTTGACCCAGGGAGGAGAAGGGAGAACATCACCCCCCCAAGTCACCCCCACATCTTTTCCCTTCTTGTATATTAAGGACAAAATACCACATCATTTTGTAACTTTTTTTCTATTTATTGAACGGTGTATTACATGTCCTTTTCCTTTTTTTTTTTCAAAGATTGAACAGAAATTTTTCTTTTTAATTTTATTTTGAGACTGGGGTGCATCTCCAGAGCCACTCACACCCTCAACCTCGTTTCCTCCGCAAAAAAAAAAAAAAAAAAAAAAAATGTCTGGCCTTATTTCTGGGTGCAGCGCCAAGCGAGGGGTGGGATGGGAGCGACTGCTGGCTTCATTCCATGGTAATTATGTAAATATTTCCCTTTTTTTTTTTTTGGTCTTTCTCTGTTGCCCAGGCTGGAGTGCAGTAGCGCGATCTGGGCTCACTCCAACCTCCACCTCCCGGGTTCAAGCGATTCTCCTGGCTCAGCCTCCCAAGTAGCTGGGATTACAGGCATGCGCCACCACACCGGGCTAATTTTTGTATTTTTTAGTAGAGACGGGGTTTCACCATGTTGGCCAGGCTGGTCTCGAACACCTGACCTCAGGTGGTCTGCCCGCCTCAGCCTCCCAAAGTGCTGGGATTACAGGCGTGAGCCACCGCACCCGGCCTTATGTAAATATTTCAAAACAGAGATGGACAGCTCACCATGAGGGAACACAGGGCTGAATGCGTTACCGCTGTCATTTAATCGTCACCACAGCCCTATGAGTTGGTAGGATTATCTTTTCCATTTTACAGATGAGAAAACTGAGGTTGCAAAGTGGAAAGAAAGGGCACCCAGCGGCCGGGCGCGGTGGCTCACGTCTGTAATCCCAGCACTTTGGGAGGCCGAGGCGGGCGGATCACGAGGTCAGGAGATTGAGACCATCCTGACTAACACGGTAAAACCCCGTCTCTACTAAAGATATAACAAAAAATTAGCCAGGCGTGGTGACGGGCGCCTGTAGTCCCAGCTACTAGGGAGGCTGAGGCAGGAGAATGGCGTGAACCCTGGAGGTGGAGCTTGCAGTGAGCCGAGATCGCCCCACTGCACTCCAGCCTGGGCGACAGAGCGAGACTCCGTGGGTGGGGGGCAGGGGGGAAGGGCACCTAGCTAGGACGTTTGATTTAGGACCTGGTTGGGGCCACTGACCCCTGCCCACCCCTGACTGCAGGGTCCTTGAGCCCCTAGGAAGGGCCAAGATGGGGGTGGGGGGCGCCCTGGCTCCAGACACCAATGTTGGGGGTCCTTGTCTCCAAATTGCTGAGCATGGGAGGCTGTGGCAGGTGTTGGTGCAGCTGGATGGGGAAGACACCCCGATCAAAAGCGGGAACCCCGGGTTTAGACTCGACCTCGGTGGGCGGGGCTCTGGCCAAGAGAAGAAAAACGGAGTGGGGGTGGTCTGTGCGTGGACACTCGCCAGGGGACGTGGCCAGGGCGTGTCTGGGATCTTGCGCCACTGAAGAGGCTCCCAGTCGTCAAATAGAGTGAGGGATGGGATCCAAAGGACGGCGAGAAAGCCCGTGGTTGTCTAAACGTCCCTGGCTCCCCGAGAAGCAGTTTCCTCGGGGCCTTCCTGCCTTTTGGATGAATGGAGATGCTGTGTCTGGGTCACTGCCAGAGCCGGGGCAGGAGAGGACAGAGGCTTCCCGGAGCGGCAGGGCCCGTCGCTAGAGGGCGGGGCCCGCAGTCGGGGGCGGGACTTTGGCGGCGCTGTGCATGGGGATTGGCTTTTCGCACCGCCCCTCCGCTCGAGTGGGCCAATCGGAGACGGCCCCACCTCCTGCCCCGCCGCGCGTATTCCAGCAGGTATGTGCGGGCGGACCCGGGACTGCCCCGCGCGCTCCGTGGCGCCGCCTCGAGGTCTGGGACGGTGGAGGTGGGTGGAGAGCCCGGAGTGCACCCCTTGTGGTCCCTGCCGCCTTCGGACCTGGGGGACCCTTTACTGTGCCCCTCAGGTGTCACCCACGAATGTTCCCATGTTCCTGGGGCGTCACGCAGGTCCCAGCCACATCCAAATGTCCCCCCTTAAGAACTGGGGTTTCCTTCATGTCACATCCCTCAAACCCAAGTTCCCCTCCAGCATTCTCAGATACCAGGCACCCCAAATCTTCCCCTGAGGCCTGAGTAATCCCGTAGGTCCAAGTTGCCCCCAAATGTCACTAGCTCAAGACCCTCAGATCCTGGTTATCGCCACATGTCACCCCTCAGGCTCAGCGTTTCCCTCAGGGTCACCCCACCACCACCACTTCAGATCAGCTTCCATCCTCCCTTGATCAGCGATGTGAAAATCTTTCCACTCTAGGGTTTCCCTCATGGTCACCCCACGATCCAGGACACCCCCAAGGTCACCTTTCCAAGCACAGGATACCCTGCTGCACAGAGCAGGTGGGGCAGGGATGGGCAGGCAGGAGCCCGGAGTGCCAGGATGGTAAATTCAGGCCAATCAAAAGCTGAAACTCCAGCGATGGGAGGCAGGAGTGAATCACAGACCAGACCTTCAGGAATGAAGTCAGGGCAACTTTTATTTACTTGAACAACAGACATGACACACAGCACGATCTCTCCTCTCCATCCCATCCCAAGCTTCTGTCCACGACTACCCAGGGTGGGGAAAAAGGCAATGGCCCAGCCCCGATGACCTGGGGGACTTCAGTGTGCCTCCTCAGTCCCACCCAGAAAAAAGCCTCCTCCCATCTGATTTCAAGATAGTGGAGAAAAGCCAGGCACGGTGGCTCACACCTGAGCCACCTGTAATTCCGGCGCATTGGGAGACTAAGGTGGGAGGATGGCTTGTGGCCAGGAGTTCGAGAACAGCCTGGGCAACATAGTGAGACCTGCCCCCCCATCTCTACAAAAATTAAAATTAAAAAAATTAGCCAGGTGTGGTGGCGCATACCTGTAGTCCCAGCTCTACTGGGGAGGCTAAGGCAGGAGGATCACTTGTGCCCAGGAATTCAAGGTTGCAATGAGCCATGATCACACCAGCCTGGCCAAGATGGTGAAACCCCGTCTCTACTAAAAATACAAAGATTAGCCGGGCATGGTGGTGGGTGCCTGTAAGCCCAGCTACTCAGGAGGCTGAGGCAGGAGAATCGCTTGAACCCAGGAGGCAGAGGTTGCAGTGAGCCAAGATCACACCACTGCACTTCAGCCTGGGCAACAGAGTGAGACTCCGTCTCAAAAACAAACAATAAAAGGCCAGGCACGGTGGCTCACAGCTGTAATCCCAGCACTTTGGGAGGCTAAGACGAGCAGATTGCTTGAGGTCAGGAGTTCAAGACCAGTCTGGGTAACATGGCGAAACCCCGTCTCTACAAAACATAAAAAAAAATTGGCCGGGCGCAGTGGCTCATGCCTGTAATCCCAACACTTTGGGTGGCTGAGGCGGGCAGATCACCTGAGGTCAAGAGTTCGAGACCAGCCTGGCCAACATGGCGAAACTCGGTCTCTACTAAAAATACAAAAATTAGCCAGGTGCGGTGGTGTGCACCTGTAATCCCAGCTACTTGGGAGGCTGAGGCAGGAGAATCGTGTGAACTGGGGAGGTGGAGGTTGCAGTGAGCCGAGATCGAGCCATTGCACTCCAGCCCGGGTGACAGTGCGAGACTCCATCTCAAAAAAAAAAAAACAAAAAAAAAAAAACAGAGTCCTAACTCTTCCCTGCCCTGAGAACCCCCTCAAGGCAGGGAGGATCAGCTATTCCCAGCGCCTCAGGACTAAGCACACCTGCTTGTGTCCCTTCTGGGTCCACAAGGAACTTGTTCCATGCCCCACATGTGGGGCGGGTGTCACTGCTCCTCCCGGCAAGTTAGAAAGCTGCAGGGCCCAGCAAGAAGGGGCCAGGTCAGGTCAACCCAGCCTGATACCGGAAGCCAGGAGTTGGCATTTAACGGTCTGGAGGCCCAAGGCAGCTTCCTCTTGGGTAACTGGCTGCTAGGAAGGTGCGGGCCGGGCCAGTGCCCCTGCCAGGCTTGGGAGAGGAGGGGCCAAGCCTCCAGGCCCGGAAAGGACACAGCTGGCTTCCCTTTTAATGGAAGGGCCACCCACTCACCCACCTATCTATGCTGGCACCACAGCCCAGCCTGAGCTGTGGCCATGCAGGGGTCCCCAGTTGCAGAGTTGGGGATCAGGGCCTGCAGCACACATTTGGGCCCAGCCAACCCCACCCACCACATCCCTCCTCCAGACACAGGTCTGATTCTGAGTCCTCATCTCTGCTCCAAGCATCAGCCCACCCAGGGAAGGCAGGGGCTGCAGGCTCCAAGGGGGCTTGACCCCTGTTCCTGCTGAACTGAGCCAGTGTACACAAACCAACTGTGTTTCAGCTCAGTAGGCACGGGAGGCAGAGCCCAGGGAGGCCAGGCAGCAGGATGGCAGGCAGACAGGCGGCAGCAGGGGACAGGCGGCAAGGCCAGAGGAGGTGAGGGCCTGGGGGGCGGAACTTAGCCACTGTGAACACGACTTGGTGTGGACCCTGCTCACAAGCAGCTAAGCCCTGCTCCTCAGGCCAGGCACAGGCTTCGGGGCCTCTCTGCCACCCCGTCCCCGGGCAGCATCCTCGGTGGCAGAGCTCAGGGTCGGTTGGAAATCCCTGGCAATGTGATTTGTGACAGGAAGCAAATCCCATCCCCAGGAACCCCAGCCGGCCGTGGCACAGGGGTGAGGGGGGCACCGGGCGGGGCCAGAGGCTGGCACCTGGAGGGGAGAAAGAGAGAGAGAGCAAAGGAGGTAATGAGATTTGGGGACACCTCCCCTCCAGGTCCCCAGATGCTTCCTTTGATCACAGGGAAGCTCTTTTCTCATATGCAGGAGCCACCACACGGGGAGCTGGAGCCTAGCTGTGCCCTCCGTTCCAGCCCCAGGACTGGAGAGGCAGAGATACCTAGAGGGCCCATGCGGGACAAGGAGGCTACAGCAACTTGCATGGCCAAGCTCCCCCCTCATTGAGCCCTGGGCAGGCCAAATGGGGCCATGGGGAGAGGAAGCCAAGGGGGGCCAGGCAGGCGGGTGAGGAAGTGATCTCACCCCAGCTGGCGCCACTTCCTAGAAGCCTGGAGGGCAGGAGGAAACCACCAGGGCCTCCCCCCCCGTGGCCCGGTCTCCTCAGTGGCCAGGGCTTAGCCCACACCCACCAGGGCGGATGCCGGCAGCAAGGCACCCCCCTCTCTTTCTAGACACGCACCCCCCGCCCCCCAGAGCACAGGATCCAAGCTCCAAGATACAGGCCTCTCCACCCAAACAGCCCAAGGTTCAAATCCTTGCTCCACAGTTTCCCAAAGACTCTCCAAAGCTTCAGTTTCCCCATCTGTAAAATGGAGCCAAGAGCCTCTTTTGCATAGCCCAGTGAGATGTCACCGAGTATGTATGTCACTCAGTAAGTGCCCAGCACCAGGGCAAGATACAGGATTTTCAGGACCCGGTGCAAAATGAACACGTGGTCCTCTAGTTCGAAAACTAAGAATTTCAGGCCAAGCATGGCGGCTCACGCCTGTAATCCCAGCACTTTGGGAGGCCGAGGCAGGAGAGTCACCTGAGGCCAGGAGTTCAAGACCAGCCTGCGCAATACGACAATACCCCATCTCTACAAAAAAAAAAAATATTTTTTCTTTTTTGAGACAGGGTCTCACTCTGTCGCCACGGCTAGAGTGCAGGGGTGCAATCACAGCTCACTGCAGCCTCAGCCTCCCAGGTTCAAGTGATCCTCCCACCTTAGCCTCCGGGGTAGCTGGGACTACAGCTATGCACCACCATGCCCGGCTAATTTTTTCTTTTTCTTTTCTTTTTTTTTTTTTTTGAGACAGAGTCTCGCCCTGTCGCCCAGGCTGGAGTGCAATGGCGTGATCTCGGTTCACTGCAACCTCCACCTCCAGAGTTCAAGCAATTCTCCTGCTTCAGCCTCCCGAGTAGCTGGGATTACAGGTGCCCGCCACCACGCCCAGTTAAGTTTTGTATTTTTAGTAGAGACGGGGTTTCACCATGTTGGCCAGGCTGGTCTCGACCTCCTGACCTCAGGTGATCCGCCCACCTCGGCTTTCCAAAGTGCTGGGATTACAGGCGTGAGCCACCACACCTGGCCCTAATTTTTGTAGAGATGGGGTTTTGCCATGTTGCCCAGACTGGTCTCCAACTCCTGGGCTCAAGCAATCCGCCTGCCTCAGCCTCCCAAAGTGCTGGGCTTACAGGCCTGAGCCACAGTGTCTGGCCCACAAAAAATTCACTAAAAAATCAGCCAGGAGTGGTGGTACACATCTGTAGCCCCAGCTACTCAGGCGGCTGAGGTGGGAGGACTGCTTGAGCCCAGGAGTTTGAGGCTGCCGTGATCTATGACCATGCCACTGAACTCCAGCCTAAGTGACAGAGCAAGACCCTATCTCTAAAATAAACAAAAACAAGTTTAAAAAAAGAAAATAATTTCAGGCTGAGCGCGGTGGCTCATCCCTATAATCCCGGCACTTCGGGAGGCCAAGACAGGAAGATCGCTTGGGGCCAGGAGTTCGAGACCAGCCTGGGCAATACAAGACAAAAAAATTAATAATAATAAAAAAAAATTCATGACCCCAGCAGTGCAACATTAAACTAACCTCCAGGTCCCTCCAAGCAGGGCTGCCGTGAGACTGCCCGTTTCACAAATGCATGAAGCCAGCCCTAAGTCTTTAGTGAGTGGAGCTTCTTTTGATAAGAGCCCAACACCTGGCTAGCAGACTCCAGTTTTGGAGCCCAAGTCTGCCCAGATTTGAAAGCCCCAGCTCTGCAGCTTCTGAGCTGGGTGACTCTGGGCAAGTCACTCAACCTCTCTGGGCCTCAGCTTCCCCATCTGCAAAACAGGGATAATAAGTATGGACTTCATAAGTCATGGTGAGGACCCCATGAGTGATAAACATGATCACGACAGAGCTGCTGCTGTCTTTGCCAAGGCAAAGGATAACGGAAACGTGGGTGTCTCACACCAGGACCCCAGTGTCCGCCCGATGTGGTGGCGCTCACCACTTCGAGACAGGCGGCGAGTGATGTCCTGTTTTGTCCCCTCCCTATACACACATACACACATACCAGCCACTCTTTCCCATCAGGCCCCAGCCCAGCCCTGTCCCCTTAGGGTCTGGAGGCGCCAACTGGGAGCAGGCGAGGCCCCGCAGGGCGGCCAGCCTCCCTGGGCCGCCTCCGGAAGTGAGACAGCACATTCGTGTCCCAGGGACGAGAACGGGAAGGGCGGCCATTTGGCCAGGCTCGTTTCCTGTGGGGTTTCCCCTGCACAGAGCCCAGGGCCGGGGCCAAGGCCACTCCCCATCCCCGCAGGCACAAAAGGTCTGGGTCTTGAGTGGAAGGGGTGCTGCCATGCAGGTGCCCAGGAGACAGGGTCCCCTTTACCAATCATGGTGCACTTCTCAGGCTCTTGGGAGATGGTGTCCAGGGGGAAACCAAGCTCCTAGCAGCTGGAGGCATGAGGGAGAGGGCGGGCCCCTGGGCTGGGGAGCAAAGCAGGCCCCAGGCTGCATCAGGACACCCCGGCCAGCCAATGCATGTGGGTATGCCTGAATACCCCCTCCAGACAGCGTGTGCGTGGACCAGACACACAAGGGTATGTATGTGTACCGCTACCCCCCCAACCCCATGCTCCAAGAATGAATCAGGGGCAGCTTCCGCCGGGGGCGCCACCACCACCTCCGCCCCCAAGCCTGGTCCCCAAATACTTTCCACCCTCACAGAGCAGCTGGGATCGGAAAATACCAAGGGCTGCAGGCCCCGCCCTGCCCGCCGCGCCACCCGCCCTCCCAGCCTGTCACTAACGCTTTGCCTAATGGGCCCAGACTCTCAGCAGAAGCTCCGTGGGCTGGGCCTCGAGCCAGCCGCCAACCTGGGCTGCCCGGCCAAGCGCCGCCTGACCAGGAGCCCCCCGCCCCTCTGCCCCAATCCCAGTGCAGCGACAATAACAACCGCCCCGATGGGCAGCCCTCAGAGGGTGGCACTGGGTAGGGAAAGTCAGGGCACTGACAAGTGGGTGGGCCCCGCTGCCCACCCAGGGCTGGGGTGGGGGGAGGCTCAGGAAGGGGTGAGTAAGTGAGGGCTGAATCACTTGTTATAAATAGGGGAACCATGAAAGTGACATCCCAGCCCCCATTGCGTCCCGCCAGTCCACACTCTAACCCCCACTTAGACTTTAATCTTTCCCAGACCAATCACAGAATTCCCAGGGGCCCCCTCACCTTCATGTTGGGAACCCTTAGTAGAGTGGTACACCCCGTCATCAGGTCCACCCCTGCCTTCTCCCCACATAGGTACATTTT
Source organism: Homo sapiens (assembly GCF_000001405.40). NCBI lineage: Eukaryota > Metazoa > Chordata > Mammalia > Primates > Hominidae > Homo > Homo sapiens. The sequence goes on from NW_021160022.1 coordinate 52,138, forward strand.
GCAGTGAGGGCCTGGCTGTGGGGGTCCCCTGGCCTTGAATGCAGTCACTGGTGTCTGCGCCCTATCCACCTCCCTCAACGCACCGATTCCCAGGCCCAAGGCTCAGGGCCTCTAGGCTCTCCAAGGCATTCTCAGGGTGTGGGCCACCACAGTCCTGGAGGGTGACCCCAGAACCTAGGCCAGGCGGGAGGCCAGGGGGCTTGGCATCTTCGAAGTCAGTTCCCCAGGCACCGAGGCCCCACATCCTAGACCACCCAGCCCTGCTCTGCCCAGGGCCACAGCTCAGTGACCACACCCAGGGTGGCGCCAGCTCCAGCACCCTGGGGCAAGGCGTCGCTGGAGCGTGACTCAGCCGTGCCCAGCATGGCGGCGCCCTTCTCTGCCCAGGGATTCTCACCCACACCCACTGCCCTCCGCTCAACATCCTTCCCAGGCGACCGGCCCTAAAGGACACACCTTCCCCAGACACACCTCCGTGTCCACCCAGGACACCAGGAGGGAAGAAGGCGGCCAGGGGCAAAGTGTACACTTCTCTCCGTCCCATTTCCAAATGCTTCCCATTTATAGATAGAATAATTAAGGCTCAGAGATTCAGACTGGGGCTTAAGGTCATGGAATAAGTCTTAAAAAAAAAAAAAAAAAAAAGCCAGGCCTGACTGTGGCCTAAAACACATCCAACGTGGAAAACAGAGGTTACAGGAAGGAGTTTTCTCAAGATCGCCCAAGGTTCCTGGCGCCGTTATTCATGGAGGACAGAATCCCCCACCCAGCTTTCCAAGGTGAAGGGCAAACTCCAAAAAATGCTTTAAGAGGTATCAAAGCACCACCTAGATCGGGCGAGCGGGTCACCCCAGTGTACCCACCGGGCTAATTACCCTGGGATTGCAGATAGATGGGGGCCTGCCCCGCAGCTGCGGTCTGCATGGAACATCTGGCGTCCACTTGCATTGTTAGAGGGTGGGCACGACACGGGGGTCCCTCCTAAAGCATCCGCCTCTGCTGTCTTTCTCCAGCGAGCAAGGGTCGGCGGAGGCTCAGTGGCCAGGCCAGCACAGACAGGCCCGACCCTCTGGACACGCCCTGTCACGCATGTGCTCCGCGTGCCAGCCCCAGGCCAGGCCGGCACCTATTTTAGGGCCCCCTCTAGATCCACAGGCAAGGCCTGCCTGTTGGGGTCTTGAAGGAGCTCCCAGAGGACGTGCTGCAAGGGCAGAGGGCCATGGGTGCCTCACGGGATCAGAGAACAAAGCTAGCACCAGCCCCAGGGCCTGTGCCTTCCCAGGACATCGGCATGTGAACACATGTACCCAGGCTGGCCCGGGCAGGGCATGTGGGCGAGCGGACAGGGTGTGTCCAACATCACCTCGCCTCTAAGCCTGGGCACCTGTTGGGTACAGCCCTCCAGCTGGGGCAGGACTGCCAGAGGACACCCCTTATGCCAGGGGTCCCCCAGCCCCCAGCCTCACCCTCATAGACCAGGAGTCAGAGGCTGCCAGCTGGGGAAGGTTGGGAAGGGGGCAGGTGACAAGGAGCCAGCTGCACAGCCAAAACATTCAAGAAGCCACTGGGTCTGGGGCCTGGCTGGGCTGGGCTGGGCTGGGCTGGGCAGGAAGGTCAGTTAGGGCTAAGGGCTTTAGGGGCAGCCAAATCTAGTGCTAAAATCAGAAAACAGTCTGGGGCTAAGACAGAGGGGTCGGGGTTCAGTCTGGGCCCTTTTAACCTCCTCCTTCAGCCAAAAGGCACGGGGACCCCAAGCTGCACAGGGCTGGTCCCCAACCTGGCTTTCCTTCCTATGCAACCTTGAATGAGCGCTTTTCTCCGAAGGGAAAGGAGACATCCCCCCAGCTCCCACCAGCCCCTGCCCAACAAGAGACCTTCCCCCTACCCAGCGGGCGACACGTCAAGAACTTGGACCGGTATCCACCCCCGCCCCCACCCAAAGAACTCTGAGAGACCCCCCCAACCCATTCCTCCCGTCCAAAGGCCAGGTCGGGGGGCTAGGAGTGGGGTAGGCATATGCATATCCAAGCCCCTCAACCCAAGCCCCATGTCCGAGCCGGACACAAGCCCTCCCACCCTGACAACTCTCTGCCCACCTTGACCTGCCCAAGTCGCGCGGGGACCCGCCCTCCCCACCGCATTCCCATGCGTCCCCTGGGGGGTCGGGGTGGAGGGGCCACTGGGAAGGGAACAGAGGCCGGGCCGCCCTTCCCCCGCTCCGTAGGGGGCGCCCCGGGACTCCGCGGCCGCCGTCGCCACCGTCAGACGCACTGTCCCCGATCCCCGACCCACCCCGGGCGGCGGGGCGCTCAAGGCGCGCGGGGCGGCGCCCTCGCCTTCTCGCAACGCTCTTGGGGACCCGCCGGGCGCAGCCCCACTCCGCCCACGAGCCAGGCGCGGAAAAGTTGCCGGCGCCGCTGCCGCCGAGGCGCCGATCGCTCCCGGCCTCCCTCCTGGGTCCCTCCTGACTTCCACTTACCCGCGGGGGGAGGGGAGCCGGGCGCGCACTCCGGGCTCCGGCCGCCGCCCCGGGCCGGGCCGGCCGAGGCTCAGGCGGGCGGGCTGCGGGCCCGAGACCGGCCGGGGGCGGCCGCCGGCCGCGCTCCACCCCACTCACTGGCCGGCCAGCCGCGGGGCCGAATCGCTTTTAAAACCTTCCCGTCTCCTCCCCCCCTCCCCGGGCCGGGCAGGGGGCGGGCGCGGGGCGGGGCAGGCGTCGCCGTCATGTGCCCCCGAGCCGGCCCGCCCCCAGTTTCTCTGTCCTGTCCCCCAACTCTGTCCCGTCCCCCAACTCAAGGCCAACTTTCTCCCTCCTTGTCCCGAAATCAGCCTGGGCCCCATACCCAGCCCAACTTCCCCCTCTGGACCCTGAACTTGAGTCCCAGTCCCGAGTTTTAAGCCCAAGGCTCTGTCTGCGGGGGTAGGGTGGGAGCAAAGGGTCTAACCCCCTATCCCACCTCTGGAACCCCTGTTGGTCTAAGGCCTGCGCCTGCCCAGGGAGAGGCAACCCAGGAGGCCGTGAGCCCCTGGGAATAGAGATTGGTGAGGGGCGGTTTGGCGGGTGGGCTCGGTCCCAGACCCAGGGCACACTGGGCACTGCAGACCCCTCCCGGGGAGGGGGGCCTGGGTCTGGGTATTGCCCTGGGATGCCACCAAACAGGAACCCCCACTTGCTCCAGTTCCACAGCGCCTTCTCCAGCCTTAGGAAGTTCCTCCTCTTATCCTACCTAACCCTCTCCTGCTGCCATAGAAAAGACTTTCTGGTCCCAGGCCATGCAGCCCCTGGGTCTGGGTCCCCTCCCCCTAGGCTTCCCGGCACCCTCCCCCACCCGCTGGGACCTCTGGGAAACTCCCCGGGCTCCCGGAGTAGCTCTGGGAGCAAGGCCCTCCCTGGATCCCTCCCTCTTTCCCGGTGTGCCTGTCTTTCCCGCTCCATCCTCCAGCCTCCACCGGGAGGAACGCGGCTGCATTGTTCCTCAGGAGGAGGCCCTGCCTCGGGGCCTGGCCCAGTGCCCAGGTGGGTGGCCAGGAACAAAACTCTGAGATCGAGGGGCGGGGTGCCCTCTGCAACCATGCCAGTCTCCTTGGGCATGTCCCGCTGCCATCTGCCCTCTCCAGGACTCGACAAAGGCCGATGGACCCCTATCCACCACCCACGACCACCATCGTGTCACAGTGGGGGTCTGGAACCCGCAGGACCCTTCCCAGACCTGGGTGGGCATTGCTTTGGGGGATGATGTTTTCCACTCAGCCCCCAATATTTTTGAAGTGTCATCCTTGGGGCTAGGGATCCAATTCTTCATCCACGTCCTGGGTGGTAAGATAGCAGCCTCCCCTTTTGAGTAACTCTGGGGGTGGGGGCGCGGGGGTACCCAGCAGCAGGCCAGGCCCTCCAAGGGACTGGAGGGACTAGTTGGATGCTTCTGTGTCACCTTGCACCCCAGAATTCCTCCAGGGTCCCCCATTTCATCAGCTCAGCTGGCTCTCACCTTGCTACCTGGTGGAACTGGGGAGAGGGAGTTAGGAGCCACACCCAGCTACCATCCCGTGGGGCCCAGCCCTGGGGACTCCAGGGCCTTTTCTTCCCTGTGGGGCCCAAGGGGCAGGCTGGCCCAGGATGCAGGATCTGACAGGTTGGGGCAGGAGGGGGCAGAGCCGCCTAGTGGGGCCCCAGGGGAAGATTTGGGGTGGCACAGAATTCCCCAACTCAGGGTGGGGCGCAGAAGGTGGGAGCAACTTACCACATGGCCTTCTGAGCAGCTACACACAAGAATGGCATTTCCAGGGCGGGCCTGGGGTGGGGGTGGGGGTCTCCCTGTAAGGGACACACGCACACAGACAAACTTGTCATTGCAAAAGTAGAAAGTGACCAAATTACAATGACAAACAAAACTCGGATCTCTACCGCATCCCCATCCATATTGCCCCTCCAGAATTCCCTTCACCCCATAATAAGGCCTTCCATCCAGACATTGCCTGTCCCGTCATCAGTCCAATTCACATTCAGGGAGAACACCTCCTCCATGCTGGCCTCTGGGGATACCTCTTCCCCCAGATTTTTTTTTTATCTAATTTTCGCTGTTCTGTTGCCTGTGGCTTGGACCACACCCCGGCTCACTAGTATCCCTCAGCCCAGGCTTGGAGGGTCCTCCCAGAACCCCCACCTCTCCCTCTGGGTCCCTTGACATTTACTTCCACAGGCCCCGGTCCTGAGCCTGCCGGTTTACCCAGGGGACAGCAGGTGAGGGAGTGATGAAGGGACAGGGCGAAGGTGAGACCAGGTCAAGTGGTCAAATGGCATGGCACACACACACACACACACACACACACACACACACACCACACACCCTTTTGTTCATTCTACAAACATTGAGTGCCTGCTGTATGTATGTCAGGCTCTGTTCCGGGCATTTGGGGACACAGAAGAGAACAAAACAGAAAAAAAAATCCCTGTACTTTTGGGACCAGCATCTATGGGAGAAACAAACATGATAAGCAGATAGATAGGTATAAAGATATATAATGTGGCCAGGAGCGGTGGCTCATGCCTGTCTTCCCAGCACTTTGGGAGGCTGAGGCAGCCTGATCACTTGAGGTCGGGAGTTCGAGACAAGCCTGGCCAACATGGTGAAACCCCGTCTCTACTAAAAATACAACAATTAGCCGGGCATGGTGGCGCACGCCTGTACCCAGCTACTCGGGAGGCTGAGGCAGGAGAATCATTTGAACCAGGAGGCGGAGGTTGTAGTGAGCCAAGATTGCTCCACTGGACTCCAGCCTGAGCGACACAGGGAAACCCTGTCTCAAAAAAAAATTATATATCTATATATATTTTTAAAAATTACATATCTATATATTTAAAAATTATATATCTATATATATTTTAAAATTATGTGTCTATATGTTTAAAAATTATATATATATTGTTTTAAATTATATTATATATATATATATATATATATATAAAATGTGTTGGGTGGAAAGTCTATGGGTAATCTAGAAAAAGGCAAGAGAGATGAGAGATGAAATGAGTGGAGGTTAGGTCAGGAAAGTCCTCCCTGAGGAGGAGGTGACTTTGAACAAAGACTTTTAGGCACTGAGGGAAAAGCCAGGAAGACATCGAGAGGAAGAGAGTTCCAGGTAGAGAACGGCCAGTGCACAGGCTTTGCGGTAGGACGGTGCCTGGAACATTGGAAAACCAGCAAAGCAGACCGGTTTCATGGAGGCAGAGAGAGGAGTGGAATGGAAGAAGAACAAAGATTTGTTTTGTTTTGTTTTGTTTGAGAAGGAGTCTCACTCTGTCGCCCAGGCTGGAGTGCATTGTCACAATCTTGGCTCACTGAAACCTCTGCCTCCCCAGTTCAAGCGATTCTCCTGCCTCAGCCTCCCAAGTAGCTGGGATTACAGGCGTGCACCACCATGCTCGGCTAATTTTTCTATTTTTAGTAGAGACAGGGTTTCACCATATTGGCCAGGCTGATCTTGAACTCCTGACTTCAAGTGATCCGCCCGCCTCAGCCTCCCAAAGTGCTGGGATGACAGGTGTGAGCCACAGCGCCAGGCCCTACACCCCAGCTTTCTAGCTGGATGTCTTTGGGATGGCTTTGGGGCCAGGCGATTACACTTCCTAAGCCTCAGTTTTGTCGGCTGAAAAATGGGGCTGAAAATGCGCAATTTGCAGTTGTTACCAGGCTTTGAGGTGAGACGTGTGATGTGCTGATCGCAGGTAGAAAGAGGGTAAGTGATACACCAGGTACACCTGGATCAAGGGACCCTGACAGGCCCAGCCGGCCCACAGGTCACCCCAGCTCACATGCAGGGCTGCCTGCTGGGCCCCATGGCAACGCCACACACAGAGACATCAAACAGGCCCTGCCGAGGAAGTCCCACGTCACTGCGGTTAGAGTGGCTCCTCCCAGCCCAGCCCCCGGCTGGCGGCAGTGACCCCCATGCCAGTCAGGGCCCCTGCCTCCTGTTGCCCTGGCGACCAGCTGTGTTATGGACTGAGCCGGGATCCCACCACATCCCTGCCCCCTCACCAGGGCACCAGCCACTCCCCACATCCGGAGAAGGACATTACACGGTGGCCCCAGCTCACCGTGACAAACTCAATTGCCTGGTGTCTGGAGCACCAGGAAAGACTTTGTCTACCTACATAATGGTTCAGAAGGGCAGAGAGGTCCCAGGGATCTGTGGGGACTCCCAGCCAGGTGCCTGAAATCCCCGGGGAAGGGTCCCAGTATTGCTCAAGGGCACTGGTGGGGCAGGTCAGACAGGAATAGACCCCAGGCCTGGCCCAGCCCCCACCTCAGGAATGACTCACCACCCACCCAGCTCCCGATGACATCAAGGCCTGGCCTGCCACCCTGACCTGGCCCCAGGCCAGAACTGGGGGGGCGCACCCAAGAAGTGTCACATCTGGCTGTCCCTGCCTGGCTGGGATCTGGTACGCAGAGGGTTAAGGAGAGCCCTTCTGGGGGTCTCCCCCCCATCCCATCCCCCCCACTTTCCCGGGGATTTCGGGCCCCAGCCCCTCTGACGTCACTGGGGGTTGCTATGGCAACTGGCCGAAGTTCCCAAATAAAATTACCGCGGGCGGGTTAAGTTTCCTAGGAGGCAGCCGACGGGTAAACAATGGCGGTGGCAGGCGGGGCCGGCGAGAGGCCGTCTCCCCCTCTTACCCCCGACTCTGCTGGGACCTGGGGGTCCCTGGGGCGAGGGGCAGGGTCCCCCTCCCTGCCCAGGATCTGAGAGCCCTCGAGCCAGCGAGGGGATTGGCGCCCAGATGAGGGACAGCGAGGCCACGACCCACATGAGCGGGGGATGGGGACGAGGGGTCTTTGGAGGGGAGGCTGGGGCGGCGGGGAACAAAGAGGGGACCGGAGGCCTGGGGATCCACCCTCCACACACCCTCCCCCCTAACCCCGCTCCCGGCCGGCCGCCAGTCCAGCTGTGGCTGTTCCCAGCTCCCTGGCTCCCCACATCTGGCGGGCCGCGCGCTCACTTCCTGTCGCCCCGGCTGCCTGGAGGGAGGTAAAAATAACCCGCCCCCTCCCCCTGCCGGCGGCGCAGACGGCGGATCCTCCCAGCCTGGAGGAGGGCGAGGCCGAGCCTCAGCCGGGAGAGGAGGCCCCCTGAGGCCGCCTCCCGTCCCTCCCAGTGCCTCGCTGTCCTGGCAGGAGGGGGGCAAGTAGGGGTGCCACAGAGCCTAGGCTGCGCTGGGGGACTGGGGAAGCGCATCCCATGAGAAAGGCCCTTAGCTGGGTCACCAGGAACCCAGGGAACCATAGTGTCCAACCACCCCCACCAATCCCGTGGGGGAGGGGGTTCAAGTTCTGAGAGTTGAGGGACTGCAGCCAACATGCCTGGGTTCCAATCGAGGGTCACCCACTTCCTAACCTAACAGTATAAACAAGTTACCAAAAAAAAAAAAAAGCCCCCCCCCCGCACACACACGACAAGAGCAAAACTGCTCCAGGCCTCAGTTTACCTAGCTGTAAAATGGGCATGATAGCAGTACTCACTTCAAAGTGCATTTGTTGGGTTAGGAGTGTCAACTCACTCTATAATCCCAAAACTTTGGGAGGCTGTGGCAGGAGGATCGCTTGAACTTAGGAGTTTGAGACCAGCCTAGGCAACATAGTGAGACCCCCATCTCTACGAAAAAGTGAATAAGTAAAATGAAAACACATAAAAAAGAAAAATAAAGTGCATTTATTCCCTGAGTGTTAGCTATGATCGTTTCCCCCTCCCCAGGGGCCCCTGAGACCCACCCCCCTCCACCAAGTACAGTTCCCAGATGAGACACAGGACACCCAGTGAAACTTAATTTTTCAGATACACAGCGGATCTCTTTTTTTAGTATAAGTATGTCCCATGCAATTTTGGGGACATCGCTATACTAAAAAAAAAGTTTTATACTAAAAAAAAATTACTTGTTCTGTATCTGAAATTCAAATTTAACTGATGTCCTGTATTTTTTATTTGTTAAATCTGCCAACTGTATCCTTAAGTCACCATCATCTCTGGCCTAAATATATTCCAACAGCCACCTCCCTGGTCCTCTCCGACTTTCCTTATGCCTTCTAGCCATTCTCCAGAGACAGCCCGTTAAATCCAATCACGTGTCCCCTCTACCTTCCACTTGGAAAAGTTCCTGGTGTCCCAACCTCTCCCGCAGGAAGGTCCTGCCTGTTATTCGCCAACTCCCGAGCATCCTTCAGTTCCCAGGGTATCACCTCCTCCGAGAAGCCCTCCTCACCTTCTTGGCTTTAGACTGTCCAGGATCCCTGTAACTCAGCCATCTCCCCAACTCAACCATTTGAGTGATTGACTTGGTCATGTGAGCCAAATGGACATTTCTTACAGGACTCAAAGCTGGTCACTTCCCAGGCAGCTGGTCCATCTCCGTGTCTGAGATGCTAGTATCTACTCTTCTCCCCGCCCCATAGGATCTGGGGCTCCGGAAGGCCCCTCAGGCAGCTCCCTTAAGGGTCCTGTGGGCGGCTCAGTGGTGACTATTGGGGTGCCAGGGAGCCCGGAGTTCAGGCCATCTGAAGCTGGTGCTGGGAAACTCTCTCCCTGCACTCAGATGGCATGGGAAGTCTAGGGGGGTGCTGGTGCAACCTCTGTAGTGCACAGCCTTCAGTATCATGTGTCGACAGCCCCCAAGGAGCCCACCAGGCGCCATCCCCCACTTGCATAACCTACCCACACTTCAATGTAGCCTTGGCACCTATCCCCACAACGCCTGAAGACTCCCACAGATATGGCCCTGCCAAGGCCAGGCATGCACCCTCCTGAGACAGGTTTGGGAGCCCGGATGCCAGCTTGGCTGTGCATCCTCTGGCAAAGGACATTGACCCTCTGTTGACTCAGTTTCCCCATCTGTAAAATGAGAATGTCAATGAAACGTCAGAGGGCCATGGTGAACACTATTTTTAATTTTTATTATTATTATTTTTTGAGACGGAGTTTCACTCTTGTCACCCAGGCTGGAGTGCAGTGGCACGATCTTGGCCCACTGCAACCTCTGCCTCCCGGGTTCAAGCGATTCTCCTGCCTCGGTCTCCCAAGTAGCTGGGATTAGAGGTGCTGGCCATCACGCTCGGCTAATTTTTGTATTTTTAGTACAGACGGGGTTTCACCATTTTGCCCAGGCTGGTCTTGAACTCCTGACATCAAGTGATCCACGGGCTTCGGCTTCCTAAAGTGCTGGGATTATAGGCGTGAGCCGCCGCGCCCGACTTCATGGTGAACATTACATGAGTTAATACACATAGGCCCACACATGCATAGAACAGGCTTAGAACATAGAACGTGCTCATTAAGTGTTAGCTAGTTTGGGAGGTCGGCAGGGGTGGGGAGGATGCAAAAAAGCCCTCATCACAGCGCTCCTGACAGCTCCCGCCAGGCCAGCTCCCCAAATCCCTTAGGAAAATGGCCTCGACCTCTCAGCTGCAACTCTGGCCCAGCCGCCATCTCCTGACCTGACCGCCCACTTCTGGGGAGCCCCGGTGGGTCTGGATTGGAGAGAGCCACCCTCAGCCCTCCCCACCTTCATTGGACCACAGCTGTCTCCTTCACCATCACCTCCGTGCCCACCAGGATTACAGGCCTGATCTGAACCCCTAATCTAGGGAAGACTACGGAGTCCCAAAATCCCTCTTAGCGCGCACCCCGGCCTGAGGCTCGAACCCAGGTCCGCGCTGGAGGGCGGTGGCGGTTGCCGAGCAACGCGCTGTTTGTTGGCGCGGGGGGCGGGGCCGGGGCCGGCGCGCGGTGACTCACCGCGGCGTGATGCGGACGGGCGCGGCGCCCAGCAGCCTGGCCGGCGGCCCGATCTCGGCTGGCCTCGGCGTCCGGAGGGGCCCGGCGGCGGGGGCGCCTTAGCCCCCAAGTGGGCGCCGGAGGCCCGTGGGGAAGCGGCGGAGCAGGTCCCGGGCTCTCGGACTCGGTTCGAATCCCAGCCCTGCCTCTTACTCTTGACTCTTGATCTGTGACTTCAAGGCTCCTTGCCTCAGTTTACCCGTCAGTAAAAGAAGCGACACTGGAGGGTGCAGTAACCCACCACTGGCATTTAAAGCAGCTGAGATGATCACGCAGTGACACTGCGGGGCAGCAAGTTTGGGACACCCAGATTCTGCACGTGAATCTCCTGTGTTAAACTCTGCAACCTCACGGAGAATCAATTTCCGCATCTGTTACAGGGCAGTAGCAAGAACAAACACCCTGCCTCTCGGGTGGTTTGAGAATCCCGTGAATTCATAGTGAGACAATGCGTGGCACATTTCAGTACCATGTCTGCTGCCCCACGGAGGGACGGGATGTAGGAGGTTTTCTCTGTGGTCCGAGCTCAGGAGGGCAAGGAGGTGAGGGCAAGACTGGAACCCCTAGAAGTGGGTGGCAAGTCACAGGTCCAGGGCAGGGTGGCATGACCATGGCTGCAGAGGCCCCTATCCCGAAGCTGGCTCACAGCACCTGCTGCGGGCAGGCAGAAGGGGGGCCTGGGGGTGAGTCACCGCCCAGCAATGAGGCTTGAGTCACACAGGGCGGGGTCCCCCGTTAGCCCCCCCAGCTGCTCCCACAAAGGCCCTTTGAGAAGAGTTCCCCACCCCCTACTCCCACCCCCTAGGCCCTCTCTAGGGGTGGGCTGTGGGGCCGAGGCCCTGCTGGGCTGCCCCCAGGAGCCCGGCCTGGGTCTGGGAGGCGCCAGCCAGTTTCAGCCATGTCTGTGAAAAGTCACCATAGGAAGCTGGGTGTCCCCCGGGGAGGGGGCTTCCAGGCTGCCTGAGTCACTGGAATGGTGGAGGGTCACACGCGCAGGGCCCACGCACACAGCGGGCAAATTGAGTCAGACTGTCTGGTGGGGCGGGCAGGCCAGGACGCTTCGAGTCAGGCTGAGAAGGAAACCTGGGAAGAGACATGGTTCTTCCAAGCCTGTGGCCTCTGGCAGAGAAAGAGGGTGCTTGAGGGCACATATGGTGGGTTTCACCACACCTCCTGCCTAGGCCTCCCCTCCTTGCCTGCCCCGAAACAGTCTCCCCCACCTTTCTATCCTTCTTAAACTTGGAGTGAGAAGGACAGCAAGCTGGATGGGATTCCAGGGAGGCACTCTACTAGCGGAAGAATTGAGATTTTTTTTTTTAATTTTATTATTTATTTATTTATATTTATTTACTTTTTTTTTTGAGACTGAGTCTCACCCTGTCACCCAGGCTGGAGTGCAGTAGCACAATCTCGGCTCACTGCAACCTCTGCCTCCCAGGTTCAAGCGATTCTCCTGCTTCAGCCTCCCAAGTAGCTGGGACTACGAGCACACGCCACCATGCCCAACTAATTTTTGTAGTTTTAGTAGAGATGGGGTTTCACCATGTTGGCCAGGGCAGTCTCGAACTCCTGACCTCAGGTGATCCGCCTGCCTTGGCCTCCCAAAGTGCTGGGATTAAAGGCGTGAGCTACTGCGCCTGGCCAATTTGTATTTATTTATGTATTGAGACAGGGTCTCATTGTGTCGCCCAGGCTGGAGTGCAGTGGCACAATCACGTCTTACTGCAGCCTCGACCTCCTGAACTCAGCTGAGCCTCCCACCTCAGCCTCCCAAGTAGCTGGGACCACAGGTGAGAGCGACCACACCCAGCTAATTTTTGTATTTTTTTTTTTTTTTTTGTAGAGACAGGGTTATGCTGTGTTGCCCAGGCGGGTCTGGAATTCCTGACTCGAATTCCTGCCCTCAAGAGTTCCGCCCACCTTAGCCTCCTAAAGTGCTGGGATTACAGGCATGAGCCCCTGGGCCCTGACCTGTTTGTTTATTTTTTAGAGATAGGGGTGTCTCCATGTTGCCCTGGCTGGCCTCAAACTCCTGGGTTTAAGGGATCCTCCCGAGTAGCTGGGAATACAGGCAAATATGTCCACACCCAGCTTTAAGATAAAAAAAAATTATTATTATTTAATATTTATTTATTTATTGAGATGGAGTCTCTGTCACCCAGGCTGGAGTGCAGTGGCGCGATCTCGGCTCACTGCAGCCTCCACCTCCCAGGTTAAAGCGATTCTCCTGCCTCAGCCTCTGAAGTAGCTGAGACTACAGGCGTGTGCCACCATGCCTGGCTAATTTTTTGTATTTTTTAAGTAGAGACGGGGTTTCGCCATGTTAGCTAGGATGGTCTCGATCTCCTGACCTGGTGATCCACCTGCCTCGGCCTCCCAAAGTGCTGGGATTACAGGCGTGAGCCACCACGCCCAGCCCAGGATCAAAATTTTTTAAGACAAGGTCTCACCACTGCCATCTCAAGCTCCGGGGCTCAAAGGATCCTTCTACCTCAACCTCCAGAGTAGCTGGAACTACAGGTGAGCACCACCACACCTGGCTAATTTATTTATCTTGTGGGGGTCGGGGCGTGAGGGTCTTGCTGTGTTGCCTAGACTGGTCTCCAACTCCTGGCCTTAAGTGAGCCTCCTGCCTCAGCCTCCCAAGTAGCTAGGACTACAGGCATGTGCAAGCACACCCAGCTTATTTATACACATTTATTTTATTTTATTTTATTTTATTTTTTTTTAGAGACAGGGTCTTACTATGTTTCCCAGGCTGGTCTTGAATTCCTGGTCTCAACCAATCCTCCTCCTGCATTGGTCTCCCAAAGTGCTGGTATTACAGGCATGAGCCACCTCGGCTGACCACTTTGCTTTTTCTATTTGTTGACTGAGATGGCTATAAAGGGACTAACAGACTGGTAGCCTATACAGACAGCATGGATAAGCTGGGTAAAGGGATGATTCACATCCCAGGACTGTGGGAGATTTCATCACACTACTCAGAACGGCCTGGAATGTGAAGGTATGACTTGTTTTATTTCTGGAATTTTCTTTCTTTTTTTTTTTTCTGAGACCGAGTCTCGCTCTGTCACCCAGGCTGGAGTGCAGTGGTGTGATCTCTGCTCATTGCAACCTCTGCCTACCGTGTTCAGGCCATTCACCTGCCTCAGCCTCCCGAGTAGCTGGGATTACAGGCGCGTGCCACCACGCCCGGTTAATTTTTGTATTTTTAGTAGAGGCGGGGTTTCACCATGTTGGCCAGGCTGGTCTCGAACTCCTGACGTCAGGTGATCCGCCTGCCTCGGCCCCCCAAAATGCTGGGATTAAAGGCGTGAGCCACCTCGCCCAGCCTCTGGAATTTTCCATTTAATATTTTTGGACCAAAGTTGACCAAGGATAACTGAAACCGAGGAAATCGAAACTGCAGATAAGGGGGACGACTGTATACAGTCAAATGTGTTTAGAATATTCATAGACTTATGCAACCATCACCACAATAAATTTTAGAACATTCCTTTTTTTTTGGAGACAGAGTCTCACTCTGTCACCCAGGCAGGAGTGCAGTGGTGTGATCTCGGCTCACTGCAACCTCCGCCTCCCAGGTTCAAGCGATTCTCCTGCCTCAGCCTCCCAAGTAGCTGGGATTACAGGCGAGCACCACCACGCCCAGCTAATTTTTGTATTTTTAGTAGAGACAGGGTTTCACCATGTTGGCCAGACTGGTCTCGAACTCCTGACCTAGTAATCTGCCCGCCTTGGCCTCCGGAAGTGCTGGGATTACAGGCGTGAGCCACTGTGCCTGGTCCACACCAGCTAATTTTTTGTATTTTAGTAGAGATGAGGTTTCACCGTGTTGCCCAGCCTAGTCTCCAACTCCTGAGCTCAGGCAATCCGCCTGCATCAGCCTTCCAAAATTCTGGGATTAGAGGCAGGAGCCACTACGCCCGGCCTTTTTTTTCGCTGAGGCAGGATCTTACTGTGTAGCCCAGAGTGGAGTGCAGTGGCGGCATCCTGGCTCATTGCAACCACTGCCTCCCGGGCTCAAGCAATCCTCCCACCTCAGCCTTTGGAATAGCTGAGACTGCAGGCGCCCGCCACCACGCCCAGCTAATTTTTTTTTTTTTTTTTTTTTTTTTTTTGAGACGGAGTCTACCTCTGTCGCCCAGGCTGCAGTGCAGTGGCGCCATCTCTGCTCACTGCAAGCTCCGCCTCCCGGGTTCACGCCATTCTCCTGCCTCAGCCTTCCGAGTAGCTGGGACTACAGGCGCCCGTTACCACGCCTGGCTAATTTTTTGTATTTTTAGTGGAGACGGGGTTTCACCGTGTTAGCCAGGATGGTCTCAATCTCCTGACCTCGTGATCCGCAAGATTACAGGCGTGAGCCACCGCGCCTGGCCATTTTTTTTTTTTTTTTTTTTTAAAGACAGGGCGTTGCTATGTTGCTCAGGCTGTTCTCAAACACCTGGGCTCAAGCAGTCCTCCCACATCGGCCTTCCAAAGTGCTGGGATTACAGCATGAGTGACCACGCCCTGCCCAACTTTAGAACATTTCCATCACCCGCAAAAGAAATCTCAAGCCCATTAGAAATCATTTTCTGGCCGGGTGTGGTGGCTCACGCCTGTAACCCCAGCACTTTGGGAGGCCAAGGCAGGTGGATCACCTGAGGTCAGGAGTTCGAGACCAGCCTGGCCAACACGGTGAAACCCCGTCTCTACTAACAATACAAAAATTAGTCAGGTATGGTGGCACATGCCTGTAGTCCCAGCTATTCGGGAGGCTGAGTTGGGAGAATCACTTGAACCCGGGAGGCAGAGGTTGCAGTGAGCCGAGATCATGCCACTGCACTCCATCCTGGGTGACAGAGCGAGACTCTGTCTCAAAAAAAGAAAGGAAAGAAAGGAAGGAAAGGAAAGAAAAGGAAAAGAGAAGAGAAAAGAAATCACTTTCTATTTCACCCCCCAACATTCTCAGCCTCTGGCAACCCTGGTCTACTTTTTGTCTCTGAGTATAAATGCTGTCAACAGAGTTCATCCATGTTATAACAAGTGTAACAAGCGTGAGTACCTTATTCCTTTTTATTGCCAAATAATATGTGATACGGGCTGGGTGTGGTGGCCCATGCCTGTAATCCCAGTACTTTGGGAGGCTGAGGTGGGAGGATCACTTCACCTCAGGAGCTTGAGACCAGCCTGGGCAATGTAGTGAAACCCTATCCCTACAAAAATTACAAAAATTAGCTGGGCATGGTGGTCCTCGCCTGTAGTCCCAGCTACTCAGGACACTGGGGCAAGAGGATCACTTGAGCCCAGGAGGTCGAGGCTGCAATGGGCTAGGATTCTTTTACTGTACTCCAGCCTGGGCAACAGAGTGAGACTTTGTTTCTAAAATGACGAGACCTCGTTTCTAAAATAAAAATGAGGCTGGGCGGGGTGGCTCATGCCTGTGATCCCAACACTTTAGGAGGCTGAGGCAGGTGGATGACTTGAGCTCAGTAGTTCAAGACCAGCCGGGCCAACATGGTGAAACCTGTCTCTACTAAAAATACAAAAATTAGCCAGGCATGGTGGCGGGCACCTTTAATACCAGCTACTTGGGAGGCTGAGGCAGGAGAATCGCTTGAACGTGGGAGGCCCAGGTTGCAGTGAGCCGAGATTGCACCATTGCACTCCAGCCTGGGCAACAGAGCAAGACTTCGTCTCAAAAAAAAAAAAAAAAAAAAAAAAAGCTGGGCGTGGTGGCACGTGCCTGTAATCCCAGCTACTCCGGAGGCTGAGGCAGGAGAATCTCTTGAACCCGGGAGGCAGAGGTTGCAGTGAGCCGAGATCACGCCACTGCACTCCAGCCTGGGCGACACAGTGAGACTCTGTCTCAAAAATAAATAAATAAATAAATAAATATAAAATAAAAATGAAAATAAAATAGACCAAAGCTATGTCCCAGGAACAAAGTATTTGAGAAGCAGATGCTGTCTCACAAAGAAGACTGAGACAGAGAAGGGATGTCAGGAGGATCTAGTGTCCCAAGGCCAAGGAGGAACCAGGCAAAGGTGACAGATACTACACGGAGCTCAAGGACAGCTACAGCTGAGAACTTGGCCTGACTCTGAAGTCTGATATCAGTAGTGTGATCAGGCAGCCGCCTGATAAGTAAATGGGAGGGAAGGCAATAAAGGCAGTGTCTAAAGAAATATATTGTGAGCCACAAATGCAAGCCACATATGTAATGAAAACTTTTTTAGTAGCCACATTTTTTTAAAAAAGTAGCAGGTGAAATTAATTTTATTTTATTCACATTTATTTATTTATTTTTGAGACACAGTATCACTCTGTCACGCAGAATGGAGTGCAGTGGTAGGATCTCGGCTCACTGTAACCTCTGCCTCCCAGGTTCAAGTGATTCTCCTGCCTCAGCTTCCCAAGTAGTTGGGATTACAGGTGCGTGCCACCACACCCAGCCAATTTTATATTTTTAGTAGAGACGGGGTTTTGCCATGTTGGCCAGGCTGGTTTTGAACTCCTGACCACAAGTGATCCACCTGCCTCAGCCTCCCAAAGTGCTGGGATTGCGGGCATAAACTAGTGAGCCTGCCAAAATTAATTTTTTTTTTTTGAGACGGAGTCTTGCTCTGTTGCCCAGGCTGGAGCGCAGTGGCACGATCTTGGCTCACTGCAACCTCTGCCTCCCGGGTTTAAGTGATTCTCCTGCCTCAGCCTCCCAAGCAGTCAGGATTACAGGTGTATGTCACCATGCCCAGCCAATTTTATATTTTTAGTAGAGACGGGGTTTCGCCATGTTGGCCAGGCTGGTTTTGAACTCCTGACCTCAAGTGATCTGCCTGCCTCAGCCTCCTAAAGTGCTGGGATTACAGGCATGAGCCAGTGAGCCTGCCAGAATTATTTTTTTTTTTAATTTGAGACGGAGTCTTGTCCTGTTGCCCAGGCTGGAGTGCAGTGGCATGGTCTCAGCTCATTGCAACCTCCACTTCCTGGGTTCAAGTGATTTTCCTGCCTCAGCCTCCAAGTAGCTGGGATTGCAGGTGCCTGCCACCACACCTGGCTAATTTTTGTATTTTTAGTAGAGACGGAGTTTCACCATGTTGGCCAGGCTGGTCTTGAACTCCTGACCTCAGGTGATCCACCCGCCTCGGCCTCCCAAAGTGCTGGGATTACAGGTGTGAGTTACTACACTTGGCTACAAAATTAATTTTAATAAGATTTTATTTAACTGAGTATATCCAAAATAGTATCCTTTTAACATATAATCAAGGTAAATATTATGAATGAGATATTTCAGTTTTTTGGTACTGTCTTCAAAAATCTGATGTGGATTTTATACTTATAACATCTCAATTCAAACTGTTAGGTTGGTGCAAAGTAATTGTGGTTCTTGCCATCATTACTTTCTTTCTTTCTTTTCTTTTTTTTTTTTTTTGAGACGGAGTCTCACCCTGTCCCCCAGGCTGGAGTGCAGTGGTGCGATCTCAGCTAATGCAAGCTCCGCCTCCCAGGTTCACGCCATTCTCCTGCCTCAGCCTCCCGAGTAGCTGGGACTACAGGCACCCGCCACTACACCTGGCTATTTTTTTTGTATTTTTAGTAGAGACGGGGTTTCACCGTGTTAGGATGGTCTCGATCTCCTGACCTTGTGATCCACCCGCCTCAGCCTCCCAAAGTGCTGGGATTACAGGCATAAGCCACCGCGCCTGCTTTTTTTTTTTTTTTTTTTTTTTTTGAGGAAGAGTCTTGCTCTGTTGCCAGGCTGGAGTGCAGTGGCACAGTCTCGGTTCACTGCAACCTCTGCCTCCCGGGTTCAAGCGATTCTCCTGCCTCAGCCTCCCGAGTAGCTGGGATTACAGGCATGCACCACCACACCTGGCTAATTTTTGTGTTTTTAGTAGAGACGGGGTTGCACCATGATGGCCAGGCTGGTCTCAAACTCCTGACCTCAGGTATCCACCCTCCTCGGCCTCCCAAAGTGCTGGGATTACAGGCGTGAGCCACTGCACCCGGCTGCCATTACTTCGAAGAATAGCTGTATTTCAGGTGCTCAGTAGCCACGTGACCAGTAGTAACGTCATTGGAAAATGCAGTCCAGACAGGCCCGAGTCCTGCCCTTGTGTGACTCATGTCACTCACCTATCCCTAATCCCAGCTCTGTTGGATCCTATCTTTATTGAAAAAAACAATTTTTTTTTTCTAGACAGGGTGGAATGCAGTGGTGTGATCATGGCTCACTGCAGCCTCCACCTCTGGAGCTCAACCAGTCCTCTCACTTCTGCCTCTGAATAGCTGGGACCACAAGCGTACACCACCACGCCCAGCTAATTTTTAAAATTTTTGTAGAGGCCGGGTGCGGTGGCTCATACCTATAATCCCAGCACTTCGGGAGGCCAAGGCGAGCGGATCACTTGAGGTCAAGAGTTTGAGACCAGCCTAGCCAACATGGCAAAACCCCATTTCTACTAAAAATACAAAAATTAGCTGAGCATGGTGGCGGGCGCCTGTAATCCCAGCTACTCTGGAGGCTGAGGCACGAGAATCGCTTAAACCTGGGAGAGATGATTGCAATAAGCCGAGATCATGCCACTGCACTCCAGCCTGGGCAACAGAGTGAGACTCCGTCTCAAAAAACAAAACAAAATAAAATAAAATAATAAAACCCTTGATTGGGCATGGTGGCTCATGCTTGTAATCCCAAGACTTTGGGAGGCTGAGGAGGGTGGATCATTTGAGCCCAGTAGTTTGAGACCAGCCTGAGCAACATAGTGAGACACTGTCACTACAAAAAAATTTAAAAATTAGCCAGGTGTGGTGGTGTGTGCCAGTAGTCCCAGCTAGTTGGGAGGCTGGGGCAGGAGAATTGCCGAAACCCAGGTTGAGGCCTCAATGGGCTAGGAGTGTGCTACTGAACTCCAGCCTGGGCAACACAGCAAGATCCCGTTTCTAAAAAACAAATCAAACAAACAAAAATCCCTAAGCCTTCTCATCATACTTAAATCCAAACTCCTTACTGATCAAGGACCTATAAGACGTCACCTCCTCAAAAGCCTTCCCAGATTGCACTTTCATCTTCCAGGCTGGGCCTTGACTCTCAGCACTGAAAACTCTTCATTGTAATTGGCTAGCTACATGACTAGCCCCCTGCCAGATGGTGGCAGGCAAGCTCCTAGTCTGTTTTGTCCCTCCCCCACTTCCCATCATCTCACCCCACATGCATGCCAGGAACATAGTGATTATTAATGCATTAATTCACTAGATATTGACTAAGGGCCTTTTTTAAGTTCTCCAGCAGTGATGAAGACAAACGTTGTAGGCTGGGCACGGTGGCTCATACCTGTCATCCCAGCACTTTGGGAGACTGAGGCAGGAGGATCGCTTGAGCCCAGGAGTTCGAGACTGCCCTGGGCAACAAAGTGAGACCCACCCCCATCTCTCCAAAAAAAAAAAAAAAAAAAAAAAAGACAACAGCTATTGTGCTGGCAGAGCTGACAATCAAGTACAGGAGACAGACAAGAAACAAGATGTGTAGTAAAACATGTAGTGTGTTGAAAGGTGACAGGGCCAGGCGCGGTGGCTCACGCCTGTAATCCCAGCACTTTGGGAGGCCGAGGCAGGCGGATCACGAGGTCAAGAGTTTGAGACCAGCCTGGCCAACATAGTGAAACCCCGTCTCTACTAAAAATACAAAAAATTAGCCGGGCATGGTGGTGGCACCTGTAATCCCAGCGACTTGGGAGGCTGAGGCAGGAGAATGGCTTGAACCCGGGAGCGGAGGTTGCAGTGAGCCGAGATCGCGCCATTGCACTTCAGCCTGGGCGACAGCGAGACTCCATCTCAAAAAAAAAAAAAAAAAAAAAAAAAGGTGACAGGGTTGTGAGAAATAAATAGAGGAGAAAGCAAGGTGGGTGCAATTTTGAAATAGGGGAGTCGGCCGGGCTCCATCTGTAATTCCAGCACTTTGGGAGGCTGAGGTGGGCGGATTGCCTGAGCTCAGGAGTTTGAGACCAGCCTGGGTAACATGGTGAAACCCTGTCTCTACTAAAAATACAAAAAAAATTAGCTGGGTGTCGTGGTGGTTGCCTGTAATCCCAGCTGAGGAGGTCTGGAATGGGGTGAATGAGGGAGGGAGTGGAGAGGGTGAGGCAGAGAGGAGACAGGAGACTGTGCAAAGCCTTCTGGGTCCTGGGGAGGACTTTGGCTTTTGCTCTGAATAAGGTGGGAGCCATTGAGGGTTCTGAGCAGAGGAGGGACTGGACCTGACTTGGGTGCTCACAGGCGCCCCGCCCCGGCTGCTGTGGTGGGGAGGGGATTAGGGGGATGGGGACAGACTGTCGGGGGCTGCAAGGTGTGCAGAGAGGTGGCAACTGGAGCAATTCTGGGGAGAGATGATGGAAGCCGGACCAGGGTGGGCCTTGGAGAAGTCAGGATTCTGGATGCATTAGAAGGGACAGTAACTAGCCTGGGAGCAGTGGCTCATGCCTGTAATCCCAGCACTTTAAGAGGCCAAGACGGGTGGATTGCTTGAGTCTAGGAGTTCGAGACCAGCCTGGGCAACATAGCAAGACCTATCTCTACTAAAAATACAAAAAAATCAGCCAGGCGTGGTGGCAGGTGCCTGTTGCCCCAACTATTTGGGAGGCTGAAAGAAATGGGAGGATGGCTTGAATCCGGGAGGCGGAGGATACAGTGAGCAGAGATCGTGCCACTGTACTCCAGCCTGGGCGATAGAGCCAGACCCTGTTTCAGAAGAAAAAAAAAAAAAGGACAGTAAGCAAAATTGTTAATGGGTTGCATCTGTTAATAAAAGTTTTTGTCTGAGCAGCTGGGAGGATGGAGCTGCCATTTCCGGAGACCGGGAAGATGGCGGGAGACCGTTTGCAGTTGAGGAAATGAGCTCTGAGCCCAGGGCTTCGTTCTGGCCCTGAAGTGTCCCTGCCCAGACTCTGGTGGGGTGCGGAGGAAAGCACCCACATGGCCTAGGCTTTGCCTCCTCGGGGCTTTCTCTCGGTCGATGCCTGAGTGTGCAAACTACACCCACATCTGAGTATACAGGGGCACCTCCGAAGACCCCCACGGCCTGACACATCCACCCAGTGTCCAATGGCCACAGCCTTGGGGGACTTCGGGGGCTGGAGTTCCGGGCTGATGGAGTTGAGAAGGGCTGCCTGGCTCTTACACCCACCTTGGGTCCCCACGGAGACCCCCAAGGGGACAGGAGGTGAAATCTCCCAGGGAGAGGTTCAGGAAGAGCTGCTGCTGTGTCGCAGCCCTGGGCTCCCCCTATGAGTCAGCACTGGCAGGGGCCCCAGGAACTGGGGACCGGGGGTGTGTAGGGGGGAGGGCAGTTCCCACGCCCTAAGGCGTCTGGGGCGCTGGGGCTTCCCCCACCGCTCCTCCCATCCTGTGCTGGGCTCTGGGGATCTTCAGAGGAGTCTGGGGGGTGAGAAGCCCAGGGCGGATTGGCCACTGGGCCAGGATCCAGGAATCCTCTCTCCTGGTCTGACCCAGTTCAGGAATGCAGAGGCCGCCCGCCCCGGCAAATGCGTTGCAGCAAGAAGGAGAGTTAGACGTAGAGAAACACCGAGTGAGTTGGACATTTGTGTGGACGGCACTTCTAGGGGGCTTTATTTAAGAAGGGGCCCTTCCTTCTGGGGACTCTGCATTTGAGCAGTGGAGGCTCCAGCCTGGGGTGTCCAGGCAGAGTCCTCAGCTACCGTGGAGTGGGAGGTGGCGGGGAGGAGGGGGAGGAGACTGCGCTGAGAGCTGAGATCAGTCCCGCCGGCCTCCACAGCTGGGAGGGCGCTGGACTCTGCTGCCCCCTGCTGGTGGCTGCAGGAAATTCAGCGAGCAGGACAGCTGGCCGGTCCTGGAGAAGAGACGGGGGGAAAGGCCTCGCACAGAAAGAATTCCAGCTCTGCCTTTTTTTTTTCTTTTTTCTTTTTTTTTGAGACGGAGTCTCGCTCTGTGGCCCAGGCTGGAGTGCAGTGGCACAATCTCGGCTCACTGCAACCTCCGCCTCCCGGGTTCAAGTGATTCTCATGCTTTAGCTTCCTGAGTAGCTGGGATTATAGGCGCGTGCCACCACGCCCGGCTAATTTTTGTGTTTTTAGTAGAGAAGAGATTTCACCATGTTGGTCAGGCTGGTCTCGAACTCCTGACCTCGTGATCCGCCCGCCTCGGCCTCCCAAAATGCTGTGATTACAGGTGTGAGCCACCACGCCTGGCCCCAGCCCTGCCTCTTACAGGCGGTACCACCTTGGGCAAGGGCAGGCCCCATCTGGGCCTCGGTTGCCCATCTGTGGAAAGGGCAGTATTCACTTCATTGGCCTGCTGGGAAGAATCTGAGATGATGATAGGCATTCCTGGGACCAGGAAGAAGGTTCGAAGATACAGCTGGGGAGAACTCTACCCTGGGCCCACCCTTCTAAAGAGAATAGTCCCTGCCTCAAGGGTTGCTCTGGTCTGGATGGGAGACGAGGCTCATACACGTCTATGAGTGGATGAATGAGTGAATGAATAAATGTGAATGTTGCATATTCCAAAGCAAGTCCCTCCCCAACCCCTTCCGCCTCTTTTTCTAAGAGAGGAACTCTTTCCCCAATACGCTCTTTTTTTTAGAGATGAAGTCTCTGTCTGTTGCACAGGCTGGAGTACAGTGGCACCATCATAGCTCATTGTAGCCTTGAACTCCTGGGCTCAACGGATCCTTTTGCTTCAGCCTCCCAAGTAGCTGGGACTATAGGCGCTCACCACCACACCCAGCTAATTTTTTTTTTAATTTTATTTTTGTAGAGACAGTGTCTCGCTGTGTTGCCCAGACTGGTCTTGAACTCCTGGCCTCAAGCGATTCTCCTGCCTCGGCCTCCCAAAGTGCTGGGATTACAGGCTTGAGCCACTGTGCCCGGCCCCCCTTGCCTCTTTTCTGTAAGAAGGGCTGGCCGGCAGGGGGGCGGGCGGCACAGGAGGGCCATCAACAGAGCTGACTGGCCCCCCCCAACCCCATGGAGGTATGATTACTAGATTGCAATGAACTCCCATTCTCTCCCCTGCACGTGTCTCTCCATCCCCACTCTGGGAGAAGACTTCCTTTGGGAGAGGTTAGGTGTAGACTACAGCTGGCCCCTCTAACCTTTGGTGGGGTTGGGGGTCGGGGGAGTGGTCCTGGAGACATCCACTCTCCTGGACCTGGAACCAGACTTTCTGGGCTGAGACCTGAAGGCAGCTGGACGATGTGGGAGGGTGAACCTGTCAAGGAGAAACTGAGGCAGGACTGTGGTGGAGGAGGCTGAAAGGAAGTGAGGGGTGCGCGATCAGGTGGGGAAGGGCCATGGCCCCATAAGGGTTAAGGTCTGGGCTTGGAAGGGGGCCAGTCAAAGGTTTCTCCATCCCCCTCTCAGACTGGGGTGGGGGATAAATAAACAGAATGAGAAATCTGTCAGCTCAGCCCGGGCCAATGGGAGGCTGCCTGGCGCCATGGTTTGCCCTGATGTGACCTTCCTCTACCAGCCGCGGTGGCCACTGCGGGCAGGGGCAGTGTGTGGAGCCTCAGCCAGGGTACGATCATTCCAGCCTTGTGCATGCTCTTATACCTGGGCAGGGGGAGGGGGGATGTCTGGGGAGGAGTACCGTCTGTGCAAGGATCTTTGGGAGATCCGGGGAGCCCCATCCTTTGTACAGCTTGCATGTGGTCTGTGCACCTGGCCTGTATATATGCTTGTGCCTCATGGTCCCAGGTACACATCCCCACGTGCCCCTGAATTGCGTGTGTCCATGTGGACCCCTGTGGCTCTGGGACCTGCTGGGGGTCTTGTGCATGTGGCTGTTGGCTGTGTTTCTCTGCCTCTGCGACTGGTCCATTTGACCCGAGTGGCTGTGCATATATGTGTGTGTCTGTGAACTTTGTGGATCTGTGTCTCCATGGGTGTGTTCTGGTTCTATGTCTATATCCATGTATTAGGTTATTTTGTGTGTGTCACGGTGCTCCTGTGGCTGTGTACCTGGGGTACTGTGTGTGTATGTTGGGGGGTATATCTCAGGTCTGTGGATACCCCAGTGCGTCTGTGATCTCCTGCGTGTCCGTGTGTCTTGTGTGAGCTGTGCGTGCCCGGGGTTCAGCCGCGTTTCTGCATATTTCGGTTCTAAGGACCTTCCCTCCTGTCCTGAATGTGGTGTGTCTGTGTACCTTGCATGTGTCTGGTGCCCCCGGGTGTCCCTCTGTGTGTAGCTGGGTTTTATGACCACCCTCGTGCGGCCCGGCACGCCCGCACGTCCCGCCACCCCCTCCCTTGGGTGTGTGTCTCGCAGCCCCCTGCACACCGTTCCCTATGTCTGTGGCCCGCGTGCCTTTGTGCGCGTGTGCTCCCCCCGGCGCCTTTGAGGTCTGCGTGCGTCTGGGTCCCTGCGTGTGCCCGCCCGCGCCCCCGTGTCCCTGATTCCCCCGCGCGGGCCCCGGGAGCTGCGTTTTGGAGACCCACGGGCATCCCCCGAGTGCGTCCCGGTGCGCCTGGCAGGAGGCCTCGGGACGCGCACGGCCGCGGCTGGACCCACCGCCCGGCGCGGCGCGGGGAGGAGGGAGGGGGCGGCGGCAGCGGGGAGCGCGGGCACGTCACCGAGACAGACAGGCGGGCGGGCGGCGGCGGCCACGGGTTCGAGCCGGCGCCGGAGCCCCGCGGCCCCCTCCCCCCCCCCGCCCACGGCCTAGGGAGCCCCCGCCCTGCCCCGGAGCCGCCGAAATGCAATTTCCCGTGCAGGCGCCTCGGGCCCGGGGGGCTTTTCCGGGCGGGTTTTGGAAAGAAGAGGGGGAAATGCGGCGGCGGCCCCAATCGAGGTGAGCGCGGGCGCCGGGCGGGCCGGGGGCACGGGCGGGGCGGGGGCCGCCCGCGGGCAGGGGGCGCGGCGGGGCGGGGCGGGACGCGGCCGCAGCCCCCTCGCGCACCTGCTCGCAGCCCCGGGGCGGGCGCCCCGGCCTCTGCGGCCCGGCCCTCCATTGTTGTTGGGGCTTGGAAGGGGGGCGGGGAGGCCCCGGCGGCATCTCTGCGTCTCGCCTTTCCGGAGAGGGGGCGCCGGGAGGGTCGGACTCTGCAAAGGGGACAGACCCCCGAGTCCCGGAGCCGGGGCCGCCAGGGGGAGGGCAAGCGGAGATGCCCTCGCGGGGCGGGGACGCGCGATGGGGGGCGTGGGGACAGCGGCGCCCCGACCGCCCGACACCTGACCGCGCGCGGGGAGGCCACGGGCCGGGGCGGCGGCGAGCTTTGTTCTTGGGGGCGCGGGGCGGGTGGGGCGCTCGGAAATCGAATGCCAGAAGAGAGTACGGCCCGGCGCGCGCGCGTTCGTGAAGGCTGCTCCGGCCAAGTTCATGGGCGCTCGGGCCTGCGGAGACCGATCCTGGCGGGGGCCCCGCTCAGGCCTGGCCGCGGGCTGGGGGTGCTGCAGCCGCGCCACCTCCGGAAGCCCTGGCGCCCTGCGCGGGCCGCCCCTCCGGCCTGTCATTACCGGCAGCAGCTGCAGGGTATTTACTGGGGCCAAGGTTTGCGAACAGGAACCCGCCCTCCAAAACTGGCCATAAAAAGGGAAAATGGCCCCGAATCCCACTGCCGGGGAGCCCTTTTAAAGCTACAGGGCGCCTTTCACGGCGACCTGCCCTGGAGGGCAGGCTGGGGGTGGGGGGGTGGAAAAGACACCTCATTGGCTGATAGGGACTGAGACGTCCCCCCCACGGTCCCACACTTCGGTTCCCCTCCCCCCATCTCTTTCCCTACCCATTCCACACCCCTGGACTGCTCACAGATGCATTAAGCCAGCCACGATTAGATATTCCCAAGGCCCTGATGGAGACCCCCAAAATTACACGCTATACACAGACATACAGCACCCCGATTAATACGCAGTCGAAAGTGATGCTGACACACACATACAGTCCCCACAATAACACTGCCACGTGTGTAGACACGTCACCCACAAGGGCTCGGACATCCAGGGATAGTGCCCATTGAAAGGCTGTCACACAGAAATGGAGCCACCAACGAAGGCAGCTACAACATAGACACAGCCTTTCGCATAACACTGACACACAGAAGTGGGTGTTCACCCACAGCATGTCACTCAGGGTAGCAATGACAAACGCAGATCCCTAAAGCCCATCAGTCAGGCACACACAGACTCCGACTCCATCGTTCACAATACCTGGGACACACACAGACATCCATGTGTCCTCCCAACCAAGTTCACACCTGCACACTCACAGTCACCCACAGTCACCCCCACCACACACACACACATACACACACACACAGACGGTACAAGGCCTGCAGAAACACATCTGACAGCAGGTCACACATAATCTTTTTTATTTTTATTTACTTATTTATTTTGAGATGGAGTCTCTCTTGGCTGCCCAGGTTGGAATGCCGTGGCACGATCTCCCGGATTCAAGCAATTCTCTTGCCTCAGCCTCCTGAGTAGCTGGGATTACAGGCGCGTGCCACCACACCAGGCTAATTTTTGTATTTTTAGTAGAGATGGGGTTTCACCATGTTGGCCAGGCTGGTCTTGAACTCCTGACCTCAGGGGATCCGCTGGCTTCAGCCTCCCAAAGTGCTGGGATTACAGGTGTGAACCGCCGCACCCGGCCACAGTTTCCTTTTTATTTTTTTGAGACAGGGTCTCACTCTGCTGCCTAGGCTGGAGTGCAGTGGCACGATCTAGGCTCACTGCAATCTAGGCTCACTGCAATCTAGGCCCATCTCCTGGGCTCAAGCAATCCTCCCACCTCAGCTTCCCGAGTAGCTGGGAGAACAGGTGCGCACCACCACACCTGGGTAATTTTTGTATTTTTTGTAGAGATGGAGTTTTGCCGGTTGCCCAGGCTCGTCTCAAACTCGTTGAGCTCTAGCTATCCACCCACCTCGGCTTCCCAGAGCGCCGAGCCACCATGCCTGGCCCAAATTTTTGTTTGTTTGTTTTGTTTTTTGAGACAGGGTCTGGCTCTGTCACCCAGACTGGAGTTCAGTGGCACGATCATAGCTCACAGCAGCCTCAAACTCTCAGACTCAAATGATCCTCCCACATTAGCCTCCCGAGTAGCAGGTCTCAGTAATCTTGATATACACACACATACAGACCACCCCCGCCCAAGAACACAACTGCACACATGGACACACAGTTGTTCACAGTAAAATGGATCCTCTTAGCCACCCACAAAGACACTGTCACCCACAAAGATATATGAGCACGAACCCAGTGGCCATATGCCCATCGTCACCTACCCTGAGACTTGTTTAGGCACTCAGACACCTGCACATCTACAATAATACTGACATACACACAGACACAGTAACACATGCATACACACTGGCATGCATAGACTCACGGGGAAATGACACACAGGCAGGCAGAAATCCTGTCATCTGGATGCCCACAAACCCAATAATATTTTTTTTTTTTTGGAGACAGAGTCTTGCTCTGTCACCCAGGCTGGAGTGCTCTGTCACCCAGGCTGGAGTGCAGTGACACAATCTCAGCTCACTGCAATCTCCAACTCCCAGGTTCAAGCGATTCTCCTGCCTCAGCCTCTCGAGTAGCTGGGATTACAGGCGCCCGCTACCATGCCTGGCTAATTTTTGTATTTTTAATAGAGACAGAGTTTCACAATGTTGTCCAGGCTAGTCTTGAACTCCTGATCTCAGGTGATCCACCCACCTCGGTCTCCCAAAGTGCCGAGATTACAGGTGTGAGCCAGTGCGTCCGGCCCCAATACTCATTTATTGAGCATCTGTTATGTACCCAGCACTGTTCTAGCACTGGGGATGCAGCTGTGAACAAGAGGGAAATCTGAACGAGCACAGTGGTTCACGCCTGTAATCTCAGCACTTTGGGAGGCCGAGGTGGCAGGATCACTTGAGATGAGGAGTTTAAAAAACATATTAGCTGGGCGTGGTGGTGTGCGCCTATAGTCTCAGGTACTAGGGAGGCTGAGGCGGGAGGATCGCTTTGAGCCCAGGAGTTTGAGATTGCAGTGAGCTATGATGGCACCACTGCACTCTAGCCTGGGTGACAGCGAGACCTAGTCTCTTTTAAAAAAAAAAAAAAGAATGAAATCCCTGTCTTCCCACACCTGACATTTTAGTGGGGAATGGGATGGGGGGGACACCATGACTGGATGATACAGACTCCAGTCACTCATAGTGACACCAGCAGACACCAGACACCCACGCACACTGGCTCACATGTCGACCTGGAATTACACACAATTAGCCTGATATACACCCACAGCAATGCTGACATCCACACACAAACAGAAGCCCACAGGAACTTACACACACACGCACACACACAGCTGGTGGAGAGACAGCCACCTGCTATAGCACACTCCCACCTGGACTTACAGACACCCACAGAACCCCCCAAAATACCTCAGCAAAGTAGCTTGGACCTGAAGCCCCTATTTATAGACCCATAGAAACATCCTACAAGAGTTCTTGAGACGGAGCCCACCCTGACCCCAAACCCAGGGTCACCCAGCACCATAAGCCTCAGTAGAAGTGTCTGAATTTCCCTTATTAAAAAATTTTTTTAATTTGTTTTTTGTAGAGATGAGGTCTCACTGCGTTGCCCAGGCTGATCTTGAACTCCTGGGCTCAAGTGATCCTCCTGCCTCGGCCTCCCAAAGCGTTGGGACTACGGGCATGAGCCACCGTGCCCGGCCTGAATTCTCCTTCAGCTTGGCCCCTCCATAGCCCCCAATCCCATTCCTGGAGAAGCCAGAACCTTCTCGCCTTCCCCAGCCCTGGCCTCACATCTGGCAGGCCTGGGAAGGAAGCTGGGCTCCTAGCCCACCCACCGCCCACGGGCTGGGTGGGACAGAGGAGCCCCTTGTCTGAGGACCCCTGGCATGAAAGACTCCCGCAGCTGGAAAGGAAGTGGGGGAGGTGGCCTGCGGAGGGTGGGGTGGGAACCTCAGAGCCCACGCAGGTATCACTGAAACGAGACACCCCTGCTTGCCAGTCTAGACAGCCTGGGCCATCACCGTGACCCCACGGAGACCCCCACAGGGCTCTTGGTGTCGCTGGAACCCCCATAATGGGCTCTTTGTCTGCCAGGTCCTGACGACCTCCCCCACCCCGTGTCCCCCTTCCAGGCCCAAGTACACACACACACACACGCACGCACACACACACACACACGCACACACATACAGTTACATACAACACACAGACACACAGGAGCATATATATAGGTACTCATGCGTGAACATACAGAGACACCCCCAACCCCCATGCACCAAGGCTCAGGGTTGAGATCGAGAGGAGACAGCTTGCCACCTCCCACCCTGAGGGACTTCACAGTCAAGACTTCAAGAATCACGGGCAGGACACACGGGCCGCCAGACACCCCTGGGAGCTTGGAGACCTGGCCTTCTAGCCATGCCCACCTTGTTCTTCAACTATTTTTTTTTTTTTGAGACAGGGTCTCACTCCTGTAGCCTGGGCTGGAGTGCAGTGGCGTGACTGCGTCTCACTCACTGCAGCCTCGACTTCCCTGGCTTCCGTCAGCCTCGACTTCCCTGGCTTGCGTGATCCTCCCACCTCAGCCTCCCAAATAGCTGGGACTACAGGCGCACACCACCACACCCGGCTAAGTTTTTCTATTTTTAGTTGAGCCAGGGTTTCACCATGTTGCTCAGGCTGGTCTTGAACTCCTGTGCTCAGTCAGTCTTCCTGCTTTGGCCTCCCAAAGCAGTGGGATGACGGGCATGAGCCACCCGGCGCCCAGCCTTGTTCTTCAGCTTGACGGTAGAGCTGCCTCCATCCATCCATCCATCCATCACTTGCTCACCTGCCTCTGCTAGGACTTCTCACCTCCGACTCTGATCCCCCGACTTGTGCCAGCTGCCCTGCACCTTCCTGGTGCTATGTGTGGGGGGGTGGGGGCAAGGCCCTGGGATAGCGTGGCTTTTTTTTTTTTTTTTTTTTTTTTTGAGACGGAGTCTCACTCTGTCACTCAGGCTGGAGTGCAGTGGCTCAATCTCGGCTCACTGCAATCTCTGCCTCCCAGGTTCAAGCAATTCTCGTGCCTCAGCCTCCCAAGTAGCTGGGACTACAGGTGTGCGCCACCATGCCTGGCTACTTTTTTTTTGTTTGTTTGTATTTTTAGTAGAGATGGGGTTTCACCATGTTGGTTAGGCTGGTCTCGAACTCCTGACCTCAACTGATCTGCCCGCCTCGGCCTCCCAAAGTGCTGGGATTACAGGAATGAGCCACCGTGCCCGGCTCATAACGTGGCTTTTAGAGGGCCGTCCCCCACACCCCACTTATCCCCAGCTCCCCTGCCCAGAAAGACCCTCCCAGCTGCACTGGGGTCAGGTGAGGGGTCCCAGGAACTAAGGATAAAGAAGAAGCAAAATGAAGGCCCTGAAAGACACCCCTACCCCCCATGCACTGAGGCTCAGGGTCACAAGCAGGAGGAGACAGCTTGTCACCTCCCACTCTGAGGGACTTCAAAGTCAAACCAGCAGACAGCTGCAACCAGACAAGCAGGGCAGGGCTGCAGACTCCCTCAGGGGACAGGAGGGGACAGGTATCACGGTCACCAGTCACAGACAGGAGATGGAGATGGGGGGTAAACAGCTAGACACATACAGGCAGATCCAGACAGTTTGAGGCAGGTGCACGGGCTGGGCAGGAGACCCAGATGGAGAACAGATGTGTGAGGGGCATAGTCCGACCCAGACAGACGACCCTGGGATGACCAAGAGACAGGTGGACCCAGATGGACACTGAGGGCCAGAAGCCTGCACGGACCACAGGCAAAGAAGAGAGATAGTCAGACCCAGGATTGGGGCTGCCGGCCTCCTGTCGCCCCAGCCCCAGCTTCCTGGCCTTCAAGACCAGACCCCTCTTCCACTGTGGTCTTGTGTCTTGTCTTAGGGAGAAACCTTACAGGGAACAACCTCCTTGGCAGTTCAAGGCCAAAGCCCTCAGAGGGAGGAGTGGGAGGCAGAAAGGACACACAGGAGGTGTCTGGGGAACCCCCTCCAACATAGCCAGAATGTCTCCTGCCTGATGACCCCCCGCCCCCAACATTAAAGCTGTTCACAGTCATCAAGAAGAAAGATTCCTGTGGGACGAGGTGGCTCATGCCTGTAATCCCAGAACTTTGGGAGGCCCAGGAGTTCGCGACCAGCCTGGGCAACATAGTGAGATCTCATCTCTACAAAACTTTTTTTTATTTGTTTGTTTTTGTTTTAAGTTAGCCAGGCCAGGCACCTGTGATCCCAGCTACTTGGGAAGCTAAGGTGGGAGGATTGGTTGGGGCTGGGAGGTCGAGGCTGCAGTGAGCTGTGATTGCGCCACTGCACTCCAGCCTGGGCAACAGAGCGAGACCCCGTCTCAAAACAAAACAAAACAAAACAACAACAGCAACAAAAAAGAGAATAAAGATTTTTCTTTTTTAAAGAAACGGGGTTTTAAAGAACCACTGCTGGGTGCCGTGGTTCATGCCTGTAATCCCAGCACTTTGGGAGGCCCAGGAGTTGGAGACCAACCTGGCCAACATAGTGAAACCCTGTCTCTACTCAAAATACAAAAATTAGCTGGCCATAGTGGCAGGTGCCTGTAGTCCCAGCTACTCAGGAGGCTGAGGCAGGAGAACTGCTTGAACCCAGGAGGTGGAAATTGCAGTGGGCAGAGATCGCGCCACTGCACTCCAGCCTGGGTGACAGAGCAAGACTCCATCTCAAAAAAAAAAAAAAAAAGAGAGAGAGAGAGAGATGGGGGTCTCACTGTGTTTTCCAGGCTAGTCTCAACTTCTGGGCTCCAGCCATCCTCCTGCCTCCCAACTAGCTGGGACTACAGACAAGAACCAAGCTTTTGAGGAATCTTGAGAGTTCTGGACTAACAGAGCCACTTACCTTCCCAGTCCACAAAATGGGTATATCCTGCTCACAGCGTGATGAATGTAGCGTTATCATCAGTAATGTAATTATTAACACCTGTGCTCCCAACTCACTCTCCTTCCCAAGTCCTAGGCGTTCTCCTCCTTAGAATGATGATCCACAAGGCAGGGGACCGGCCACCTCCCTCGGAAGGGCCTGGACACCTGGGGTGGAGGTGGCGGATAAAGAGAAGCCGATCAGGCCCCCCCACTCCACAGCCTGAATGGGAGGATCTGCTGGACGTGGCGGATGAGCTGCGAGAGAGGGCGCCCCACTCCAGCTCCAGACAGAGGGGTGGGAACGTGACCCCGACCCGGGGCGGGTGAGAGGGCGGGCTCTGGGGAAAGGGCTCTAGAAGGTGCCGGGAGGCGGGAGGGGGGCTTCGGGAGGGCGAGTTAGCCGGGATCGGGCTTGAGGGGCCCTACGAAATTCGGTTTGGGGGCGTGCCCGGTCGGGGCGGACCTTAGTGGGGGGTTGGGCTTCGTGGGGGCAGGACGCAGTCCCGGGGCGTCTATAGAGCAGGCTTTTGTGGAGGGCTCTAAGGGGGCGGGCCCTAAGGGAGCTGGGCTCTTTGAGGACTGGCTTAGGGGTTTGGCGGTGGGCTCCGTGGGAGTCTATATGGGCGGGTTTTAGAGGGAGTGTGTTCTGGGGAACAGGTCAAAAGCGACGGGGCTCTAAGGGGCAGGGCCTGGGCTGGGGCCTTGGCTGGTGGCTCCAGACTGTGGGTGGGGCTCTCGGGGGCGGGGCTCTCGGGGGCGCGTCCTCGGGGGCTCGGCCGGGTTCCGTTGCCACCACCGTGAGGGGTGTGGTGGGGGGGTGGTTCACGCAGCTCGGCACACTTGGGGGTCCCTCATCTACCTTGGGGTTATGCCAGGCGGTTATTTTGGGCCTCAGTATTCCCCTCGGTGAAATGCCAGGGGCCAGGAAATTACTTATTTTTTTGCGACGACGGGGTCTCGTCCTGTGACCCAGGCTGGAATACAGTGGCGCGATCACGGCTCACTGCAGCCTCGAGCCTCGAACTCTTGGGGTCCAAGCGATCCTCCCATCTCAGCCTCCTAAGTAGCTAAGACTACAGGCTCACTACACCACACCCAGCTAATTTTTTTGTAGGGACAGGTATCTCGCTATGTTGCTCAGGTTGGTCTCCATCTCCTGGGCTCAAAAGATCCTCCCGCCTCAGCCTCCCAAAATACTGAATTACAGGCCTGAGCCGCAGCACCCGGCCATGCCGGGTGCACCTTCCTAGGCCGTCCGCAGACCCAGGTCAGGGGCGAAGGCGCGCTCGCCCATCCCTGGTCGTCACTGCTTGGCTTGCGGGGGGTGGGAGATAGGGGTGCGTACCTGTAGGCCTGGGGGCACCCGGGGCGGGGGGGTGGTCGCCGAACTCTGTGCGATCACTGGAGGAAGGGACTGGGGGTCATTTGAGGGATGAGGAAATGGAGAGGGGGCGCCGCAGCCGGTTTTGAGGCCCAAGGGGCAGCCCCCACGTGGCTGCGCGGACTCCCTCCGGAAGTGCCCGAGTTCAGATGCTGTGTGACCGCGCACGCGGGGCGAGCGGCGCCCTCTCTGAACCTCCTGCCTCTCCCCTGTCTAGTGGGGCCCCAGTGCACTTGTAAAGTGGAGAGACCTGACGACCCCCCACCCCCAAGCGCTCCACTCACGCTGTTGTGATTCCTAAACCATCGTGCCCGGAACTCAGTGAAGCTCCCAGAACGTATTACATTGTATTAAAATGGCTTGTTTATCTCCACGTTGCATCAATGCCCTCGGGGCCAGGATCCTCCGTTGCCAGACTTCCCGGGAACACTTGGAATGCCTCCTCCACCTCGGACTAGCAGTGGCCTTTGGCCTCAGTCTCCCCAGTTGACAAAGGGGGGTAATCTGCACCTCCAGGATCACTTTGTGAATTACTTAAGGAGCGGGCTTGAGGCCAGCACTCCCCTGCACTGCTACATCTCCATCCCCATAGCAAAGGCTACATTTTATTTACTAGCATTTATATTTGCCTTGTGTTTTTCCCAGATCTAGGTGCAAACAGCACCTGAAAAGCGTTTGTTTATTTCATGAGAGAAAAGGGGTTCCTTACTCTCTCCTCCTCTCCCTCTTCATGCTCTCTGGTTCCCTGCCACCTACCCCACCCCCGACTCCAGGTCCCGGAAAATTTGCCAAGGGTTTGGGGGAACATTCAACCTGTCGGTGAGTTTGGGCAGCTCAGGCAAACCATCGACCGTTGAGTGGACCCTGAGGCCTGGAATTGCCATCCTCCTGCCGGTGACTCTGACCTTCCAGATCTAGGGGGGCCTGGGGAGCCCCCAATCCAGCCTGGGCACGTCCCCTCCCCTAGGCCACAGCCGAGGTCACAATCAACATTCATTGTTGTCGGTGGGTTGTGAGGACTGAGGCCAGACCCACCGGGGGATGAATGTCACTGTGGCTGGGCCAGACACGGCTTAAGGGGAATGGGGACTGGGGACAGGACCCCCCACCGCCACAGTCACTCAGCCTGTTTTTTGCCCTGACCCCAACCACTCCTCTTTGGAGAGGAGAGCTGGTGTCTGGAATCTGGATGGGCTCTGGCTGGATTTGGGACTAAATATTAGAGGGTTGGGGGTAAACAGGCTGGGGCAGGGCAGCTAAAATCCCCTTTTTTTTTTTTTTTTAAGACAGAGTCTCACTCTGTTGCCTAGGCTGGAGTGCAGTGGCCCAATCTCAGCTCACTGCAACCTCTGCCTCCAGGGTTTGAGTGATTCTCTGGCCTCAGCCTCCCAAGTAGCTGGGATTACAGGCATCTGCCACCACAGTGGGCTAATTTTTGTATTTTTAGTAGAGACGAGATTTCACTGTGTTGGCCAGGCTGGTCTCAAACTCCTGACCTCAAGTAATCCTCCCCCCTCGGCCTCCCAAAGTGCTGGGATTACAGGCATGAGCCACTTTGCCTGGCCTAAAACCCCTTTCTGAAATGTGGGTGGTAAGTTCTGCTCCGTGGAGTGCTCCATAGTTTTGTTTTTTAAATTAGAGACAGGATCTCGCTCTTGTCACCCAGGCTGGAGTGCAATGGTGTGACCTTAGCTCACTGCAGCCTCTAATAACTGGAGTCAAGCGTTGATCCTCCCGCCTCAGCCTCCCCAGTAGCCGGAACCACGGGCACGCACCACCACACCTAGCTTATTTCGAAAAAGTGTTTTTGTAGGAACAGGGTCTCAAAACGTTGCCCAGGCTGGTCTCCAACTCCTAGGTTCAAGCAATCCTCCTCGGCCTCTCAAAATGAGCCACAGTGCCTGGCCAATAAAAGTTTCTTAAATGAATGGATGGGTGGATGAGCTGTGTAAGCGGCACAGCGTCTCTCCTCTGTGTCCAAGTCCTGAGCACACCCTCCCCTCCTGGGACTGAGCTGAGATCTCATCTCGGGGAGGACACTGAAGACCTGTAGGTACTAGGGGTCCCCTCCTAACAGCCCAACTTGCTATCCCCCACCTCCCAACTCCAGAGGGTTCTTTCTCACCCCTCTGCAGCCCCCGCCAGGAAAGGGCTCCCTCCCCAGCACCTAGCCTCAGGGGGCCCCAGTAACTAGAAGAAGGAGGCAGATGTGGTGCTTTTTGTTGTTGTTGTTTTGAGACAGAGTCTTACTCTGTTTCCCAGGCTGGAGTGCAGTGGCTTGATCTTGGCTCACCGCAACCTCTGCCTCCTGGGTTCAAGCAATTCTTCTGCCTCAGCCTCCTGAGTAGCTGGGATCACAGGCACCCGCCACCATGCCCAGCTAATTTTGTGTGTGTGTGTGTGTGTGTGTGTATTTTTAGTAGAGACAGGGTTTCACCATGTTAGCCAGGCTGGTCTCGAACTCTTGACCTCAGGTGATCCGCCTGTCTTGGCCTCCCAAACTGTTGGGATGACAGGCATGAGCCACCACTCCCTGGCCTGGTGCATGTCTTTATAAATAACTGGATGGGCAGGTGGCTTCACACCTCAGTTTGCTCATCCATTCAATGGGGGTTCCACTAAGACAACCGATGTGAAAACTCTTGGAGGGAGACCAGAGCTGGGGGCCGGGGGGCATGATCCTTCCCCCCTACCCCCGCAACCAGCCCATGAGCCTGGGACTACCACACTCCTTTCAGAGACAGCTGGAGCATCAGCAACCTCCCGCCTGGACACACACACACACAAAGAACCCAGGGGCACCTGGCCACTCCCCCGCCCAGGGGAAGGAAGAAAAAGTTATAAAGAAGTTACTAAGTTAACTTCTTTAAGTTACTGGTAACTGCTAGTCTTTGGGGGTGGGGTTTCCAACCCATTCTCCCCATCCTCCAGTGGGGCTGGAGGGCTAAGGACTCCTACAAGGAGGGGAGGCAGGGTAGCCCCCCAATTCCCTGGAGGTGTGTACGGGGGGCTGTGGTGCACCTCGCAGGATGCCCCCCCACACACCCTGTGTCCTGTAGTCCCCCGGCACAGCCAGAGGCCATACAGCCCTTTAGGAGGAGTATTAGTGGGGCACCAGGCCCCCCTGTGACAATAAGGAACCTCCCACAGCCTGCTCCTCCCTCTTCACACCCCCTTGGAGGTAAAAGGAGGGTCGGCCAGCACAGACTCCCAGGCTCCAGAGAGGGGAAGGAAGGGGCAGCAGAGAGGGGTCAGAAGGAGGGAGCTTAAGCCAGGCAGGGTTACTTGTCTCTGTGACTCCTTCCGCCTGGCACATGCTGCCCAGCTATGGGGACCTTTGACCTGTGGACAGATTACCTGGGTTTGGCACACCTGGTTAGGGCTCTGAGTGGGAAAGAGGGTCCTGAAACCAGGCTGAGCCCCCAGCCAGAGCCAGAGCCAATGCTGGAGCCGGTGTCAGCCCTGGAGCCGATGCCAGCGCCGGAGTCGGTGCCAGTGCCGGGACCCAAGGATCAGAAGCGCAGCCTGGAGTCCTCGCCAGCTCCCGAACGCCTGTGCTCTTTCTGCAAACACAACGGCGAGTCCCGGGCCATCTACCAGTCCCACGTGCTGAAGGACGAGGCTGGCAGGGTGCTGTGTCCCATCCTGCGGGACTACGTGTGTCCCCAGTGCGGCGCCACACGTGAGCGCGCCCACACCCGACGCTTCTGCCCACTTACTGGCCAGGGCTACACCTCCGTCTACAGCCACACCACCCGAAACTCGGCAGGCAAGAAGCTGGTCCGGCCTGACAAGGCGAAGACACAGGACACAGGCCACCGCCGAGGAGGAGGAGGAGGAGCAGGTGCCTGCACAGGTGGCTGGGGGGGACCTGTCCGAGGGTAGTGGCTGAGCCCCCCTGTGAAGTAAGATTAGCCCCAGTACCCACCTCCAAGGGTTAGGGGAAGACCTTAGAGAGAGCTTAGAACAGCAGTTGATTTTATTTACGTATTTATTTATTTATCTTGAGACAGGTCTCTTTCTGTTGCTCAGGCTGGAGTGCAGTGGCGCCATCTCGGCTCACTGCAACCTCCACCTCCTGGATTCAAGCGATTCTCCTGCCCCAGCTTCCTGGGTAGCTGGGATTATAGGCGCGCGCCACCACACCCGGCTAATTGCCACCATGCCCGGCTAAATTTTGTATTTTTAGTAGAGATGGGGTTTCACCATGTTGGCCAGGCTGGTCTCAAAACTCCTGATCTCGTGATCCGCCCACCTCGGCCTCCCAAACTGCTGAGATTACAGGCGTGAGCACCGCACCGAGCCAGTTTGTTTATGTATTTATTTATTTATCTTGAGACAGAGTCTCTTTCTGTCACCCAGGCTGGAGTGCAGTGGCATGATCTTGGCTCACTGCAACCTCTGCCTTCCGGGTTCAAGCGATTCTTCTGCCTCAGCCTCCTGAGAAGCTGAGATTACAGGCGCCTGCCACCATGGCCAGCTAATTTTTGTATTTTTAGTAGAGATGGGGTTTCACCATGTTGGCCAGGCTGGTCTCGAACTCCCAACCTCGTGATCCACCCTCCTCAGCCTCCCAAAGTGCTGGGATTACAGGCATCAGCCACCACATCTGGCCCGCAGGGTTATTATAGATGCAGAAAGAAGACTTTTATTTTATTTATTTATCAATTTATTTTTCTTCCTTTTTTTTTTTAATTTTTTTTTTTGAGATAGAGTCTCGCTCTATCCACCCAGGCTGGATGGAGTTCAGTGGTGCGATCTTGGCTCACTGCAACCTCTGCCTCCTGGGTTCAAGCGATTCTCCTGCCTCAGCCTCCCGAGTAGCTGGAATTACAGGCGTGCACCACCATTCCTGGTGTGTTTTTTTTTTCCTCCCATAGAAACAGGGTCTTACTATGTTTCCCAGGCCGGTCTCAAACACGGCTTAGGTGATCCTCCTGCCTAGGCATCCCAAAATGCTAGGATTATAGGCGTGAGCCACCACGCCTGGCCCCAGTGAGGTTTTCTTTCTTTCTTTCTTTTATTTGATTATTTTTCTGAGATGGAGTCTTGCTCTGTCACCCAGGCTAGAGTGCAGTGGCGCGATCTTGGCTCACTGCAACCTGTCTCCCGGGTTCAAGCGATTCTCTTACCTCAGCCTCCCGAGTAGCTGGGATTACAGGCACCCACCACCACGCACGGCTAATTTTTGTATTTTTAGTACAGACGGGATTTCACCATCTTGGCCAGGCTGAGTCTTGAACTCCTGACCTCGAGATCCACCCGCCTTAGCCTCCCGAAGTGCTGATATTACAGGCTTGAGCCACCATGCCTGGCCCCCAGTGAGGTTTTAAAAGAGAAACTCGTTCTAGCAACTTAAATTGCCTTTGAGGAAGTCAGCTAACAGAGGAGGGGCCAGTCTAACTAGGTGTGTTTGGGCACTGCCTCCCCCAGCAGACTGTGAGCTCCTGGAGGATAGTGACTGGGAGAGGACGACCCCTCCCAACTACTCTCAGGCAGCTTTGCAGTGAACATTTCTTAAAGTCATGAAAGGGTCAGGTGTGATGGCTTACACCTGTAATCCCAATACTTTGGGAGGCCAAGGCAGGAGGATCGCTTGAGCCCAAGAGTTTGAGACCAGCCAGGGCAACATGGTGAAACCCAGTGTCTACAAAAAATTAGCTGGGCATGGTAGTGTGTGCCTGTAGTCCCAGCTACTTGGGAGGCTGACGAGGGAGGATCGCTTGGGTCCAGGGGACAGAGGCTGCAGTGAGCTGAGATGGTGCCACTGCACTGCAGCCTGGGCAACACAGCAAGACCTCGTCTTAAAAAAAAAAAAAAGCACTGGTCATGGTGGCTCATGCCTGTAATCCCAGTACTTGGGGAAGCTGAGGCAGGTGGATCACCTGAGGTCAGGAATTCAAGACCAGCCTGGCCAACATGGTGAAACCCCGTCTCTACTGAAAATACAAAAAATTAACTGGGCATGGTGGCATGCGCCTGTAATCCCTGCTACTCGGGGGGCTGAGACAGGAGAATCGCTAGAACCCGGGAGGTGGAGGTCGCAGTGAGCTGAGGTCACGTCACTGCACTCCAGCCTGGGCGACAGAGTGAGACTCCGTCTCACAAAAAAAAGAAAGCATGAAAGACTGCCTCCAGGAGAAGATAGTGTTTCCTGTGAGGTTTGATGCTGTCTCACTGGGAGACGCTGGAGGCCAAAAGGACATAGGGAAGATGGTGTCCTGCGGCCAGCCTTTCTGATGAACAACTTTTGGGAGTAACAGATCCGGGGACCCCAGAGCACGGCGGCCACGAGAGGGCACCACAGTCGCAGAATCGGAACTCCTGTGCTTTGTCTCGGGCTCTGGGTCCCAGCGGGGCCGCCCGGCGGAGCCAGAGACGTCACGGGGTCGCTGTCTCCGGAGCAGCCCCTGGGTGGCGCCAGAGGTCCAGCAGGCCCGGAGGCCGAGTCCGTGGGCAACTTGGGGAGCGTTGAGTCATCGCCTGTGATTAAGCATTTCTCTCCCTCCCCCTCCACTAGGTTTCAGAGGTGCCGGGAAGTCTGAGCCTTCGCCCTCCTGCTCTCCCTCCATGTCCACCTAGGAGGCTGCCTACACCTGGGCAAGGGCACCCGGGCTCGGCTGGATTTCCAGGAAGACCCACCCTATGACGACTGCCCCCACTCCCAGACCCTCCCCCCAGCCTGGGATTGAGCCCTGGGGATGACCCGGGGTTGGCAAGGGAAGAGCTGAAATCGCCCTGTCCTTGGGGACCCCACCCTTTGTGCCATCTGCCGTTTCCCTAGTGCTGGGCATCCAGTCAGCCCTCAATAAATGCTTATGAATGGATCAACAACAGACAAGCCCTGGTCTTGGGACAAGGTGTAGTGTGAACCTTGCTGGGAGTCCTGTACCTAGATCTCCCCTTCTCCTTCTTTGAGTTTCGGCACCCTGGGGTGCTGGGGTGAGCTGCTTTGTGCAGAGAAACACAAGTGGGTGCCTTGGGGTAGCTGGGGGGGTTCATGGCACCTCAAAGCCAGATCGACATCATGAGACCCTTTCTGTGGACATTTGGTCTTTCAGCCACCCCCTGCACTGACATGCAAGATGGGTGGACTCCTCCCATCCCACCCCCAGCTCCGTACTGGAGGTGGGGGCTTCATTTGAGGAAGAAATTGACACACAACTAGACAGAGCCCCCCCCCCCGACATCCTCATCACTAAGGAAGGTGAATGTTTATGTCACCATGGATGCCCCAGTGACAAGCCAGGCAGTTTAGAGCAAGGGAGGGACATTTAGGGGGCAGGGAATGGGACCATGTCCTGGGTGGGCTTGGGCAGGAGCAGAAGGATGGGGCTGTTCTGGCAGGGCGGGGGGGAAATGCATGTGGGGGAATCCCCACACCCCTGCCTGCCTCCTCCACCTCCAGATCTTGTCCTGTTGGGGCAACAGGTGGCAGTGCTCAGGAAGCCAGTGCGCCCACTGTGCAGTCCACATTCCTACCCCGCCCCCGTCCCACAAACCAGCCCTGAGGCCTGTGGTCTGGCAGCGGGGAGCAGGAATCGAGCTCTTTGCTGTCCCCTCTGCCCTTGGCTTTCCGACTTAAAAGACTTAAATTGGAACCGGAGGCCCTGGGGATGGGGGTGGGCTCTTGCAGACAGCTGGGTCGTGGAGGGGGAAGTGGGGAGGAGGAGAAAGAAAACAGAAGGATCCCAGCGGCTCCCAGGGTCTGGGAATGGAGTTACAGTTTCCTAGGGCAGAGCCGCTGGGGCTGGAGACCCGGGGAACTGGGCTTACACCAGGGCATGTCCTGGTGGACAGGGGGCTCACCTGGGTGTGAACCCACCCTGCTCTTTCCTCCCCTCCTGCATCAGGTCTCCAGGGTGTAAGGCTGCAGGGTGGGAGGAGGACCCCGCCTGAGCCATGGGAGCTGGGGTGCAGGAGTCACAGAGTGCTTCATGATGTCGAAGGTCCAGTCAGCCTTTCAGTGACAGATTTCACAGAGGCATTGTTTTCTGTAAACTGGGGATGACAGCAGCCCCTGTGGTTGCTAACAGGACTGTCATCTGGCTCGAGAGGCTTGCGTGGGATGAGAAATGCCACGACTTCAGCCATGTTTGCATCCATAACCTCCTGGGATGGCCTCCTTCCTGTCTGGGGCCCACAGGCAGCTTGTCCTGGAGGATGGGCCAAGCCACCGGAGCGCAGGACTCACCCTGCAGCTGGATGATCGCCCAGGGCGTCTCTTAGGCTTCGACCCGCGTGTATGCTCAAGAGCCTGCACACAGATGTGGGCACACAGTCACCCACCCCTGGAGATTCGCCCCCCCCTTGCTTTCCCAGGGAAGCTGAGGCATAAAACTCGTAGAGGGCGAGGAGGAGGAAGTGGGTAGAGAGG
This sequence comes from Homo sapiens, assembly GCF_000001405.40. Taxonomy (NCBI): domain Eukaryota; kingdom Metazoa; phylum Chordata; class Mammalia; order Primates; family Hominidae; genus Homo; species Homo sapiens. The sequence continues at coordinate 94,140 of NW_021160022.1, forward strand.
TTTGTGGGCGGAAGGTGAAGGAACTGAAGCCTCAGCCCCAAACAGCAGGTCACGGGGCCTCTACAGAATCATTTATTATGGGTCTTCCCAGAAGAAATAAAATGGAAATGGGGAGAAAGAAAACAAAGGGAGCTCTCTTCTCCTCCAGGAAAGAAACAAATTCTGAACCATCCATACTTGGCTCAGGACCCTAAAATTTGCAAATCCGGACAGGATGGGCCCTGCTCAGAGGTGGCCAGCTTCCTGGAGCCCAGGCCCGCTTGAAGTCACTGGGGCTGTGGGAGACACAGTTTCCCTCCCTGAAGCCAAGGGTGGCAAATGACCTTGACCCTGGCCAGGTGAGGCCAGGACCTCACGGCCTCCTTTGTGTTGTCCATGGAAGACCAACTTCCGGGCAACTGAAGGGAGGTTTGTAGGGTCCACTAGGACCCCCTGGAGCATCTTGGAGGAGGTCTGCGGACATGGGGGCTGGGTGGCAAAGGAAACACAGACCTCAAAGTGGCCTACAACTCCCTCCAGGGTGGGTCCCCTCGAGGGATATTCCCAGGCCCCTTGGAAGGGTAAGGCAGGGGGGCTTTGCCTCCCAGCTTTGTCTTCCGGTAGTTAAGGCGCTTGAAAGCTTCCAGGTCCCGGTGGGTGCCCATGATCAGCCGGCTGTGGGGGAAACACAGGCATGCGTGTGGGGCTCAGTGGTCACCAGGTGACAGAGGGGGCCGCGCCTCACAGCCACATGGTCACCAATGACTCAGGTGCACACACACGGCTCACACACGTGCACATAACCAGAAAGGGCCTGTTGTAGCACAGGCTGGGCCTGTTGCAGCCTTTCTTCAGAGCCTGTGTTCTGCAAAGGACGGGGGAGGGGGGCCACGGTGAGGACCCAGCAGCAGTGAGGTGCCTGACCCTCGCTGCCCACCTAGGGGCTTCACACTTCAGTCCCTCCCTGCTCCTCTGAGTCCCCACTGGCCTCCCGCAGACCCTGTGCCGTGAGTCCAAGCCCACCCCGTACTTCAGGTTGGAGAGCTCAACGATGAGGCCACGCACGACGTTGGTGGCATCCTCCATCCTGGAGGCCTCAGAGGCCTGGATCCCCACGAAGGTCCTGGCCAGCAGGGAAGGAAATTGAGAGTGGCCCGACCTCACTGGACTACCAGAGCTCTCCAGTGGGAGGGGCTTCCGCAGGGCCTCGCGCCATCTTTTCCAGGTGTCCAGCCTGTCCTCCTCTGTTCACGACAGAACCCTGATGGCCAACCCAGCTGGCTCCACTGCCCAGCAGGCCCAGAACCCAACCGCTTCTCCCCTACCTGCCCTGCCCTCTCAGGACGCTGCTGCCACCGCCTCCCTATCTCCTGCCCCTGTGGCTTGTCCCCCACAGGCACTGGGGGCTGTGAACTTGGAAACCTAGCTCAGAGGCAAGCCCTCTCCTCCCGCAGCTGTGCACCACCTGCCTGCCCCGTGCCCTCCCCTCATCCCCCGCTTCTCCCCTCCCCTCGGCTCTAGCCACACTAGACTCCTGGCCATTCCTTGAGCACCTCTCAGGATTCTGGAATGTTCTTTCCCAAATGTCTCCTCCTGGTGGTGGCTTCCCTGATTCCTCCTTACATTTTAACCCCTTCTCCGCTGCCTTTTTTTCCCCAACACTCTGCCATCTGACTATCTAATCTGCTGTCTCTCATGTCCCCACACCCCGAATCCCCCAGTAGCATTCAACTCTGTGTTTTGTCCCACACTGCCTCCCCAGCACCCAGGGCAGTGCTAGAAAGGCCAGCCCAGATGGCATTCATATCCTTGGAAGGTTTGGGAGGTCAAGGTGGGAGGATGGCTTGAACCCAGGAATTCAAGACCAGCCTCGGCAATGTAGTGAGACCCCCATCTCTACAAATAATACAAAATTAGCCAGGCATAGTGGTGCGCGCCTGTAGTCCCAGCTACTCAGGAGGATGAAGTGGGAGGATCAGTTGAGCCTGGGAGATGGAGGCTACAGTAAGCTATGATCCTGTACACCAGCCTGGGCAACAGAGCAAGACTCTATCTAAAAAATATCCCGCCAGGCACGATGGCTCATGCCTGTAATCCCACCACTTTGTGAGGCTGAGGCAGGTGGATTACTTGAATCCAGGAGTTTGAGACCAGCCTGGGCAACACGGCAAAATCCCATCTCTAAAAAAAAATATACAAAATTAGCCGGGTGTGGTGGCGGGTACCTGTAATCCCAGCTACTTAGGGGGCTGAAGTGGGAGAATCATGCGAGCCTGGGAGATCGAGGCTGCAGTGAGCTGAGGTTGCACCACTGCACTCCAGCCTGGGTGATGGGAGTAAGACTGTGTCTCAAAAAAAAAAAAAAAATCACGGAAGAGCCAAGGAGCCACAGAACACCTCCCCCACCCCACAGAACAGGTGCCACTCTCAGACACAGGCAGTACAGGTGGCCAGGCGGGTAAGTGGGGGCCACCCGCCCTAAACCCGCCCATGCCCCAGGCTTCGCAGCACCTCCGGGGCTGTCACTATGGAAACTGCTGTCCTGCTGCTCCTGCCTTGGTCACCCTGAGGTGTCTGGCAGCCCCTGGGTCTTAGCCTCTTGTGTGTGTCATTCAGCCTCAAGCCACCAAACCAGACCCGGGGCCCTCTGGGAGCTTCCAGACATCCAGGACGGTGGGGAGGGGAGCTGCATTGGCCCTGGGACGCTGTCGGAGATTCAGATGTGAACCCTCCCGGCTCTTCACTCAAACCACAGCGGGCCGCTCTGATGAACTGCCTCTGGTCCACGTGCAGGTTGTGTGTGTGGCTAAGGGAGGTGGCCAGTGGCACAGCAGGTACAAGTCACAGGGAGTGACGGCAGGAGGCAGGGACAGAGCCGCCCTCTGCTAGGGGAGGAGAAGGAGGAGGAGGGTGTGGGGGCCACACACAGCCAAGGGCTGAGTCCCAAACCCTCCTCCACCCCTGCCAGACAGAAACAGAAACTTGGCCATAAATAATTGATAAGCTGCCGCCTCTGCAGAGAGGCAGGTTCAAGTGCCAGGTAACAGAGAGGGCAGCCACCCAGCGCTGGCTTCGAGGAGGGCTGTGGGAGGGCACGGGAGGAGGGGACAGGCTGCGGAGACCCCGGGCATGGTGCGGGGGAGAGGGTGCCCTCCTCACACACAGCAGGCTGGAGGACGGCTCACTGGTGGCCTGTGGGAGGGAGGAGGTGGTTCGCCTAGGGCAAGAGCCAAGTGGGGAGGGGAGGAGGTGAGGGCAGGTTAGACTCACTCGGGTGCCCGCCTGGTGCCAGAGCTAGGAACAGCTCCAAGATGGTCTCAGCCAACAGTTCTGAGCCCTGTCTGGGTCCCCTCCCCTTCCCAGGGACTCAGGAGGAAGCTTTGGCCCCTCTTCCCAGAGAGAAAGAGCCCACAGAGCCGGAGGCACTGTCCCAGGGCTCCTGGGGAGCTTCTGGGTGGGGAGATGCTGGGTTGGGTGTCGATCACTGGTCACTGTCGCCCATTCTCTGCTTTCGGGGAGCAGGGGAATGTATACAGTTTGAAAGACAGGGCTCAGCTCCCCTGCTGGACTGAGGAAGTCGAGGCCCAGGGAGGGAGAACTGGGGTCTGTCTCCTCCATCTGTCACCCTCCTTGGTAAAATTTGTGAGGGTCCTGGAGCCACTTCTCACCCACGCCACACCTACCTCGGCTGGGCCTTGGCCACTGCAACAGGGTCTCCATTGGCATGTGAGCTGGGGCCCGGCCAGCAAGGGCCCGGCTTGTTCCCCGAAGGAAAGAGCTGGAAAGAGAGCACAAGGTGTGAGTGGTCGAGGCCTGGGTCGGGCAAGCTCTGCACAGGGGAACCAGAAGTCACGCTGATGCTTTTGGCTTCACCGCGGCCACAGCAGGTCACATCGGGGCTGGCTGGGACTCCTGCAGAGGAAGAGCGGTAACGGGGAGGAAATCCACGATGGGTAGACCCGAGGCTACCAGCCTGGGCTGCGCCCGTCCTTTCCCCTTGGAAAGAGAAAGGCCACAGCCAACCCTGGTGTCCGCTCCTAGGCCCGGGCCTCCCACAGGCTGATCTGGGCAGTGGGGGCACCACTGTGCCATGATCTCTGGCCCTGACACCACTGCAGTCTCCTGCATGCCCCTCACTGTCTTTACGGGTACAGAGAAAACACAAAGCGGGGGCAACTGCGGTGAAGTGGAGTCGTCTACCTTGGCTGAATGTGCCACAGACATCCTGTTAGGAAAGGAGTTTGCAAATATAACACGAGGGGAAAACTCCCAGTGAATACAGGGGAAAGCCTGGTAACTCCACGGCGCTTAAGCTTCTAAGCGTCAATGGTGGTTTAATTTCCATGGAAAATGTTAAGCTCCGTTACAGTGGTGACCTATGATGTCCCTCAGAAAAGAGGCAATGAGCCAGGCTGGGGACACCTGTAATCCCAGCACTTTGGAAGGCTGAGGTGGGAGGATTGTTTGAGGCCAAGAGTTCCAGACCAGCCTGGGCAACACGGCGAGACCCTGTCTGTACAAAAAAAAAAAAAAAAAATTAGCTGGGCATGGTGGCACGCACCTGTGGTCCTAGCTACTTGGGAGGCTGAGGCAGGAGGATCAACTGCTTGAGCCCGGGAGGTTGAGGCTGCAGTGAGCTGTGATTGTGCCACTGCACTCCAGCCTGGGCGACAGAGCAAGGCCCTGTCTCTAAAATTTAAATTAAATGACTCCATATGCAGATTGCAGAAGCTCCATCAGTCCAAGAGTGAGTGCAAAGGATCTATGAGAAAGTAACACCAAACCCTCCCATGACGAGACCTTGGTTTGAGGTTTGAAAGCTCTGTCTCTGCTGTGTCACCTCTGAGTCCCCTCCTCTAGCACAGTGTGTGGCCACAGTGAGGTCAGGAGGAGGTGCTGAGACGGCCCGCTCGATCCATCTTTGCTGTTCCCCGTGCCCCTGCCCATGTTGGGAGACACGGGCCTCGGCCTTCCTGCCGGGAGCCACCCGGAACCTTCCCACGGGAATGTGTTCCTTGCCTGGGTCGCCTCAACTTGCTGGGGAACGCCTCGTGTCAAAGCCAAACACGCCCAGGCCCTGGCAGTGCTGTCAGGGCGGTGCCTCCTCCCCTGGCTGGGGAAAGGCTGCTAATGCTGGTCGGGTTTGACCAGCCTGGCTGTCTGTCTGGATCCCCCCAAGTCTGGATTTCAGGGTCTTTTTCCAAGCTTGCAGTTTGGCAGCCCGTTTAGGAGGGCTAGGGGCTTCACCTGCTGGATGCCACCTAGGCACACCTGGCCCCAAACACCTTAACCATTTCCCAGCCTTCTCTCCAAGCCACCACTCACGAGACCACAGACTGGAGGCAATGGAGGCGGCTCTTCTCTCAAGCGAGGGATTTGCATTTTGCAAGGCATGAAGCTCTCATAAAATTTCAGCTGTGCCCAGCACCAGAACTCCTGCCTTTCCCACATGCTCGTGTTCAGCCTCTACCACTGAACCACACTGTGACTCACTTTTTTTTTTTTTTTGAGACAGGGAGTTCAGCACCCAGGCTGGAGTGCAGTGGTGTAATCTCGGCTCACTGCAACCTCAAACTCCTGGGCTCAAGTGATTCTCCTGCCTCAGCCTCCCAAGTAGCTGGGACTGCAGCCATGCATCCCCATGCCTGGCTAATTTTTTCTTTTCTTGAGAGAGTCTTGCTCTCTTGCCCAGGCTGGAGTGCAGTGGCGCGATCTTGGCTCACTGCAACCTCAGTCTCCCAGGTTCAAGTGATTCTTCTGCCTCAGCCTCCGGAGTAGCTGGGATTAGAGGCACACGCCACCATGCCCAGCTAATTTTTGTATTTTGGTAGAGATGGGGCTTCACCATGTTGGCCAGGCTGGTCCTGCTCTCCTGCCTCGGTCTCCCAAAGTCCTGAGATTACAGGTGGGAGCCACTGTGCCTGGCCATGAATTTTTTTTTTTTTTTTTAACATCTCAACACAGGGACAGCCAAAGAAACAGAGGCTGACATTTGAAAAGCAAATTGGACTCTGCGTTCCAGGACGCGGCGGCTGGGGCATGACCTGGGTGCCAGCCTGGCCTCCTCCCCTCCCACCTGCCTCACCTCTAGCAGGCGCACGAACTCCTCCAGAGTCTTCACTGCCACACCCAGTGTGTGGACAGAGAACTGCCTACCTCCCTGGGCGTGACTGTGATGCCCTCAGCCCAGGCTCAGGTGTGCCAACGGCTAGGGAGGTCGCTCTTTCCCTGGGGGGCAGGGCTGAAGCAAGGCTGCCATCTGCCCAGACAGGAGAATGAACGCCAACGGCTGGCACCGGCTCTGGAGCCAGAGGAGGCCACATCCGGGCAGCCGGTGGGGCGGGCAGATCCCTGAAGGAGGCAAAGCCCTTACACGTTCTGGCAGAAAAACAAAATGACTTATGTATGTTTGGAAAAGAATCATATCAGGACCCCCAGAGGACCCTAAGGAGATGGGCAAAGGCTCTTTTGCAGCTTGGGAGTGAAGCCCCCTCCCCAGGCCCAGGTATAAAGCCATCCCCAGGCCCAGCTTCTCTCCATCTGTGTCTACCCGCCTCAATACATCCCCTGGGACCCCACGGCCAGGGTCAGGCACTGAAGCAGAAGCTGCCAGGGGCTGGCACTCCTGGGGACTCCAGTTCAATGTGGGGGGCCCGGCTGAGAAAGCAGCTGTGTGTCACCATCCCTAGATATGTCGACAACCACCAAAAGGCAGGTCTACACTTTCTGGAAAACCACCGACTCCACACCCAGTAGAGCTGCAACTCGGACTCCTATAGTCGTTGGCTGTGTAAATGGTAAGCCCTGAGCCCCAGCTCCCCCTCTGCCACTGCACCGAGTGAGGAGGGGGCTTGTGGAGGTTGGGTGCCTGCCCTGGGCAGGTATGTCTGTCACTCAGGGCAGCTCTCACCTGCTCAGGTGGGGCTTCGAAGTCAGAGGCGTCCAGGGCATCCTGTATCTGGCTGTCCAGCAGGAAGTCGAGTTCCACAGCTAAAGAGTCTGCCCAGGTGCCCTGGTCTGCAGAATGAGGCAGGTGGTCTCGCTGCCCTGCCAGCTCTGAGGTGGTGTCTGGAATGCCCTGCTGAGCCCCGGGCTCCTGGAGAGGGTCGTCTGCTATTTCTCTGTGTTCCAGCACAACAGAGGCTTGCGGGGACACACGGAACCCCTCGAGGTCTCGTTCGAGGTTCTGGCCACCTAACTCGGCTTCCTCTTGAGCAGGACCTGGCTCCTGCTTCTGATTGACACATGGACCTGTGTCCGGGGATGCATGACCGGAATCTCCAGCACCCATCATGGACTCTCCGCTCCCAGGTGCCAGAGCCAGGGAGGCTGTAGGGCCCACTAGGACATCGCCGGGGGGCTTGCCATCCTGCCCTGCCTCCCCACTTTCTCCTGTGGTTTCCCCAGTGAGCGAGGTGCAGCCTGGCAAGGCCCTCCTGTGGCCTCCATCAGCGGCCTTCCTCCTGGGAGAGGCAGGTGATATGGCACTGGCCTGCCCATCGGGCCCAGCCACCTCCAGAGCCCTCTCTTCCAGCTCAGTGGGGTCTGTGCTCAGGTCTGCGATGACAACCATCCCGAGGGAGGAGCATCCCAGGCTGCTATGAGTCCCTTCCCCTTCCCTACCCATCCTGCTGGGGGTCTGCTGGGGGTCAGGGGAGCCCTGGGCCACAGACCCGGGTTCCAGGCACCAAGAGGCAGGGCCCAGTCCTGGAGCAGGGCCTGAGGTAGGAGCTGATGCTGGGGTACAGGGGACACCGTCTCCCTCCTCCTGGGGCCCTCCAGGCAGGCCAGCCCCTGCTGTCCTTTGGGCCCCTCCCTCCTGGGGGGCTCCTCTGTCTGGCTTCTCCCCTTCAGAATCAATGCTTGGTAGGTGTTCCTTTTGGCCACCGTCACCTGGAACCCTGTCTGTCTCAGGCTTGCTGTCATCGGCCCCTTGTTCTGACAGGTGGTCTTGGCTGGCCCTCTGTGAGGCGGACAACCCCGTCCCCCTGTCTGGAGGGTCATCAGGCTGAGAATCCCCACTGCCGGGCACCGCCTGCACAGGGCTCTGGCTGCTCTGCTCAGGGCGGGCACTGTCTGCCTGCGTTGGGTCCCCCAGCTCCGTGGCCTCCTGGAGGGGGACCCCCAGGGTCTCCACTAGCAGCTGGCATCCTGGACTCTGGGCGCTGGACTCTGCGATTGTTTCCTGTGGACAGAAAAAGACTCAGCCCCGGGGCCTTTGATAACCAAGTTCTCCGAAGAGTTTTCTATTAGGTTGGTGTAAAAGTAATTGCGGGTTTTGTCATTACTTTTAATGGCAAAAATTGGCCAGGCGTGATGGCTCATGCCTGTAATCCCAGCACTTTGGGAGGCCGAGGTGGGCGGATCACTTGAGGTCAGGAGTTCAAGATCAGCCTGGCCAAAATGGTGAAACCCCATCTCTACTCAACAAATACAAAAATTAGCCAGGCATGGTGGCAGTTGACTGTAGTCCCAACTACTCAGGAGGCTGAGGCAGGAGAATTGTTTGAACCCGGGAGGCGGAGGTTGCAGTGAGCCGAGATAGGACTGCACTCCAGCCTGGACGACAGAGTAAGACTCTGTCTCATACACACAAAAAAATTAGTGGCAAAAACTGCACTTACTTTTGCACCAATCTAATAGTTGTCACCACCCTGTTCAAAGACTCAGATATTGGCACCGGCCATCATGCATGGAAATAGGCATCAGTACCAGGGCCGGCGACTGGAGGGGGATCTGGAAGCACAGAAACCTCTCCTTCCACCAAGCTCTTCTCTCCACCAGCACCAGGTACTCAATCAGATCAGGGATATGAAAATCAAGGTGGCATTCAGACCACACCAATGTCAATTTCCTGTTTATTATTATTATTATTATTATTATTATTATTAGACAGAGTTTCACTCTTGTTGCCCAGGCTGGAGTGCAATGGTGCGATCTTGGCTCACTGCAACCCCCACCTCCCGGGTTCACGCAATTCTCCTGCCTCAGCCTCCCGAGTAGCTGGGATTACAGGCTCGCGCCACCATGCCCGGCTAATTTTGTATACTTAGTAGAGACAGAGTTTCTCCATGTTGACCAGGCTGGTCTCAAACTACAGACCTCAGGTGATCTGCCCATCTCGGCCTCCCAAAGTGCTGGGATTAAAGGCATGAGCCACTGCGCCCAGCGGCTATTATTATTTTTATTATTTATTTTTCATAATTTTGAGACAGGGTCTCACTCTTTCGTCCAGGCTGGAGTGCAGTGGTGTGATCACGGCTCACTGTAGTTTTGACCTTCCTAGATTCAGACGACCCTCCCACCTCAGCCTCCTAAGTAGCTGGGACTACAGGTACACACCACAACTGGCTAAATTTTGTGGTTTTTTTGGTAGAGATGGCGTTGTGCCATGTTGCCCAGGCTGGTCTTGAATGCCTGGGCTCAAGTGATCCTCCTGCCTCGGCCTCCCAAAGTGCTGGGATTACAGGTGGGAGCCACTGCACCTGGCCAAGTTTTAAAACAATTATTGTAGCCTGGACGCAGTGGCTCATGCCTGTAATCCCAGCACTTTGAGAGGCCGAGGCAGGCGGATCATTTGAAGTTGGGAGTTCGAGACCAGCCTGGCCAACAGGGTGAAACCCCTATTCTAATAAAAATACAAAAATAAGCCAGGTGTGGTGGTGTGCACCTGTAGTCCCAGCTACTGGGGAGGCTGAGGCAGGAAAATCACTTGAACCCAGGAGGTGGAGGCTGCAGTGAGCCGAGATCACACCACTGCACTCCAACCTGGGCGATAAGCAAGACTCCATCTCAAAAAAAAAAAAAAATTATTGTAGAGACAGAGTCTTGCCATGTTGCCCAGGCTGGTCAAGGGAAGTCTCCCAAAGTGTTGGGATCATAGGCATGAGCCACTGCACCTGGCCAATTGCCTAGTTTTGGTGATGGACTATAGTTATGCATGGTGTTACCACTCGGTGAAGCTAAAACAGAGAACACCGGAAATTCACTCTGTACCATTTTGTGTTTTTTTAAAAATTGTGCTAAGGCCGTGCGCAGTGGCTCATGCCTGTAATCCCAGCACTTTGGGTGGCTGAGGCGGGCAGATCACCTGAGGTCAGGAGTTCAAGACCAGGCTGGCCAACATGGTAAAACCCCGTCTCTACTAAAAATACAAAAATTAGCTGGGCGCGGTGGGCAGGCGTCTGTTATCCCAGCTACTTGGGAGGCTGAGGCGGGAGAATTGCTTGAACCCAGTGGGGCAGAGGTTGCAGTGTGCCAAGATGGCACCATCGCACTCCAGCCTGGGTGACAAGAGTGAAACTCTGTCTCAAAAAAAAGAAAAAAAATAAAATAAAGAATTGTTGCATAGTCAACACACATCCATAGCGCAATGTACTGAAAACGGTGGGTGGAGAGGTGCAGGCCTCACCATTGCCAAAGAACTCCAGGGTTAAATGGGGCTGCCGAGGCTGGGCCAGGAGGCTGCACCTGCGCTGGGCTCAGCCTGGCTGATTTTAGAGCCTTACCAGGCTAAAGGCCCCACTCCCACGGTCCTCATCCTTCATCTCTTCTTTTCTTGTCACTGTCTTCCTGGATTTTGCAAACTGGGGAACAAACCTCCCGAATGAGTTCTGTAAACCGGATACAAGAACAAAGCAGCAATAAAGATAAGAGAGGAATGAGGTCTTAGGAAAAAAGCAACCCCAAACCTGCTCCTTTCTTGTAGCCTTGAGAGAACTCCACCCTTGCCCTCTGGGCACATTCCCTCCAGCCCCTGTAGACCATGAGTGAGCAATTGGTGACAAAGAAGGGAGACACAGAGCCGGAACTTTAAGGGAGGCAGTGGTGCTTCTATATCCACGAGGCCACAGGACGAGCTCACCTGGGAAGGAGGAAGGGGAGCTGGCTCCTTTTCTGGTTGACGGAGGAGCCGGCAGGGAGATCCTGTTTCCTCATCAGGGGAGCTATGTAGGAAAAGATAAAACTGAAGGAGATCTGCCCGGGTGCGGTGGCTCACACCTGTAATTGCAGCACTTTGGGCGGCTGAGGCGGGCAGATCACCGAGGCCAGGAGTTCGAGACCAACCTGGGGAACATGGTGAAACCGTATCTCTACTAAAAATACAAAAATTAGCTGGATGTGGTGGCGCACGCCTGTAATCCCAGCTACTTGGGAGGCTGAGGCAGAATGGCTTGAACTCAGGAGATGGTGTTTGCAGTGAGCCAAGATTGTGCTACTGCATTCCAGCCTAGGTGAGAGAACAAGGTTCTGTGTCAAAAACAAACAAACGAGGGGGATCTGAAATCCTCCTAGGTTGTCACTCACCTATCGAGACAAACGCAAAACAAAATCCAACAGGAAACCAGTGCTAAGAGTCTCCTAGGCTGGGCGTGGTGGCTCATCCCTTTAATCCCAGCACTGTGGGAAGCTGAGGTGGGTGGATGCCCAGGAGTTTGAGACCAGCCTGAGCAACATAGTGAGACCCCTTTTCTACAAAAAATTTAAAAATTAGCTGGACGTGGTGATGTGTGCCTGTGGCCCCAGCTACTTGAGAGGCTGAAATGTCACGATCATCTGAGCCAGGGGAGTTCAGGCTGCAATGAGCTATGATCACGCCACTGCACTCCAGCCTGGGTGACAGAGCAAGACCCTATCTCAAAAAAAAAAAAATGTCTGCTAGATGGAAGGCCCTGGAAAACCTGCTTTGAAAGAGTGGGATGGGGATGGAGAAGCAGTGACCTGAGAACATTTAACTGTCAAGGAGGGTGCAGAGTCCCACCTGGAGAATACACTGCCTTAACAGGTGACTTTGTTACATTTATAATCCCAGGAATTGCCTTCTGAACTGGGAATAGGGATATTCTCATTTGGACGGACACTCCAGCCCTGACACGGCACATTCTAGGGAAAGGAAATTGTGGATGCAAGAAACATAGTGTCTTTAAAAACTAGTGAAACTTAGGGTTATATTTAAATAAATAAGGGCCAGGCGTGGTGGCTCACGCCTGTAATCCCAGCACTTTGGGAGGCCGAGGCGGGCGGATCACCTTAAGTCAGGAGTTCGAGACCAGCCTGGCCAACATGGTGAAACCCCGTCTCTACTAAAAATACAAAAATTAGTTGGGTGTGGTGGCGGGCGCCTTTCATCCCAGCTACTCAGGAGGCTGAGGCAGGAGAATCGCTTGAACCCGGGAGGTGGAGGTTGCAGTGAGCCGAGATTGTGCCACTGCACTCCAGCCTGGGTGACAGAGAAAGACCCTGTCTCAAATAAATAAATAAATAAATAAGGATATGTATATCGTTTTGTTTTGGCTAATTATTTTATTTCTTGTAGATATGGGGTCATCCTTGTTATGTTACACAGGCTCCTCTTGAACTCCTGGGCTCAAGCGATCCTCTTGCCTCAGCCTCCCAGTGTGCTGGGATTATAGGCATGAGCCACTGCACTCAGCCCTGATTGCTTTTCTTTTTTTATTGGTCGTTAGCTCACATAACAACAATTCCTTTGTTCCCTTCTTGATTAAGGAAGAGGAGGAATGTGGAAGAAGGATGGGTTTGACCAGCAGACAGAATATGAGTTCTGTAACCCTGAAAAATGCAATGTTATCTTTGCCCACAGTTAAAACTTTTTTTTCTTTTTTTAGATGGAGTCTCGCTGTTGCCCAGGCTGGAGCGTAGTGGCATGATCTCAGCTTACTGCAACCTCTGCCTCCTGGGTTCAGTCGATTCTCCTGCCTTAGCCTCCTGAGTATCTGGGATTACAGGTGCGCCACCACACCCAGCTAATTTTTGTATTTTTAGTAGAGACGGGGTTTTGCAGTGTTGGCCAGTCTTGTCTCAAACTCGTGACCTCAAGTGATCTTCCCCCCTCGGCCTCCCAAAGTGTTGGGATTACAGGCATTAGCCACCATGCCCGGCTAAAACATCAACCCTTCTTACCAGCGAGGAAAGCTAGGAGAAGCGAGATCCGAGGGCCCTGAGCTCTGGGAGGGAGTGGGTCACAGCACTAGATAGGTTGTGGGTCTCTTTCCCAAAGCATTGCTGTCTGCTGAGCTGCTGTGCTATGTGGACTGTCAGTGGGGAGACCTGCCGGAATGTTCAGAGCCACCTACCTGGAGACGGCCTTTCCTGGTTCCTCCCCGTGCTGCTGTGTAGAGGGAACAGGTCCCAATTTGCCCTCTGGCTCCTCAGGGTGATGTAAACAGCCCAACATGGAACTCTGGGGGTCCCCATAGAAGTCTCCTAGCCTTGGGTTCTTTAGGGGTTTTGGAGGACAGAGTCCCTCTCCTGTTTTAGAGACAGAGGAAGATGAAGGGGTGGGGGATACAGCCACTGCTCATGGCTGACAACTCAGGTCTCCCCCACTACAACCAGGCTGCACGCGAGAAGGGGCCGAATCCATTTCACTCTCTGCGGGGTCCCAAGTGCCTGTAAGAGCATCTTGTACACTGTTGGTGCTCAATAAATAAATTATCCATGACTGGATAAATGCACACCACCAAGGGCAGACAAGACTAAATTATGTACCATTCTAATGTGCTGAGACATCTGCAAAATAGCCATCCTGGGAAAACTGGGACTCACAGCCACCGGGTGCTGAAGAGGTGATGCTTTGGCCACGTCCTGGCCCCTTGCATTTCTGCACTAACTTCCCCATCACTGAAAGCAATTGCGATGTGTCTTCTTCTGGCATTTAAGAGGCTAAAGATGCTTATTGACATCTTTGTATATATAGCGCAGTGGCTCACGCCTATAATCCCAGCACTTTGGGAGGCCGAGGCGGGTGGATCACCTAAGGTCAGGAGTTCAAGACCAGCCTGGCCAACATGGCAAAACCCCGTCTCTACTGAAAATACAAAAATTAGCCGGGCATGGTGGCACCCACCTATAGTCCCAGCTACTTGGGAGGCTGAGGCAGGAGAATCGCTTGAACCTGGTAGGCGGAAGTTGCAGTGAGCTGAGATTGCGCTACTGCACTCCAGCCTGGTTGACAGAGCGAGACTCTGTCTCAAAAAAAAATTAATATATATTATATATCATATATAAAATACATACATATTCATATTTAATATATACATACATATAAAATATATAATTATAATGTATTTACATATTGCATATTTATAATTATAAAATATATTATTTAAATTATATATTTATGATATATTAATATATTATAAACATTATATCCTTGTATTATATTATATATTTATATATGATATATATTTATTAAATATATACTATATATATTATATATCCCATTATATTGCCAGGTTGTTCCATGTGATCTAAAGCCAGGCCACGCCACCTCAGGATTCAGCCTCAGCCAAATATGTAAATATATATATTTATACATATGTATTTATACATACATATGTATTTATACATACGTATTTACATATATGTATTTATGTATTATATATACTATATATATATTTTTTCTTTTTTTAAGACAGGGTCTGGCTTTGTCTCCCAGGCTAGAGTGAGGTGGTGCAACTGTGGATCACTGCAGTCTTGACCTCATAGGCTCAAGCCATCCTCCCACCTCAGGCCACTCAAGTAGCTGGGACAAAAGGTGTGTGCCACCATGCCTGGCTAAGTTTTCTTTTGCTTTTGTTTTGTTGAGACAGGGTCTCATATGTTGCCCAGGCTGGTCGTGAACTCTGGCGCTCAAGTGATCCTCTTGTCTCGGCCTCCCAAAGTGCTGGAATTACAGGCATGAACCACTTTGCCTCGCCAGAATCTATCTTTTGAATTAAGAAAACTCCCTTACATCGAAACTTTTTTTTTTTTTTTTTGAGACAGAGTCTCGCTCTGTCACCAGGCTGGAGTGCAATGGCACGATCTCTGCTCACCGCAACCTCTGCCTCCCGGGTTCAAGTGATTCTCCTGCCTCAGCCTCCTGAGTAGCTGAGACCACAGGCACGCACCACCACACCCAGCTAATTTTTGTATTTTTAGTAGAGACAGGGTTTCACCATGTTGGCCAGGATGGTCTCGATCTCTTGACCTCATGATCCGCCCGCCTCGGCCTCCCAAAGTGCTGGGATTACAGACATGAGCCACCGTGCCCAGCCACATCAAAACTTTCAATAGTGGCTGGCTTGTAAGACTTCCCCAAGCCTGGCCCCAACCTAATCATGCATTCAGTGAACAAATGATAAGGGTTGACTCTAGTGAGTTCCACACCAGATGCTGTCCTAAGAACTTGTGTGTGTTAAGATAAAAGCTCAAGGCAGGGTGCTGCTGTTATGCCTGCCTTACAGAAGTACCTTGAGCAATTCAATATTATCTTTGTCCATGATTAAAATATTGGCCTTTGCCACCAGCAAGGAAAGATGCCAGCCTGTAATCCCAGGACTTTGGGAGGCCGAGGCAGGTGGATTGCTTAAGCTCAGCAGTTCAAGACCAGCCTGGGCAACATGGCGAAACCCTGTCTAAAAAGTACGAAAATTAGCCAAACATGGTGGTGCATGCCTGCAGTCCCACATACTTGGGAGGCTGAAGGGGGAGGATGACTTGAGCCCAGAGGAAGAGATTGCAATGAGTCCAGACTGTGCCACTGCACTCCAGCCTGGGCAACAGAACTAGAGCCTGTCTCAAAAAAACATTTAAATTAAACATTTAAATTAAAATAAATAAATAAAAGGGCAATATGGCAAAACCCCATCTCTACTAAAAATGCAAAAGTTAGCTGGGCATGGTGGTGGGCACCTGTAATCCCAGCTACTTGGGAGGCTGAGGCAGGAGAATCGCTTGAATCCGGGGGGCTGAGGTTGCAATGAGCCAAGATGGCGCCACTGCACTCCAGCCTGGGCAAGGGAGTGAGATTCCATCTCAAAAAAATAAATAATTAAATTAAATTAAAAGGAAAGGAAAGATGCGAGAATTGACACCCAAGGGCCCCAAGTTCCCAGAGAGGTGAAAACGTTAAGGCACACAGAGGCCCAGGAACCAAGGCTGGCACCCCGTCCAACTCCAGAACCAGCACACTTAAGAATACTTGAGCATTTACTGAATGCCTACTATGTAGTAGATTTCTGCCAAGGCAGGCAGAACAAAAAGACAAACCAACAGCCAGGTGTGGTGGTGCACACCTGCAGTCCCAGCTACTCAGGAGGCTGAGGGGGTAGGATCACTTGAGTCCAGGATCTCACTTGGGTAACACAGTGAGATCCCACCTCTATAAAACATTTAAAAATTAGCTGAGGGTGGTGGCATGCACCTGTAGTCTCAGCTACTCAGGAGGCTGAGGCAGGAGGATTGCTTGAGCCCTGGAGGTTGAAGCTGCAGCAAGCCGTGATTGTGCCACTGCACTCTGGCCTCAGCAACAGAGCTAGATCCTATCTCTAAAAAAAACACTAAAGAATAACACTATCCAGGACCAGGCGCAGTGGTTCATGCCTGTAATCCCAGCACTTTGGGAGGCTGAGGCGGGCGGATCCCCTGAGGTCGGGAGTTTAAGACCAGCCTGACCAACATGGAGAAACCCTGTCTCTACTAAAAATACAAAATTAGCCGGGCATGGTGGCTCATGCCTGTAATCTCAGCTACTCAGGAGGCTGAGGCAGGAGAATCGCTTGAACCCGGGAGGCGGAGGTTGCAGTGAGCCGATATCGCGTCATTGCACTCCAGCCTGGGCAACAAGAGTGAAACTCCATCTCAAAAAAAAAAAAAAAAAAAAAAGAATAACACTATCCAAACCCCAGATGGACTCTTTCCAACCTCAGCTCTACATTACACACTTACACATCGTGAAGTAAACCTACTGAATGAGTCTCTCTTTCCTCGACGCCAATTGCTAGGGTCTGCATCAGTCCCCATTCAGCTGTTTGCCCTCCACTAAACCACAGCAATCTTCCTGTAATTGCTTCTAATTCTTCTTCTTCTTCTTTTTTTTTTTTTTTGAGATGGACTCTCGCTCTGTTGCCCAGGCTAGAGTACAGTGGCATGATCTCAGCTCACTGTAACCTCTGCCTCCTGGGTTCAAGCAATTCTCCTGCCTCAGCCTCCTGATTGGCTGCGACTACAGGTGCAAGCCACCATGCCTGGTTAATTTTTTTGTATTTTCAGTAGAGACGGGTTTTCACCACGTTGGCCACACTGGTTTTGAACTCCTGATCTCAAGTGATCTGTCTGCCTTGGCCTCCCAAAGTGCTGGGAATGCAGGTGTGAGCCATGGCGCACGGTAAGTTGCTTGTAATTCTGTCAGTTACAGTTCGGGAGTGCCCGTTTAGAACTTTATCCCACTGCTGTGTATTTGCTTAGCTCTCGCTGAGAGAAGCATTTTCCTTTGTCCTCTGACTACAGCTGGAGGATCTCCAGGGCAGGAACTGAGTGCAATGCACCCTTTGATCTCCCCTTCGCCCTGCCCTGCCCCATCAGGTGCCCACCTCAAAGGATGTACCACCACAAGTAAAGCTCCGATGGACATTGCTTATAGAAACACATTCCTAACCGTCCGGGTGCAGTGGCTCATGCCTGTAATCTCACCACGTTGAGAGGGTGAGGTGGGCAGATTGCTTGAGGTCAGGAGTTCAAGACCAGCCTGGCCAACATGGTGAAACCCTGTCTCTACTACAAATACAAAAAATTAGCCAGGTGTGGTGGTGGGCACCTGTAGTCCCAGCTAATCAGGAGGCTGAGGCAGGAGAATCACTTGAACCCAGGCGGCGGAGGTTGCAGTAAGCCAAGACTGCACCACTGCACTCCAGCCTGGGTGACAGAGCAAGACTCTGTCTCAAAAGAAACACGACCTTGTGGTCTGCCAGAAAAGACAAAATATAGCTGCTTTGTTTATTTGGTTTCTTGAGATTCTCAAACACTTGCTCACTTGGCTGACTGAATGGCCATTTGTACCAAATAAAAAGCAAAAAAATATCAATGGCATTGAAGAGTCTTCTCTTTCCTTCCTGTGATCTGTCCACATG
The DNA here is from genome assembly GCF_000001405.40 of Homo sapiens. Lineage (NCBI taxonomy): Eukaryota > Metazoa > Chordata > Mammalia > Primates > Hominidae > Homo > Homo sapiens. The sequence goes on from NW_021160022.1 coordinate 112,031, forward strand.
GGACTAATTTAAGAAAAAATAAGGCAGAACCTTGTGTTCGACACCAAAGACTAAAGACATTGGGAGGGAAAAGGCCTCTTTCACCACCTGCCAGAATTTTCTTCCTCTCTCTCCACCCTTCCAGCACACACAGAAAGGGTTGTCCAGGGCCAGCCCAGAGGTCCACTGAGCTGGGGAGTCTACCGCCAACAGAGGCCCCAAGTGACCTGCTGTGGGTGGACCTGGCTGTCCCCAGCTTCCCCCTCCAAGGTCAGAGAAATTCTGATGCCTCCAAGCAGCCTGTTGCTCATCTCTGCACAAAACATGTTCAATCTGCTGATCATTTCCTCTCCTGTCCCATATCTTGGGGGAAAAAACATGCACACCATTCCCTAAATTCATCAGCCACTAAATTAAAAAGTCATTTCAAAATTTTGAAGAAATTTAACTTACTTTAGAAAATGATAGGCAAATGGAACTCTACTACATCATATTGGGAGTTTGTCTTTCTGACTTGGTTTGTTCCTTTTTTTTTTTAGACAGAGTCTCACTCTGTCGCCCAGGCTGGAGTGCAGTGGTGCAATCTCAGCTCTCCTGGGCTCAAGCGAGTCTCGTGTCTCAGCCTCCCAAGTAGCTGGGATTACAGACACATGCCACCATGCCCGGCTAATTTTTGTGTTTTTAGTACAGATGGGGTTTCACCATGTTGACCAGGTTGGTCTCGAACCCTGACCTCAAATGATCCATCCACCTGCCTCGGCCTCCCAAAGTGCTCAGATTACAGGCATGAGCCATCGTGCCCAACAATCTTTCTTTTTTTCTAAGAGACAGGGTTTTGTTCTGTGGCCCAGGCTGGAGTGCAGGCGCAATCATAGCTCACTGCAGCCTGGAACTCCTCAGCTCAAGCCATCCTCCTGCCTCAATCTCCCAAGTAGCCAGGACTACAGGTAGGCACCACCACACTGGTTAATTAAAATTTTTTTTTTTTTTTAGAGACTGGGTAACATTATGTTGCTCAGGCTGGTCATGAACTCCTGGTCTCAGGCAATCCTTTCACCTCGGCCTCCCAAGTAGCCTGGAGTACAGGTGCGTACCACCAAGCCTGGCTATTTTGGGGTGTTTTTCTTTTCAAATGATGAAATTGTATAGGTATGTTGACAAGTAAACATGGTCATGATCTACCACAAAGTGAAAAATGGAGGTTGCAGATCAGTAAGTGTGATGATTCGATTTTCCAATAAAAACATTTTATCTGGGCCAGGCACGGTGGCTCATGCCTGTAATCTTTGGGAGGCTGAGGCAGGCGGATAACTTGAAGTCAGGAGTTAGAGAGCAGCCTAGCCAACATGGTGAAACCCCGTCTCTACTAAAAATGCAAAAATTTGCCAGGCATGGTGGCAGGTACCTGTAATCCCAGCTACTCAGGAGGCTGAGGCATGAGCATCACTTGAACCCAGGAGGCAGAGGTTACAGTGAACCAAAATCGTGCCACTGCACTCCAGCCTGGGTGACAGAGTGAGACTGTCTCCAAAAAAAAAAAAAAGAAAAAAGCTCAACACTGTATCTGTATATATACAGAAAAAGTCTGACCAGGCATGGTGGCTCATGCCTGTAATTCTGAGCACATTGGGAGGCCAAGGCAGGTGGACTGCTGGAGCCCAGAAGTTCAAGACCAGCCTGGGCAACATAGTGAGGCCTCGTCTCTTCCAAAAAATACAAAAATTAGCCAGTCATGGTGGCACACACCTGTAGTCCCAGCTATTCCGGAGGCTGAGGTGGGAAGATCACCTGAGCCTGGGGAGGTCGAGGCTGCAGCGAGCTATGATTGTGCCACTGCTCTCCAGCCTGGGCGACAAAGCAAGACTCTGTCTCGAAAAAAAGAAAAAAAAAAAAGCTGGGTATGGTGGCTCACTCCAGTAATCCCAGCACTTTGGCTGAGGCGGGCAGATCATGTGAGGCCAGGAGTTCAAGATCAGCCTGGGCAACATGGTGAAACCCCATCTCTACTACAAATACAAAAATTATCTGAGCGTGGTGGCAGACACCTGTAATCCCAGCTACTCAGGAGGCTGATGCAAGAGAATCGCTTGAAACCAGGAGGCGGAGGCTGCAGTGAGTCAAGATCGTGCCACTGCACTCCAGTCTGGGCAACAGAGTGAGACATCATCTTAAAAAAAAGTCTGAGCTGGGCGCGCTGGCTCATGCCTGTAATCCCAGCACTTTGGGAGGCCGAGATGGGCGGATCACCTGAGGTTGGGAGTTCGAGACCAGCCTGACCAACATGGAGAAACCCCATCTCTACTAAAAATACAAAAAAATTAGCTGGGCATGGTGGCATATGCCTGTAATCTCAGTTACTTGGGAGGCTGAGGCAGGAGAATTGCTTGAATCTAGGAGGCAGAGGTTGCGGTGAGCCGAGATCGCGCCAGCCTGGGCAACAAGATCAAGACTCTGTCTCAAAAACAAAAACAAAAAAGTCTGGGCTGGGCGCGGTGGCCTACTCCTGTATCCCCAGCACTTTGGGACACCAAGACGGGCAGATCACCTGAGGTTGGGAGTTCAAGACCAGCCTGACCAAACCCTGACTCTACTAAAAAAATACAAAAATTAGCTCAGCATGGTGGTGGGTGCCTGTAATCCCAGCTACTTGGGAGGCTGAGGCAGGAGAATCGCCTGAACTTGGGAGGTGGAGGTTGCAGTAAGCCGAGATCGCGCCACTGCACTCCAGCCTGGGCAACAAGAGCGAAACTCCGTCTCAAAAAAAAAAAAAAAAGTCTAGAAGCAGTGTACCGAGGTTAGAGTCCTGTCCTGTTTTTCATGCTGTTCTACAGTTGATCACTGTCCTATGGCTATGCTAGATGTCAACATTAGGGAAAGCTTGGAGAAGGGTAGCTAGAACTCTCTGAATTATTTTTGCAACTTTTCTTTAAGTCCCAGATTACTTCAAAATAAAAGTTTTCTTAAAAGTCTGGAAGAAGAATTGTTAACAGCAGTGTACATTTGTGTACTACCTTAGGTCAGTTCTGGGTGCTTTACAGATACTAATCCACATGTGAGCTCTAAGGGCAGGATTCTTCACCTTGGAGGACATTTGGGGCTGGATCATTCTCTGTGGCTGGGGGGCATCCTATGCATGGTAGGATATTTGAGCAGCATCCCTGGCCTCCACCCACTAGATGTCAGTATAATTTCCCCAGTTATGAAAACCAAAAAAAGTCTCTAGGCCGGGCACGGTGGCTCCCACCTGTAATCCCAGCACTTTGGGAGGCTGAGGCAGGCAGATCACCTGAGGTCAGGAGTTTGAGACCAGCCTGGCCAACATTGTGAAACCCTATCCCTACTAAAAATACAAAAATTAGGCGGGCGTGGTGGTGCACATCTGTAGTCCCAGCTACTTAGGAGGCTGAGGCTGCAGAATCGCTTGAACCCAGGAGGTGGAGGCTGCAGTGAGCCAAGATCTTGCTACTGCACTCCAGCCTGGACGACAGAGTCAGACTTGGTCTCCAAAAAAAAAAAAAATAAAGTCTCCAAACATTGCCAGCTGTCTCTGGAGGTCAAAATCCCTTCCTCTCACCTAGTTGAGAAACACTGCTCTAAAGGAAAGGGTAGTGGCTTTTATTATCCCCAATTTACAAAAGGGGAAACTGTGGCACAGAGGAAATCATCCACCACCACACACTGAGCAGAACTGGGATGAACCCAGGTTTTGGGCCCCAGAGTAAAACACTCAGCCACATACCGAGTGGCCTTGTAGTACATCAAGCATTATTCCAGGGGTCATCTCTGGGACTGGTTCCGCAGGGAGGCTGTCCCGCTGCCCTGAAGCCCGGGGAGGCCTCCTCTAAGCTGTGGGACCCCACCAGAGGCTTGCAGAAGCTCCAGAAAACTTTCACTTTTACTTTTCCTGTATGCCCTCTCCGTTATTTCTATTTTTCTTTCTTTCTTTTTTTTTTTGAGACAGGGCCTCAATCTATCAGTCAGGATGGAGTGCAGTGGTACGATCTGGATTCACTGCAACCTCCACCTCCCAGTTCAAGCAATCTTCCTGCCTCAACCTCCTGAGTAGCTGGGACTACAGGTGCCTGCCACCACGCCCAGCTAATTTCCTTACTTTACATTGTAGAGACAGGATCTCGCTATGTTGCCCAGGCTGGTCTTGAACTCCTGGACTCAAGCGATCCGCCCACCTCGGCCTCCCAAAGTGCTAGGATTACAGGCGTGAGCCACCACACCGGCCTTCTATTTTTCTTACCAGCATGAATTAAATCCTTTTTGTCTTTTTCTTTTTTTTGAGACAGAGTCTTGCTCTGTTGCCCAGGCTAGAGTGCAGTGGCACCATCTTGGCTCACTGCAACATCGGACTCCCAGGTTCAAACGATTCTCCTGCCTCAGTCTCCCGAGTAGGTGGGACTACAGGCATGTGCCACAACACCTGGCTAATTTTTGTATTTTTAGTAGAGACGGGGTTTCACCATGTTGGTCAGGCTGGTCTTGAACTCCTGACCTTGTGATCTGCCCGCCTCGGCCTCCCAAAGTGCTGAGATTACAGGTGTGAGCCACCGCACCCGGCCAATCCTTGCTTCCTTTTAAGGAGGTTAAGGCAGTCGTGTTAGCCAGATCTGCAATAAACAAGCCCACATTCTTCCCACAAGCAGAAGCAGAAATCAACAAGTGTCCATTTGAATGAACGTACCTGAGGTCCGCAGCTTCTTCCTCTTAGTCATTTTATCTTCCCCTTGAGAAATCTGAAAACAAGCAAAATCTCTCATCATTATAAGCAGTCTCTGTCTCTGTTTATATCCAGTGGCTTTGGCTGAGAGCAGAGGTTACCCCTACCTCCACCTCAGCCCATTTGGCTGCCCCAGGGGTCAGATGGCTCCCACTGGGACACAGGATGGGACACAGAGTCACAGCCACTTTGGGCCATGGCCAGGTAGGAATTCAAACCTCCTCCAAACTGAAGATCTTATGCCCAGGACCTGAAAGACAAATGGGCCCTGGGGGGTCCTTATAGATAGCCCCGGGGACCCAGACTCTGGTCCCTAGGATGAAACAGCCTGTGTGAAGCCCCTCCCTCCAGACTGGGGTATCTGGGGGCCCTTCCAAGGACACTTGAGGACTCTCCAGGGGCCTCTGGAGACCAGCCTGGCCAATATGGTGAAACCCCCTCTCTATTAAAAACACAAAAATTAGCCTGGGCATCGTGACGCACACCTGTAATCCCAGCTACTTGGGAGGCTGAGACAGTAGAATTCCTTGAACCCATGAGGCAGAGGTTGCAGTGAGCCGAGATCGCTCTACTGCACTCCAGCCTGGGCGACAGAGCGAGACTCCGTCTCAAAAAAAAAAAAAAAAATTAGTCAGGTGCGGTGGCACACACCCGTAATCCCAGCTACTCAGGAGGCTGTGGTACAAGGCCAGGAGGCAGAGGTTGCAATGAGCCAAGATCGTGCCACTTTAAAGGGGACAGCTGGGTCCTTGGAGGGGAAAGAGCTGCCATAGGCCGGTTTCTCCCAGCCTTGGGGGCGAGGCAAACCAGAACGGACCTGGGCCACAGAAGTCGTTGAGGACCCTCTGTCCTTATCAGAAACGAGCTCTGCCTGGATCAGTTGGGAATAAGTCGCTTGAATTATCCGCGTTACTCTTTTTGGAAAAAATAAATGGCCAAATTGGCCCTCACAGAACGCTGGAGGCCTCGAGTCCGGAGGTGAAAGATGGAAAGGCCTGAGGGTGGGCGCTGTAGACCCCGCTCCCGGTGACAAGCCCCACACTGACACTACGCCGACCACCGAGAAGTGAGGACTCCACAGGCCGAGAGCCCACGTGAAGCCGGAGCCCGTCGGTGACTGACAGACGCTCTGAACCCCACAGATGTCGCCGCCCCTCACACCTGCGCGCGCTCTGCCTCTTTCCCGCGCCCCGCGAGGTCCCGCCCCGCGCATGAGCGACGCAAACACCGCCCTCGCAGCCCGCGACAGTCAGCACCGCCCCAGCCAGGCGCCTGCGCGCCCACGCACTACCTGCCGGGAGTTGTAGTTTCGGCTCGGCAGACCCGGCGAGCCCAGTGGCCGCGCTCCGGTGCGGCGGCGCCCGAGGCCCGAGGCGGAAGTGGGACGGCCAAGCAGGGAAGCGAGGGCTCGGGATCGACGGCCGCGGGGCGCCGACGAGGAGTGCAGGACTCAGGAAGGGCGAGTGCGCGGCGACAGAGCCCGGGGAAGGAGGCAGGGCAAGGCCGGGCTTGGGGGCAGGTGGTCCGGGCATCCAGCCTTGAAGATGCACAAGAGGAAAGGACCCCCGGGACCCCCGGGCAGAGGCGCCGCGGCCGCCCGCCAGGTGAGTTTGCGCCCCACGGCCCGACCTGGGGATCCCTCCCCACCCCCGTCACTCGCTCAGGGAAGGGCCCCACCCCCCAGGGAAGCCCGATCTCCGCCCCACAGGTAAGCCCCGGTCCCCGCCTCCCCCCAGGTGAGGCTCCAACACCACCCAAGTGTGGCCTACTGGCCTTGGCTCCCCAGCTCCTGGGGCCCTGCCCCGGGTTCGGGGCCACCTGTTGCCACAGCTGCTCCAGTCGAGGAGGGGCAGTCCTCGGACTTGACACATCAAACCCTTGCATCAGTCGGGCCATGTCAGACTCTTTTTATTCCATTGTACAGATGAGGACTTTGAGACTCAGAGACGTGAAGACATCTGCCCAAGGTCATAGGGATTAACAGCTTGGCCAGGGCTAAGCACAAATCCAGGGCTGCAGCCATAAGCTTATGGCACTGTGGCTGGACCCCTTCTCACTCTCCCGACTTCTTTGCCCCAGGCACCAGATAGTTTGATTTTTCTCAGTTTTGATGGAAGGAGCCCAGGACATAGCTTGGTGTTCAGATATTAGAGTCTGGCTGACCTGAAGTTCCCTCCTGGCCTCTGTACATCGGACACTTGACTTTACAGCTCTGAGCCTCAGCTTTCTCATCTGTAAAATGGAGATCTCTATAATCCCAGCACTTCAGGAGATGGAGGCGGAGGCAGAGGTGGGAGAGTCATTTGAGGCCAGAGTTTGAGACCAGCCTGGGCAAAAGCAAGACCCCCGTCTCGACAAAAAAAGACTAACTGGGCATGGTGGCATGTGCCTGTAGTACTACTACTTGGGAGGCTAAGAAGGGAGGATTGCTTGAGCCCAGGAGTTCAAGACCGCAGTGAGCTATGATTGCGCTACTTCTGCTCCAGCCTGGGTGACAGAACAAGACTCTTTCTCTAAAATAAAGATAAAAAATTAAAAATGGAAGTCCGGGGTGGTGTCTCACACCTGTAATCCCAGCACTTTGGGAGGCCATGGCGAAACCCCATCTCTACTAAAAATACAAAAATTAGCTGGGCATGGTGGCGGGCACCTGTAATCCCAGCTACTCGGGAGGCTGAGGTGGGAGAATCGCTTGAACCGAGAGGCGGAGGTTGCAGTGAGCTGAGATCGCGCCACTGCATTCCAGACTGGGTGACAGAGCAAGGCTCCTTCTCAAAATAAATAAATAAATTCCTTCTGAAAATAAATAAATAAATAAAAAATTAAAAATGGAGACCTCCAAGAGACCCTACATTACAGGACAGTTGTAGAGAGTCATTGAGATAGTTTATGGAAAGTGCTAGAACATAGCACTCAATAAATGTTACTATTATCATTATTACTAGTTGGTGGAACCATACATAATTGCCAATATTTGGCCATTTTTTACCTACAGGAAAGGCAATTTCATATGGTTAAACACGATGTTATCACATCATGATTGGTCATTAGCCAAGATAGGAAGACGGGTCTGCATGGCAAACCTGCATTGTGGTTAGGGGTTCTTTTTTTGTTTGTTTGTTTTTGAGACAGAGTCTTGCTCTCTCGCCCCAGGCTGGAGTGCAGTGGCGCAATCTCGGCCCACTGCAACCTCCGCTTCCCGGGTTCAAGCGATTCTCCTGCCTCAGCCTCCCGAGTAGCTGGGATTACAGGCATGCGCCACCATGCCTGGTTAATTTTGTATTTTTTAGTAGAGACGGGGTTTCTCCCTGTTGGTCAGGCTGGTCTGTCTCGAACTCCCCATCTCAGGTGACCCGCCTGCCTCGGCCTCCCAAAGTGCTGGGGTTACAGGCGTGAGCCACCGTGCCCGGCCTAATTTTTGTATTTTTAGTAGTGATGGGATTTCACCATGTTGGCCAGGCTAGTCTCGAACTGCTGACCTCAGGTGATCCCCCCACCTTGGTCTCCCAAAGTGCTGGGATTACAAGCGTGAGCCACTGCACCTGGCCCTGTCGTCAGGGCTTCTAATTGCTCTTCTTTTTTTTTTGGAGACAGAGTCTTGCTCTGTTGCCCAGGCTGGAGTTTGGTGGCGCAATCTCAGCTCACTGCAACCTCCACCTCCCAGGTTCAAGCAATTCTCCTGCCTCAGCCTCCCGAGTAGCTGGGATTGCAGACACCGCCAGCACTCCCAGCTAATTTTTGTATTTTTAGTAGAGACGGGGTTTCACCATGTTGGCTAGGCTGGTCTCGAACTCCTGGATTACAGGCGTGAGCCACCGCATGCAGCCATCATGCTCTTGAAGCCCAACCTTCCCACACAGCCCCTCTGCTGAGGATGCTGGAAAGAAAAGCCCAAGTGTACAGAGTAGCTTTGCTTTGGGCAAAGTGTGGAGCCTGCTTCCTTCCCTCCTTCCCTCCCTCCCTCGCTTCCTTCTTTTTTTCCTTCCTTCCCTCCTTCCTCCCTCCCTCTCTCCCTCCCCGGCTCCATCTCTCTTTCTTTCTTTCCTTTCAACAGGGCTTTACTCTGTTGCCCAGGCGGAGTGCCGTAGCACAGTCATGGCTCACTGCAGCCTTGATCTCCCCAGGCTCAAGTGATCCTCCTGCCTCAGCCTCCCGAGTAGCTGGGACCACAGGCACACAGCACAACTCCCAGCTAATTTTAAAAAGTTTTTTTTCCTGTAATCCCAGCACTTTGGGAGGCCGAGGCGGGCAGATCATGAGGTCAGGAGATCGAGACCATCCTGGCTAACAAGGTGAAACCCCGTCTCTGCTAAAAATACAAAAAAAAAATTAGCCGGGCGTGGTGGCGGGCGCCTGTAGTCCCAGCTACTCGGGATGTTGAGGCAGGAGAATGGCATGAACCCCGGAGGCGGAGGTTGCAGTGAGCTGAGACTGCACCACTGCACTCCAGCCTGGGTGACAGAGCGAGACTCTGTGTCAAAAAAAAACAAAAAACAAAAAACTTTTTTTTTTTTTGTAGAGTTGGGGGTCTCACTGTATTGCCCAGGCTGGTCTGGAACTCCCAGACACAAGCCATCCTCTTGCCTTGGCCTCCCAAAGTGCTGGGATGACAGGCGTGAGCCACTGCGCCCAGCCAGGGGCCTGCTTTTCCCACTGAACTTGGCCCAGCAGCACATCATAAGTGTGGATTCAGATCAGAGAGCTGGGTCTCTTGCCCTTTGCCCCAGGTTGAACTGTGCCAGAGGGCCTGGCCTATCTTGGAACACCTGTTCTGGGCTTGTTCCAGCCTCCTGGCACTCCCCAGGGAAATGGCTTTCCCTGGGAGACCTTGTTTCCTTCCTCCCAAGGGGACTCTCTGGCCATCATGGCTGCCTCTAGCCATGTGGTGAACCAAAGGTCTGACTGAACCCTTGCTGTTCCCCTAGCTGGGCCTGCTGGTTGACCTCTCCCCAGATGGCCTGATGATCCCTGAGGACGGGGCTAACGATGAAGAACTGGAGGCTGAGTTCTTGGCTTTGGTCGGGGGCCAGCCCCCAGCCCTGGAGAAGCTCAAAGGCAAAGGTGAGATGGTTAACACACCCTCAGAACATTTTCTGATCTCCTGCAAGTGGTTCGGGCGCAGAACTGGGGGCACTGGGTAGGTAGGGGAAAGAAGACAGAGAAGACCCCTGTTCTCCTGGAGCCAATGATCTGGGTAAGAGAGTCAAGATCGACTCTGAGGCCGGGCACGGTGGCTCACGCCTGTAATCCCAGCACTTTGGGAGGCCGAGGCAGGCAGATCATGAGGTCAGGAGATTGAGACCATCCCGGCTAACACGGTGAAACTCTGTCTCTACTAAAAATACAAAAAAAAAAAAAAAATTAGCCGGGCGTGGTGGCGGGCGCCTGTAGTCCCAGCTACTCAGGAGGCTGAGGCAGAAGAATGGCGTGAACCAGGGAGGCGGAGCTTGCAGTGAGCCGAGATCGCACCACTGCGCTACAGCCTGGGCGACAGAGCAAGACTCCGTCTCAAAAAAAAAAAAAAAAAAAAAAAGATCAAGTCTGGACCGAGACTGAGAGTTGGAATCCGAGCTCTGCCACTTACTGGTTATGTGACTTGATGAGTCACATCATGTGCTTTGGCCTCAGTTTCACCATCTGTAAAACTGGAATAATAACCATGTTATAGGAGTTAATCTGGAGTCCATAAGTATTTCACCCAGGGCCCCCTCACACACAATAAGCTCATGTCAGCCAGGCACATTGGCTCATGCATGTAATCCCAGCACTCTGGGAGGCCAAGGTGGACAGATCACTTGGGGCCAGGAGTTCGAGACCAGCCTGGCCAACATGGTGAAACCCTGTCTTTACTAAAAATACAAAAATTAGCCAAGCTTGGTGGCGAACACCTGTAATCCCAGCTACTTGGGAGGCTGAGGCATGAGAATCGCTTGAATCCAGGAGGCAGCAGTTGCAGTGGGCAGAGATTGCGCCACTGCACTCCAGCCTGGGTGACAGAGCAAGATCCTGTTTCCAAAAAACAAAAAAGAGAGAAGCTTCATTCAGGCATGAACTACTGTGCTGTTGGCTGTGAATTCAAAGTTAATGAATGAACGATATCTATTCAGGAAGGTGTCTTCAAACAGAAACACACATAGAGCAAGGTTGTGTATTGATCAGTTGATTAAAATTTTGTGACCAGAGCTGGGTGTGGTGGTGCATGCCTGTAATCCCAGCTACTCGGGAGGCTGAGGCAGGAAGATCACTTGAGGCCAAGAGTTTGAGGCTGCAGTGAGCTCTGATTGGGCCACTGCACTCCAGCCTGGGTGACAGAGCAAGATCCTGTCTCCAAAAAAGGTTATGACTGGAGATTCACAGGAACCTAAGCTTAAATTTCCCCTAGGAGCAACAGTCTTATAGTCATTAATTTAGTCTTCAAAGCAGCTTTATAGAATGTAACATAACTAATAACAAGATATTGGCAATATGCTATTCTAAGAGCTTCATTGACCTTCTCTGCTCCAACCTACCTATGAAGGAGGAACTGTTGTCATCCCCGTGTCACAGAGGGAGAAACTGAGGCTCAGAGAGGTGACATCACTTGCCGAAGTTCTCACAGAGAGAAAGTTGCAGAGCTGGGGTTTTTTTTGTTGTTGTTGTGTGTGTGTGTTTTTTTTTTTTTTTTTGGAGACAAACCCTTGCTCTGTTGCCCAGGCTGCAGTGCAGTGGCGCAATCTCAGCTCACTGCGACCTCTGCCTCCTGGGCTTAAGTGATTCTCCTGCCTCAGCCTCTTTAGCAGCGGGGATTACACGCCACCATGCCCAGCTAATTTTTTTTTTTTTTTTTTTTTTTTTTTGAGACGGAGTCTCGCTCTGTCGCCCAGGCTGGAGTACAGTGGCGCGATCTTGGCTCACCGCAAGCTCCGCCTCCTAGGTTCACGCCATTCCCCTGCCTCAGGCTCCCGAGTAGCTGGGACCACAGGCGCCCGCCAGCATGCCTGGCTAATTTTTTGTATTTGTAGTAGAGACGGGGTTTCACCGTGTTAGCCAGGATGGTCTCGATCTCCTGACCTTGTGATCCACCCGCCTCGGCCTCCCAAAGTGCTGGGGTTACAGGCGTGAGCCACTGCGCCCAGCCTAATTTTTGTATTTTTAGTAGAGACAGGGTTTCACCATGTTGGCCAGGCTGGTCTTGAACGCCTGACTTCAAGTGATCCTTCTGCCTCGGCCTCCCAAAGTGCTGGGATTATAGGCGTGAGTCACTGTGCCCGGTCTGCAGAGCTGGGTTTTGAATTCAGGTAGCCAGGCCCCAGACCTGAGGCTGAATAAGGAAGAGATGAAATGGGGAAGTCAGCGAGAAGTGGGATCACCTAGCGTGTCCAGGATGGGAAATGGGGGCTCTTGGTGTACGACCCTGGTCCACCTGGGGCATCCCCCTACCGCCAGGTCCCTTGCCGATGGAGGCCATTGAGAAGATGGCCAGCCTGTGCATGAGAGACCCGGATGAGGATGAGGAGGAGGGGACGGATGAGGACGACTTGGAGGCTGATGATGACCTGCTGGTGAGCACTGAGGGCGGGGTGGGGGCTCTGATCCGGTTGCCCCCATCCAGCAGGCCCTTATATCCTGCCCTGGCTGTGTGTCCCTGCAGGCGGAGCTAAATGAGGTCCTTGGAGAGGAGCAGAAGGCTTCAGAGACCCCACCTCCTGTGGCCCAGGTACAGTTTGGATGACTCCACTCCCTTGAACCACAACCCAACGGACAGCCCGGGGTTCAAGACCTAGCCTTTTTTATGAGATGGAGTCTTGCTGTGTCACCCAGGCTGGAGTGCAGTGGTGCCATCTCAGCTCACTACAACCTCTGCCTCCCAGGTTCAAGGGATCCTCCCACCTCAGCCTCCCCAGTAGCTGGGATTACAGGTGTGTGCCACCACGCCTGGCTAATTTTTGTATTTTTTGGTAGAGATGGTGTTTCTCTGTGTTGGCCAGGCTGGTCCTGACCTCAAGTGATCCACCTGCCTTGGCCTCCCAAAGTGTTGGGATTACAGGCGTGAGCCACCGCGCCTGGCCCACCCTTATCCTTCACAGCCATGTGACCCATATCAGGTGGGTGACATGATGCTTCTGAAACCCCATTCCCTCCACTGGGAAATGGGGACCATGATTTCTGCCTCACTGGGGCAGGGGAGGCTGGTCCAGGGATGACATGGGGCCGACTGTTACTGCAGAAGGGGCTAACAGGGGCATCCCAAGTGGGGTCACCACCCACACTGTGCCCCTGCCCTCCCACAGCCGAAGCCTGAGGCCCCTCATCCGGGGCTGGAGACCACCTTGCAGGAGAGGCTGGCGCTCTATCAGACAGCAATTGAAAGCGCCAGACAAGCTGGAGACAGCGCCAAGATGCGGCGCTACGATCGGGGGCTTAAAGTAAGTGGGCAGAGGGCAGGGTACAGGGACCCCCCGCCAACCCCGATGCCCTGCACCAAGCTCTTGGCTTCTCCCAAACCAATACTCACGCCTTATCTTAGACACTGGAAAACCTGCTCGCCTCCATCCGTAAGGGCAATGCCATTGACGAAGCGGACATCCCGCCGCCAGTGGCCATAGGAAAAGGCCCGGCGTCCACGCCTACCTACAGCCCTGCACCCACCCAGCCGGCCCCTAGAATCGCGTCAGCCCCAGAGCCCAGGGTCACCCTGGAGGGACCTTCTGCCACCGCCCCAGCCTCATCTCCAGGCTTGGCTAAGCCCCAGATGCCCCCAGGTAGGTGATGGGCAGGGCCGGGCTGATATGGGATCCGAGTGGGCCATCTGGCAGGATGCTGCTCTAGGGGGGTGCCGGCTGTGCACTGATTGTGAGATATTTTCAACACCCTGAGTCCTGGGGTCTTCAAGCCCCTGGAGTTCATGAATACCTCCCAAGCAGGACATGGATACCCAGAGAGTTTTTTTTGTTGTTATTATGATATTATGATAAAATATAGATCACATTTGCCATTAAAAATTATTTTAGTTCTTTTTTTTGAGATGGAGTTTCGTTCTTGTTGCCCAGGCTGGAGCGCAGTGGCACGATCTCAGCTCATTACAACCTCCACCTCCCAAGTTCAAGCGATTCTCCTGCCTCAGCCTCCCAAGTAGCTGGGATTACAGGCATATGCCACACTTGGCTAATTTTGTATTTTGAGTAGAGATGGGGTTTCACCTTGTTGGCCAGGCTGGTCTTGAATTCCTGACCTCAGGTGATCCACCCACTTCGGCCTCCCAATTTGCTGGGATTACAGGCATGAGCCACTGTGCCCGGCTTTTTTTAATTCTTTGAGACAGGGTCTTACTCCATCACCCAGGCTGGAGTGCAGTGATGTGATCATAGCTCAGTGTAGCCTCAACCTCCTGGGCTCAAGGGATCTTCCCTCACCTTCACCAGTAGCTGGGACTACAGGCATGCACCACACACTTGGCTAATTTTTTTTTTTTTTTTGAGTCGGAGTCTCGCTCTGTCACCCAGGCTGGAGTGCAGTGGTGCGATCTCGGCTCACTGCAACCTTTGCCTCCTGGGTTCAAGCAATTCTCCTGCCTCAGCCTCCTGAGTAGCTGGCATTACAGGTGCATGCCACCACACCTGGCTAATTTTTTGTATTTTTAGTAGAGACGGGGTTTCACTGTGTTAGCCAGGATGGTCTCGATCTCCTGACCTTGTGATCTGCCTGCCTCGGCCTCCCAAAGTGTTAGGATTACAAGCATGAGCCACCACGCCAGGCCTCATCGCCTTTTTTTTTTTTTTGAAACAGAGTCTCACTCTATTGCCCAGGCTGGAGTGCAGTAGCATGATCCTAGTTCACTGCAACCTGCCTCCCAGGCTCAAGCAATCCTCCCGCCTCAGCCTCCTGAGTAGCTGGGATTACAGGCATATGCCACCGTGCCCCATGCCCAGCTAATTTTTGTACTTTTTGTAGAGGTGCCATGTTGCCCAAGCTAGAACATATCTTCTAAGAGGTTTTTCTTCCTAACCTCCCCCTAGGAAAGGAAGGCCTCCCTCCCTCTCTTTGTGATATGAACACGGGGCTTTGCCCCAGGTCCAAACACTTCCCTGGCAGGAAGCAAAGAGACAACTCAAAATACTGGCATGGGTTTGAGAAAGCAAACACTGGGTCACTAAATCCTTCTGCAACCAAGCTAGTTTCCAAGCCATTGTTTTTGACAAAGTTCAAGGATTACTGGAATTGTCACCTGAAATTGTCAACTGAAACGACCAAAAATTTTTCACAATGGAAGTTTGGCATAAAACTTGTCAGGAGTTCAAAGAATACAAAGACATCACAGTAACAAAATTCTGTGTCTTCCAATCTATTTGTTAATGTGAAGTAGGTTTCTCAATACTTTAATTTTTTTGAGACGGAGTCTCGCTCTTGTTTCCAGGCTGGAGTGCGATGGCGTGATCTCGGCTCACTGCAACCTCCGCCTCCCAGGTTCAAGTGATTCACCTGCCTCAGCTTCTCGAGTAGCTGGGATTACAAGCGCCCACCACCAAGCCCGGCTAATTTTTGTATTTTTAGTAGAGACGGGGTTTCACCATGTTGCTGCCCAGGCTGGTCTCGAACTCCTGACCTCAGGTGATCCGCCTGCTCCGCCTCCCAAAGTGCGGGGATTACAGGCGTGAGCCACCACCCCTGGCCTCAACACTTTAAAAAAGAAAAAAAGTGCAGATGTAGTGGCTCATGCCTGTAATCCCAGCACTCTGGGAGGCCAGGAGTTCAAGAGCAGTCTAGGCAACATAGCAAGAACCCATCTCTACATAAAAATTAAGAAATTAGCCGGGTGTGGTAGTGCATGCCTTTAGTCCCAGCTCCTCGAGAAGCTGAGGTGGGAGGTTCGCTTGAGTCCAGGAGTTCAAGGCTGCAGTGAGCCGTGATCGTGCCACTCCAAGTCTGGGCAACAGAGCAAGATCTTATCTCTAAAAAAAGAAAAAACAGAAGAGGATTGAATGGGAGAAACGAGTTGATTGTTAGGGATTGGACCCAGCTCCAATTATGTCAGCAAGAGGTACATTTCTGGTAGAATTTTGCTCTTGGTGTACCAAAACTATCAAATAGCTCAGCAGGGGCTGGGCGTGGTGGTTCACACCTGTAATCCCAGCACTTTGGGACACCAAAGCGGGCGGATCACTTGAGGCCAGGAGTTCAAGACCAGCCCTGGCCAACATGGTGAGACCTCATCTCTACTAAAAATACAAAAATTAGCTGGGCGTGGTGGTGCATGCTGGTAGTCCCAGCCACTCGGGTGGATGAGGCAAGAGAATCACTTGAACCCAGAAGGCAGGGGTTGCAGTGAGCCACGATCACACCACTGCACTCCAGTCTGGGCGACAGAGCAAGACTCTGTCTCAACAAACAAACCAACCCAAAAAGCTCAGCTGGGTGTGGTGGCTCACACCTATAATTCCAGCACTCTGGGAGGCCAAGGTGGGAGGATCGCTTGAACCCCGGAGTTCGAGATCTGTCTGGGCAACATAGGGAAACTGCGTCTCTATAAAAAATTAAAAATTAGCCAGCCATGGTGGTGCATGCCTGTAGTCCCAGCTACTTGGGAGGCTGAGGTGGGAGAATCACTTGAGCCTGGAAGGTTGAGGCTGAAGTGAGCTGTGATTGCACCACTGCACTCCAGCCTGGGTGACAGAATGAGACCCTGTCTCCAAAAAAATAAAATAAAATAAGCTTGATGTATTTACGTTTTGCTCAATTACATGCTAGTAATAATTATAACAATAATTCAACCCGGAAAAACATTGTTTTTAACAATGAAAGATTTATAATCACAGGAAATAAAACCAATACAATGTCAAAGGTGTGTCACTTCTACCTCCAAACATATTTTCAGGGAAGTAAGCCTAAGTTTAAAGCAATGGGTCCAGTTGTTAGTCTGAAAAAAAGATACTGCGTGCCATTTTCTGGGTGTTTCCAGATTTTGCAGACACTGGGTGGTGTCTTTATTGTACTGTGTTATTTTATACTAAGAATTGCACTTATAGCTTTAAACATTGAGGTACTTCCCCAGAAAACATACTGAGCATATTATTTGAAACTGTAACTAACACACTGTTTAAAAAGCACTGAATACTGGGTTTCCTAACTTTGCAAACACACTGCATAAATATATTTTGGTTGTATAAATATACAATAGGGTAGGCAAAAAAGGCTTTCAAACACACAGCTATATCATGTTAGCATAAATTTCTGTGGGGGACGTGGATGGAAATAAGAGAAGACTCAAAATTCCCAACTGCTTAAAGTGAGTCCCAGGATATATTTAAAAAGTGAGTTGGGCATGGTGGCACATGCCTGTAATCTCTGCACTTTGGGAAGCTGAGGTGGGAGGATCACTTGAGCCCAGGAGTTTGAGACTAGCCTGGACAACATAGTAAGACCCCATCTCTACAAAAAAAAATAAAAAACCAGCCGGGCATGCAGGTGCATGCTCTGTAGCCCCAGCTACTCAGGAAGCTGAGATGGGAGGATCGCCTAAGCCCGGTGTCTGAGGCTATAGTGAGCAGCAGAGCAAGACTCTATCTCTTTAAAAAAAAATACATTAAATATGGCCAGGCACGGTAACTCACACCTGTAATCCTACTTTGGGAGGCCAAGGTGAGCAGATCACTTGAGGTCAGGAGTTTGAGACCAGCCTGGCCAACATGGTGAAACCCCGTCTCTACTAAGAATACAAAAATTAGCCAGAAATTGGGAGGCGGAGGTTGCAGTGAGCCAAGATTGTGCCACTGCACTCCAGTCTGGGCAACAGAGCAAGACCCAGTCTCAAAAAATACATTAAAGCCAGGCGCGGTGGTTCACACCTATAATCCCAGCACTTTGGGAGTCCAAGGTGGGCGGATCACCTGAGGTCAGGACTTTGAGACCAGCCTGGCCAACACGGCGAAACCCTGTCTCTACTAAAAACATAAAAATTAGCCGGGCATGTGCCTGTAATCCCAGCTACTCAGGAGGCTGAGGCAGGAGAATCACTTGAACCCAGGAGGCGGAAGTTGCAGTGAGCTGAGATTGCGCCACTGTACCCCAGCATGGGCAACAGAGTGAGGCTCTGTCTGAAAAAGAAAAAAAAAATTAAATAAATAAATAACAAATGGTTTACACGGTGAACTTGGCCCAGGCCCTGGAGGCTTCCTGTATGTTGTTCTCCCTTCCAGGTCCCTGCAGCCCTGGCCCTCTGGCCCAGTTGCAGAGCCGCCAGCGCGACTACAAGCTGGCTGCCCTCCACGCCAAGCAGCAGGGAGATACCACTGCTGCCGCTAGACACTTCCGCGTGGCTAAGGTGCGTCCAGCCTGACGGACAGGACTGGAGGGATGGGGCAGGATGCTTCCCACGTGGCCTGGTGGCAAAGCACCCAAATTTGCATCCTAGCTTGGTCACTCCCTAGCAATAGTTTGCTGTAAGTCTTGGAGCCTCAGTTTACCCCCTCTGTGAAATGGGCACGTGTGTTGGAAGAGGATTAAGCAAGATGGCACAAATGGAAGGGAGGGAGCTAGAAGTCCTCGGTGGCATGGAAGGGCCCGGAGGCTCCCCACAGGGTCCAAGCCCCCAACTGCACCTCTTCTTCTAATCTCCTCTTCCTTCTCCCAGAGCTTTGATGCTGTCTTGGAGGCCCTGAGCCGGGGTGAGCCCGTGGACCTCTCCTGCCTGCCCCCTCCACCCGGTGAGAACCCTGCCATGCCCACTCTCTGGGATGGTTTCAGGCATACACTAAGTTCTCCTTGATGCTGCCACCCCTGTTGGTCAGGCCCAGAGACCACCCTCAGGCCAGACCAGCTTGTCGGGGGTGCAGCTAACAAGCCCCTCATTGGCCTGGACCTCTCTGTCCCCAGACCAGCTGCCCCCAGACCCACCGTCACCACCGTCGCAGCCTCCGACCCCCGCTACGGCGCCCTCCACAACAGGTAGGTTCTGGGACCCTCTGGGGTTGGGGGCAGGCTGGAGCCAGACTGTCTACCCATCCGTTGACTCTTAACCTTGTCCCCCTGTCCGGCCCAGAGGTGCCCCCACCCCCGAGGACCCTGCTGGAGGCGCTGGAGCAGCGGATGGAGCGGTACCAGGTGGCCGCAGCCCAGGCCAAGAGCAAGGGGGACCAGCGGAAAGCTCGAATGCACGAGCGCATCGTCAAGGTGCCCTGGGGGTTCCGGGGGAGGTGGGGCGAGTGGGCAGCCCGGGAGCCCTCCCACAGGCAGCCCTAACACCTGTGGCCCTCGCAGCAATACCAAGATGCCATCCGAGCCCACAAGGCTGGCCGAGCCGTGGATGTCGCTGAATTGCCCGTGCCCCCAGGTAGGCCTTGCCCCTGTAGGCCTCGCCCCAGTAGGCCCCGCCCCCGTAGGCCCCGCCCCCAGAGGCCCCGCCGCTGGCAGGCTGTGCCCCAAGCTCCTGTTCCTCCAGCCTCTGAGCCTTGGCAGATGCTATTACTCCCCATAGCACAGGCTCAGGGAGCTGAATACAACATATTCAAGGGTTTTGTAAACTTGTTAATCAGTGGGAGCTTGACATTGGACATGATGTGTCTGCACTGTAGAAATTGGCAAACCGGCTGGACGAGGTGGTCATGTCTGTAATCCCAGCACTTTGGGAGGCTGAGGTGGGAAAATCACTTGAGGCCAGGAGTTCAAGACCAGCTTGGGCAACGTGGCAAGACCCCGTGGCTACAAGAAATTTAAAAATTAGCCTGGTGTGGTGGTGCACACCTGCAGTCCCACTCTAGATCATGCCACTGTACTCCAGCCTGGGCAACAGAGCGAGATCCTGTCTCAAAAAAAAAAAAATTAATTAATTAAAAAAAGTAAAGGCCCAAGACTCTATAGGTGGGAGAGGAATCTGCATCTCCACCATAATGGTGTGAGTTGGTCTCCATCCTGACACACAATAACCAGGCCTCGACTGGCCACCCAGGCTTCCCCCCAATCCAGGGCCTGGAGGCCACCAAGCCCACCCAGCAGAGTCTGGTGGGTGTCCTGGAGACTGCCATGAAGCTGGCCAACCAGGATGAAGGCCCAGAGGATGAAGAGGATGAGGTGCCTAAGAAGGTTTGAGGGTTGGGGCCGGGCGCAGTGGCTCACACCTGTAGTCCCAGCACTTTGGGAATCCAAGATGGGAGGATCGCTTGAGGCCAGGAGTTTGAGACCATCCTGGGCCACACAGTGAGACCCCCGTCTCTACAAAAAAATTTTTTAAAATTAGCCAGGCATGGTGGGACTCACCTGTAGTCCCTGCTACTTGGGAGACTGAGGTGGGAGGATCACCTGAACTAAGGAGTTCAAGGCTGCAGTGAGCCATGGTCATGCCACTGTACGCCAGTCTGGGTGACAGAGCAAGACCTCATCTCCAAGACAATTAAAAAAAAAAAAAAGTGTTTGGTGAGAATTGCTTGAACCGGGAGGCAGAGGTTGCAGTGAGCCAAGATCGTGCTACTGCACTCCAGCCTGGACGATACAGTGATACTCTGTCTCAAAAAAGAAAAAAAAAAAAAAAAAGGTGTTTGGGGCCAGGGGCTTTGAGTGAGGCAGGGGAGTAGCAAAGTCCTGGGAGCCCACTAAATGACCACTGTTGTCACCATCAGACCCTGATCCTTGGGGACTGGACTCATCACAGGCGCTACGAAATCTCTAACATCCTCTCTCTTCCTCTACAGCAGAACAGCCCTGTGGCCCCCACAGCCCAGCCCAAAGCCCCACCCTCAAGAACTCCCCAGTCGGGATCAGCCCCAACAGCCAAAGCGCCCCCCAAAGCCACATCCACCAGAGGTAAGTTCCCCCTCCCCGCCCCAGCTGCCTGTTGCCTGGCTGTGGCCTGGGCAGCACCCATAGCAGCTCCTATGCCCACAGCCCAGCAGCAGCTGGCCTTCCTAGAGGGCCGCAAGAAGCAGCTCCTGCAGGCCGCACTGCGAGCCAAGCAGAAAAACGACGTGGAGGGTGCCAAGATGCACCTGCGCCAAGCCAAGGGACTGGAGCCTATGCTGGAGGCCTCGCGCAATGGGCTGCCTGTGGACATCACCAAGGTGAACCTTCTGGGCTTGTGGGAACTGCCCAGGCACCCACTTGTCAGGCTCCTGCCCCTTAGCAGCCACGTGAACTAGAAGTGTATTAGTCAAGGTCCAGCTGCTGTAACAAATAGGTCCTCCCAAGACAATGGCTGAAAGGAGACAGACATTTATTATGTTTCTTGCATGTACCACCCAGGGCAGTCTGGGCTCTGCAAATGGGAGGTCCTCCAGGGCCTGAGTTTCTTCCACCTTATTGCTTTGCTGCACCTGAGGGGGTTGTCCTTGTCCACATGATCCAAGTGGATCCTGTCAGAAGGACTAGAGAAAGAGGCAGAGCTAGTAGTCCCTTTTAAAGGAAGTGACATCACTATTGCTTGTCTCCCATTGGCCAGAACTAAGTAACATGGCCACATTTAGCCACAGAGGAGGCTGGGACATGTAGTCTCTTGTTGGTGCACTGTGTGACCAGCCTGAGCTCCATTACTAGGGAAGGGGAGGGGATCAGATCTGGGGAGACACTTAGATTCTGCCACTTAGGACAGGACCATTCCTTTTTCTCTGAGCATCATTTTTCTCAGAGAAGTGGGGATGGCCACCCCTGCCTCAAAGAAAGACAGCCAGGATTCCTCATGTGATAGAATAGTACTCATAATAGGAAACATTTGAGGAGCTTGAACTGGGCGCCCAGCAAAGGCCACCCAGTTTAAGGAAGTGACATCACTTTTGCTTGCCTCCCATTGGCCCAAACAGTCACATGGCTACATTTAGCCTCAGAGGAGCCTGGGACATGTAGTCTTTGCTGGACACTGGAGACATGGCCTTGAGCAAAAAAGGCAAAAATCCACACTCTCTCTGGACATGGTGGGTCACACCTGTAATTCCAGCTACTTGGGAGGCTGAGGTGGGAGGATTCCTTGAGGCCAGGAGCTCGAAACTAGCCTGGGAAACACAGTGAGACTCACTGTCATGGAGTGGATGTTCTAATTGAGAGACCACAAGAAACACACAAATAAATACAGCACCTTATCACGGCCCATGAAGACTGCACCATCTGCCCCATCAGCTCCCTTGCCTGGTCTCTTTCTTGTTTTTGTTTTGTTTTGTTTTGTTTTGAGACGGAGTCTCGCCCTGTCATCCAGGCTGGAATGCAGTGGCACGACCTCAGCTCACTGCAACCTCTACCTCCCAGGCTCAAGCGATTCTCCTGCCTTAGCCTCCCGAGTAGCTGGAACTACAGGCACACGCCACCATGCCCGGCTAATTTTTATATTTTTAGTAGAGATGGGGTTTCACTATGTTGGCCAGGCTGGGCTTGAACTCCTGACCTCAGGCAATCCACCTGCCTCGACCTCCCAAAGTGCTGGGATTACAGGCATGAGCCACTGTGCCCGGCCTGCCCCTTCTCTTTCACCCACCCCCTCGCTCACTCTTCCCCTTGCTGTCTGGTAGCCTCAAACACCAGGCACTCTGCAACCTCAGGGCCTTTGCACATGCAGTTCCCACTGCCTGAATGCTTTTCCCACAGACACCTGTGTGGTTCACTTTCTCCCATCATTAGGTCTCTGCTCAGACATCACATCTCCAGGAGGCCTACCCTGAGCTGTCTAAAATCCCTCCCTGTCACCCAGATCCCTCTGCTCCTCCTCCCAGCTCTGCCTCTCCCTGTGGCATGTATCACCTTCTACTCTCTCATATGATTTACTTATTTCTTCTGATTATTGCCCATCTCCCCCAAGAGAATGTCAGCCCCACGAGGGCAGGGATTTTGTTCTCTCTTCTTCATCCTTGTGTCCCCAGCCCCAAAGCAGAGCCTAGCGCACAGTAGGGGCTCCATACATGATTTCTCAAACTCTTGAGCTCAAGCAATCCACCCGCCTTAGCCTCCCAAAGTTCTGGGATTATAGACATGAGCCACTGCACCCGGCACCATACATGATTTCTGGGGTGACTGAAGGATGCCCTTGTTAAATGGGACAATGGAAGGATCAAGAAGAAAGAACAGAGGCCGGGCATGGTCTTTCATGCCTGTAATCCTAGCAATTAAGGAGGCCAAGGCCAGCGGATCACTTGAGGTCAGGAGTTCGAGACCAGTCTGGCCAACATGGTGAAACCCTGTCTCTACTAAAAATACAAAAATTAGCCAGGTGTGGTGGCAGGCGCCTGTAATTCCAGCTACTCAGGAGGCTGAGGCAGGAGAATCACTTGAACCCGGGAGGTGGAAGTTGCAGTGAGCTGAGATCCCGCCATTGCACTCCAGCCTGGGCAACAGAGCGAGACTCCATCTCAAAAAAAAAAAAAGACCAGAGAAGGGTGACAGAGCCGTGGTCAGGGAATGCCCCTCGTCAAGGAAGAATGACATTTCTGCAGAGCCCTAGGTGGGCCTGCTTGTCCTCCTTACCCCCGCCACCAGCCTCGTCCTCCCCAGGTGCCGCCTGCCCCTGTCAACAAGGACGACTTTGCCCTGGTCCAGCGGCCTGGCCCGGGTCTGTCTCAGGAGGCCGCCCGGCGCTATGGTGAACTCACCAAGCTCATACGGCAGCAGCACGAGGTGAGGGGGAGGCCCCCAGCCCATCCCCCAGGAGCGTGACCCTCCTTCCCCTCTCTTCCCTTCCCTCGACTCACTGCCTTCTGTTTCCCCAGATGTGCCTGAACCACTCAAACCAATTCACCCAGCTGGGCAACATCACTGAAACCACCAAGTAAGTGCCCTGACCTGTGCCAGACACTTGCACCCCCAGCCACCCATCCCCAGGGCCAGGGACATGAGCAGGGCCCTCCCACCGGCAGGTTTGAAAAGTTGGCGGAGGACTGTAAGCGGAGCATGGACATTCTGAAGCAAGCCTTCGTCCGGGGTCTCCCCACGCCCACCGCCCGCTTTGAGCAAAGGACCTTCAGCGTCATCAAGTAAGGCTCCTGATCTACGCCCCACCACGTGGCCCCAGTGGCCCTTTGGTGGCGGTGGGGCGGGTTGTGCTCCCCAGAAGCTGGCACAAGATTTACATCTGGAAGAAATTTTGGATAGGTGGAAGAGCACAGAGCATGCAAAGGCTCTGGGGCAGGCATGAGATACAAGTGAAGGATGGTGAGGGTGCAGTCACAGTGACGCATTTGGGAAAGATCTAGAGAGTGCAAAGGTGTATCTTGTCCCAGGGCCTGGGTGAGTCCACGGGGGACCAGAGATGAGTCACGGCTTTGGTGGGTGTTAGTCTTGGTACTATCAAGTCTTCCCATGCCCAGAGGAGCGGGGATTGTTTTCTCCACTTTATTTTTATTTTTATTTTGAGACAGAGTCTCACTCTGTTGCCCAGGCTGGAGTGCAGGGGTGTGATCTCTGCTCACTGCAAGCTCCACCTCCTGGATTCATGCCATTCTCCTGCCTCAGCCTCCCGAGAAGCTGGGACTACAGCCGCCCACCACCACGCCTGGCTAATTTTTTGTATTTTTAGTAGAGACGGGATTTCACCGTGTTAGCCAGGATGGTCTCGATCTCTTGACCTCGTGATCCGCCCACCTCGGCCTCCCAAAGTGCTGGGATTACAGGCGTGAGCCACCACTCCCGGCCTTTTTTAAAATTTTTTTTCTGAGACAGTCTCACTTTGTCACCCAGGCGGGAGTACAGTGGCGCAATCTCAGCTCACTTCAACCTCTGCCTCCCAGGTTCAAGCAATTCTCCTGCCTCAGCCTCCCAAATAGCTGGGACTACAGGTGCCCACCACCATGCCCAGCTAATTTTTGTATTTTTAGTAGAGACGGGGTTTCATTCAGTTGGCCAGGCTGGTCTCCTTAAATGATCCGCCTGCCTTGGCCTCCCAAAATTCTGGGGTTACAGGAGTGAGCCACTGCGTCCGGCCCATTTTCTCCACTTTCTAAATGAGGTTAGGTGCAGCCACTAGCCCTCCGGTGGTTCCCAGCTGCCCTTGGGATAACCCCCACCCCTTACCCTGGCTCCCCCATCTCCACACAGCCTGGCTCCTTGTCACCTCTTCTCTGCCTCCTGTCCCCGCTTCACTCAGCTTTGGCCACAAGGGACTCTTTTTGGTCCCTCCTACAAACAAAGTGTGTTCCTACCCCAAGCCTCTGCATCAGCTATTTCTTCCGCCTTCACCCTCTTCCTCAGGTCTCCATGTGGCAGCTCCCTCTTGACATCTAGAGTCACCTATGATGTCACCTTCCCTCTAAGAGGCCCTCCCTATCTATCCGAGCAGTCTCTTCTGAGCACACTCCACTCTCCCCTCTCTGCTGAGTTTTTTATTGTTTTTCTATTTATGTACTTATGCTCATCTGTCCACTCAGCTAGATTGAGCACAGGGTATGGGTATTTACTTCTAGATCCCCAGCAGCTAGGGTACTGACTGGCACATAGTAGGTGCTCAAGAAATATTGTGAAATGAGGCCAGGCGTGCTGGCTCACGCCTGTAATCCCAGCACTTTGGGAGGCTGAGGTGGGTGGATCACGAGGTCAGGAGATCGAGACCATTCTGGCTAACATGGTGAAATCCCGTCTCTACTAAAAATACACAAAATTATCCGGGCGTGGTGGTAGGCGCCCATAGTCCCACCTTCTTAGGAGGCTGAGGCAGGAGAATGGCATGAACCTGGGAGGCAGAGCTTGCAGTGAGCAGAGATCGCACTGCACTCCAGCCTGGGCGACAGAGTGAGACTGTCTCAAAAAAAAAAGAAATATTGTGAAATGAATAGAAGGTCCCCCAGCAACTAGGACACTAGCTGGTGCTTTAATAGGACTCAAAAAATATTAAGTGAGGCCAGGCTGGGAGGCCAAGGCAGGCGGATCATTTGAGGTCGGGAGTTCGAGACCAGCCTGGCCAACATGGTGAAACCCCATCTCTACTAAAAATATAAAAATTATCCAGCAGTGGTGGCGGGCAGCTGTAATCCCAGCTACTCAGGAGGCTGAGGCAGAAGAATCTCTTGAATCTGGGAGGTGGAGGTTGCAGTGGGCTGAGGTCGTACCATTGTACTCCAGCCTGGGCGACAGAGCAAGACTCTGTCTAAAAAAAAAAAAAAAATATATATATATATATATATATATATACACGTATATATATGTGTATATATATATACATATATGTGTGTATATATATATATACGTATATATATGTGTATATATATATATATACACGTATATATATGTATATATACACACACACACACACACACACATATATATTAAGTGAAAAGAAGGTCCCCCAGCAGCTGGGGTACTGGCTGGCACATAGTAGGTGCTCAAGAAACATTGGGAAATGAAGGAAAGATCTCCCAGCAGCTAGGGCACTGGCTGATGCTTAGTAGGACTCAACAACTGTTAAGTGAAGGGAATATCACCCAGCAGCTAGGGTACCTAGCACACAGTAGATACCAAATAAATATACACAGACTGAAGAAAAGACTCGAAAGTGATCCATTGCCAACCTGAACAGAGAACTCTAGTCTGTCTGATTCTAAAATGAGCCCAGGAGCTGAGACACCCCCGAAGGCCAGGGTGGGGTTTGTTCCCTGCCCCCACTGGGGGAAGAGAAGGCAGGCGGGCAGTGGGACTGAGGTGCCTCTGTTTCCCTGCCCACCTGCCTGCCCACCTGCCCACCCGGAAGGATCTTCCCTGACCTCAGCAGCAACGACATGCTCCTCTTCATCGTGAAGGGCATCAACTTGCCCACACCCCCAGGTGAGGGGGCTGTAGGCAAGGGTCAGGGTCATGGGGACCCCCTCTCTGCCCAGCTCTGACCGTTGTTTGCCCACAGGACTGTCCCCTGGCGATCTGGATGTCTTTGTTCGGTTTGACTTCCCCTATCCCAACGTGGTACGTGGGGAGCTGAGGAGGGGAGGGCTGCAGCCTCAGTGGGCCAAAGCCAGGTCCCAGGCCCCCTAGATTTCCTGCCTCCTCTCTGGTCATAGGAAGAAGCTCAGAAAGACAAGACCAGTGTGATCAAGAACACAGACTCCCCTGGTGAGCCTCGGCTGGAAGCACCCTACCCCTACTCCCTTGCAGCAGAAGGGACATAAGACAATGGCCTGACCCCACCCAACTTCCTCTCCCTCCTTCCTCCTGCAGAGTTCAAGGAGCAGTTCAAACTCTGCATCAACCGCAGCCACCGTGGCTTCCGAAGGGCCATCCAGACCAAGGGCATCAAGTTCGAAGTGGTTCACAAGGGGTGAGCTAGAGAGAGCCATGGCCGCTGGGTGGGCTCCAGGGGAGGGGAGCTCCTCTGAACCAACCATCCTGTCCCCACTATACACACATGCACACAGGGGGCTGTTCAAGACTGACCGGGTGCTGGGGACAGCCCAGCTGAAGCTGGATGCACTGGAGATAGCATGTGAGGTCCGGGAGATCCTTGAGGTGAGAGGTGGACATTCATCCGCGTGCTCCGGTATGGCCATGCTACTCGTTAACATTATTAAAACACTTCCTGCCTTGAGCCCTCTATGAGCCTGTCTGTTGACCCAGCCCCTCCCCTCAGAGCCTCAGACCTCCCTACTGCCCAGCCCTAAATACTTGCAGTACCCCACTCCATTATGATCAACTGGTATCTCAGCCATACCATGGGCTCATATTTTAGAAACCACTCTTGGCCAGGCATGGTGGCTCATGCCTGTAATCCCAGCACTTTGGGAGGCTGAGGCGGGCAGATCACGAGGTCAGGAGATCGAGACCATCCTGGCTAACATGGTGAAACCCTGTTTCTACTAAAATACAAAAAAATTAGCCAGGCATGGTGGCGGGCGCCTGTAGTCCCAGCTACTCGGGAGGCTGAGGCAGGAGAATGGCGTAAGTAAACCCAGGAGGCGGAGCTTGCAGTGAGCCCAGATTGCACCACTGCACTCCAGCCTGGACAACAGAGCGAGACTCTATCTCAGAAAAAAAAAAAACCAAAAAAAAAAACCAGTCTTGTTCTCCCTTGTCCTGGCCCTGGGCCTCTAGTCACTTCCTGCTTCCCACCAACAGTTTCTCCTTACCCCCACCCAGGTCCTGGATGGTCGCCGGCCCACAGGGGGGCGACTGGAGGTAATGGTCCGGATTCGGGAGCCACTGACAGCCCAGCAGTTGGAGACGACGACAGAGAGGTGGCTGGTCATTGACCCTGTGCCGGCAGCTGTGCCCACAGTGAGACCCCCCACCCCCACCCATCAGCAACCCCAGGGAGGGAAGCTTGGTTCAGGGGCCCAGGACTCACAGGACTGGTTCTCTCCTCTGAAGCAGGTTGCTGGGCCCAAAGGGAAGGCCCCTCCTGTGCCTGCCCCTGCAAGGGAGTCAGGGAACAGGTAGGTATCTGGGCCAGGGCATGCTGGAGAAAACACCCAATTCCCCTCTCAGCCCCACCTGGACAGTTTCCCACCAGGCACAAATTGGACCACGTCCCTCTCCTGCTGCAAAACCTTTCTTGGCACCCCTTTTCCCAGAGGATCCAGTTTAAACTCCTTGGTTTGGTCTTTAAAACCTTTTGTGATCTGACCATTGTCAACATATCCAGGCTTCTCTCTCCCTACTCCCTCCTGTGGTTCATGTCCATGAATAGTTTTCACTGGCCTCTGGACTTCTGTGGGTTCCAGTGCCCTGAACACCCCTACCTAGGGTAGGGGTGTTCCTTGTTCCTCTGCCCACCTCTGATTCCTTCTTTGGATCCCAACTTGGCTGTTACCTCCTCCAGGAAGCCCTCCCTGACCACTAGGCATCATAGTTTCCTGGGTGTGCAGCCATCATCCCCGCTAGGTTTTGGGATCAGTAACACCGGGTGGTTCTCGGCTGTCTCCCACCATACCCCCAGTGCCCAGTGTGTCTTTTTTTTTTTTTTTTTTTTTTGAGACAGAGTCTAGCTCTGTCGCCCAGGCTAGAGTGCAATGGCGCGATCTCAGCTCACAGCAACCTCCGCCTCTGGGGTTCAAGCGATTCTCCTGCCTCAGCCTCCTGAGTAGCTGGGATTACAGGCATGCGCCACCACACCCAGCTAATTTTTCTATTTTTAGTAGAGATGGGGTTTCTCCATGTTGGTCAGGCTGGTCTCGAACTCCCGACCTCAGGTGATCTGCCTGCCTCGGCCTCCCAAAGTGCTGGGATTACAGGCATGAGCTACCATGCTCGGCTTTTTTTTTTTTTTGAGACAGAATCTTGCTCTGTCACCCAGGTTGGAGTGCAGTGGTGTGATCTCGGCTCATTGCAACCTCCAGCTCCCAGGTTCAAGCAATTCTTCTGCCTCAGCCTCCCAAGTAGCTGGGACTAC
The DNA here is from genome assembly GCF_000001405.40 of Homo sapiens. NCBI lineage: Eukaryota > Metazoa > Chordata > Mammalia > Primates > Hominidae > Homo > Homo sapiens. Next base: position 140,986 of record NW_021160022.1, read on the forward strand.
AGGAGCACACCACCATGCCCAGCTAATTTTTTTTCTATTTTTAGTAGAGACGGGGTTTCACCATATTGGCCAGGCTGGTCTCGAACTCCTGACCTCATGATCCACTCACCTCCGCCTCCCAAAGTGCAGGGATTACAGGCGTGAGCCACTGTGCCCAGCCCAGTGTGTCTTTTGAATTAACAGGGTTGGGCTGGGGGAATCTCTGCAGTCCCTTATCCTTCCTCCACCCCTTAGATCAGCCCGGCCCCTGCATAGCCTCAGTGTGCTGGCGTTTGACCAAGAGCGTCTGGAGCGGAAGGTGGGTATCCATCCTGCCGGGCTACATGGGGCAGGACTGGGGAGTCTGCAGGCCCAGGCAGGATCCTCACAGGACCCTCTGTATCCTCTAGATCCTGGCCCTCAGGCAGGCGCGGCGGCCGGTGCCCCCAGAAGTGGCCCAGCAGTACCAGGACATCATGCAACGCAGCCAGTGGCAGAGGGCACAGCTGGAGCAGGGGGGTGTGGGCATCCGACGGGGTAGGGGTTTGGAGATGGGCATCTGGTGGGGGAGGAGCTCCAGGATAGGCATGGGGGGGGAGGTGCTCAGGGATGCATATCTGGTGGGGGAGGGGCTCGGGGATGGGCATCTGGAGAGGGAGGGGCTCGGGGATGGGCACCTGGAGGGGGAGGGGCTCGGGGATGGGCACCTGGAGGGGGAGGGGCTCGGGGATGGGCATCTGGAGAGGGAGGGGCTCGGGGATGGGCACCTGGAGGGGGAGGGGCTCGGGGATGGGCACCTGGAGGGGGAGGGGCTCGGGGATGGGCACCTGGAGGGGGAGGGGCTCGGGGATGGGCACCTGGCGGGGGACGGGCTTGGGGATGGGCACAGTCCAGGAGGGTTGTGGGCAGTGAGGCCCCACCCTAAGCCTCCATTCCCCCGCCATCCATTCTCAGAATACGCAGCCCAGCTGGAGCGGCAGCTGCAGTTCTACACGGAGGCTGCCCGGCGCCTGGGCAACGATGGCAGCAGGGTGAGCTGGTCGCGGGCCGGGTGGGCACTGGGCAGCGGGCAGGGTGGGGCCTGCAGGGACTACCTGCTGAATGCCCATCCCCCACAGGATGCTGCAAAGGAGGCGCTCTATAGGCGGAATCTGGTAGAGAGTGAGGTAAGCAGCTTAGGAGATGGGGTGGTTGGGGGATCACTGTGGTCGTAGCCCACCTCCATGACCCCAGTGGCCTCCTCTCCCCCAGCTGCAGCGGCTCCGCAGGTGAGGAGCCCATGGGGCGGGCAGCCCCCAGAAAGCGGGCAGCAGGCCCCGATACCGGGAAGAGCCGACACAGCCACGAACCAGACAAGCAGACAATCAGCGGACAATCGGTTCTGGACTCACCCCTCATCCGGGCCCCCAGCCCCGCCAGAGCCTCCGTGGCTGCGGGTGTTGGGAACCATGCCTGCCAGCCAGTATGTGCCCCTCACCCAGGCCTGGCTGGGCCCTGGAGAGTCCTGTTTGCACAGCCCAGGGGTGTCCGGCCTCTGGCCCGCCCCGGAGCAGGGAGGGTGGCTGGGGCCAAGCCCCGAGGGCCCCTGCAAGCACTTTACTTCCTGTTCCTCCCCAGCCTTAACCCCAAAGCCCTCCTGCACCCCAAAGAAGCCACTGAGGCTGGCCGAGCCACACTGTCTCCCCAGGGGCGTCGACCTGGCCCAGCTGGGTCCCCAGGGCCAGCACATGGAATAAAATAGCCAGGGCCACACTCAGCCCAGCTCTGTCCTGTCTGTTTCTTGCTCAGACCCTCGGTGGCCAGGCTAGGTCTTCCCACCCACCCCCCGGTTCCCCTGGAAGTGGATGGGGAGGCGCCTGTTAGGGAAGCAGTTTTGGGGAGGGACAGTGTGCTTGTGAAAGGTGCTTTTTTTTTTTTTTTTTAGAGACCGGGTTTCCCTCTGTCACCCAGGCTGCAGCGCAGTGGCACAATCAGCTCATTGCAGCCTCCGACTCCTGGGCTCACATGATCCTCCTGCCTCAGCCTCCTAACGGATTACAGAAGGGCACCACCACACACCCAGCTTGAAGGATGCATTTCATTCCCATGCTTGCTGTGGGGGGGGATACATGTGAGGGTCCCTATATCTGTCACCCAGTGTTTTTTCAGTGGGTGGCCTTGGGCGTCCCTGCAATCACACGTGGCTAGGTCGCACAGGGTGCTGTTTGGTGACCCCAGTGTGTGCCTCAAGACCTCAAAATTCAGTCCTGACCCACTTAGCATCCCAGAGCCTCAGTTTCCCCAGCTGGACTGGTTGTGGGGAGGAGTCCGTGGACAGAGCCCCCAAAGGGTGCCTGGTCCGTGCTGAGTGCTGGAAGGGTTTGGCTTTATTGTTGCTGCCTCCATCTGTGTTGGGAGTTTGGGGTAGGGTGTGTCCCGCCAGGCCGGCGTGGTCTGTGAGCCTGGAGTATGCCAGCTGTGTGCCTCTGTGTCTCGGCCAGTGGCAGGCAGAGCAGGCCCAGCCCTGGAGGCCCAGGAGAGCCAGACCAAGGGCCCCTGGTGGGCGTTGTCTCCTCAGTCCACGGCCCAGCGGAGTCCCAGGAGTCTGAGCTGCTCTGCTGGGCCTCTCTAGGATCAGGGGCCCCCTGCCCGTGGCCCACGTGGGGTGGTGGGAGGCAGCCGGATCAGGACCTGCTCCGGATTCCCTGCCGTGTCCACCACACGCAGGTTTGGGAGCCCCAGGAAGGCCTCAGCCGCGATGCTCGTCATGTGAAGCCTGTTGGCCCTGCACAGAGAGGCGGTCATGACCCTCCCAGGCCCTCCCCTGCCCACCTCCACCCCTCCGGTCACCCTCGGGGCACCTGAGGAAGAGGGCACGCAGGCGGGGTGTGCTGAGGAAGGCCTCGGGGCCCACGTGGCCGATGCGGTTGCCCTCGAGGTGCAGCTCCTCTAGGGCCTCAGGCAGGTCCGGGGGCACAAAGGACAGCTCATTGTGGCTGAGGTCCAGCATCTGGGCAGGGGGTTATAGATGGCATCGTGGCAGCCCCAGGCCTGGGCCACTCAGCTCAGCCAGCCCCCAACCTCTCTGAGAGTCCCCTGCCCCCTTCATACCAGCCTGGCCCTTCTGCCCCCCACCCCCCATGATTGCCAAATTCCTCCCTTCTGCAGAGGTAAACTAAGGCCCTTCCCAGGAAGGCACAGACAGACAGGTCCCCACTTGATTAAATGAGTCAGTCATTGAATCGCACCATACCTCTTTCATCACTTTTTTTTTCAAGAGACAGGGTCTTGCTCTGTTGCCCAGTCTAGAGGGCAGTGGCCCGATCACGGCTCATTGCAGCCTCAAACTTCTGGGCTCAAGCGATCCTCCTGCCTCAGCCTCCTGAATAGCTGGGACTACAGGCATGTGCCACCACGCTTGGCTATGTTTTTTTGGTAGAGATAGGGTCTTGCTGTGTTGCCAGGCTGGTCTCAAACCCATAGCCTAAAGCGATTCTCCTGCCTTGGCTCCCCAAAGTGCTGGGATTACAGGCATGAGCCACCTCACCCAGCCTCCTCATCACCTTCTAACCCACTCTTATCATTTTCTTGTTCTGATTGCTTTACCAGCTAACTAGAATGTTTGGGACGTGGCAGGGCAGGCAGGGGGATGGAGGGGCCCTGGGGACAGTGTGGCTAACCAGCCTGTGCCTGACCTGGAGGGCTTGGAGCTCATGCCAGGTGCCTGGCCCGATGTCGCCGACCCGGAGCCGGTTGTGCGCCAGGCTGAGCTCCCGCAGTTGGTCCAGGCCGGCCAGAGGCTCGGGCTCGAGCATCCGCAGCTGGTTGCGTTGCAGCTGCAGGGTGCGCAGGCCAGTGGGCAGGCCCATGGGCAGCCGGGTTAGCTGATTCCCTGCCAGGTCGAGGCTGCGCAGGGCACGCAACCGGCGGAAGGCCCGGTGGTGCACACGGGCGCTGGCCAGGCGGTTATAGGCCAGGTTAAGCTCCGTCAGGCCCGGTGTGGCGACCAGGTCACGGGCACCCAGCGCGGCCACGTGGTTGTGGGGCAGCACCAGGGCACGCAGGCGGCGGGGCAGGGCTGGAGGCACGCGGTCCAGCCCATTGCCATAGAGGTGCAGCGTGTGCAGGCCCCGCAGCGGCCGCAGAGCCCCGGCGGGCAGCCCTGAGCTCCCCAGCTGGTTGTGCTGCAGCAACAAATAGCGCAGACCACGCGCCCCGTGCAGCCGAGCCGCCTCCACCTGCCGGATGCGGTTGCGGCCCAGGTGCAGGATAGCCAGGGTCCGGGGCAGGCCGGCGGGCACTGTGGTCAGCTGGTTGTGGGAGAGATCCAGGTATTCAAGGCTATGCAGCTTGCTGGAAGGAGAGAGGGTCGGTGTTAGGTGGGGCACTTGGAGTGGGGTGCCTGACAGATTTTGGCGGGGAGGCTGGGGAGTGGTCCTGAGACAGATTTAAGCTGGAGATTTTGACTTGGGAGTGATGCGTGGAGAGAGCTGGGTGGGAGGTAAACTTGGGGTGCCCAGGGCAGATTCCAGCCTGAGAGTTAGCTATGGGGGTGACCAGGGTAGAGCCGAGATGGAAAGGCATGTGAGACTTACGATGTCAGTGCAGGGCTGTGGGGAACAGGGACACCTACCCAGTGCTCTGCCGAGCCCAGTGAGCAGCAGGCACTCAGTAAATGAGGCCGTGGCTTAGGAGCCAGTCAGGGAAGGGGGACTGAAGGTTGGGACCCCCGACTGTAAATTCTCAGCCCCTGCTGCCCCCCAACCAGCCTGTACCTGAAGGTGGTGGCATCCAGGCCACTGTCTGTCAGCTGGTTGTGCTGGAGGTAGAGCTCACGGAGTTGAGTCTGGCGGCTCAGGGCTCCTCGGGGCACCTTGGAGATGAGATTGTTCTGGAGAAGGAAGAAGAGAATGAGACTTGAGTCTGGGATGAGGGCAGCGGGAAGCCACAGACGGCTCTTGAGTAAGGGAGTGACGAGGAGCTTGCCTTGAGCTCAAAGCGATTTCCAATAAAGTGATTCAAAGAAGGATAACTCTGACCACTGGCATTCTGAGGGGCAATTGAGAAGAATGGAAAGCTAGGAACTGGAGGGGTCCCCCTGGAAAGAGGTGAAGAGAGTCTGGCCCGGGGTGGGACCTACAGCAGGGCTACCTGCAGGTGGAGCCGCTCGAGTGAGGGCGGCAGGCTGGGCGGCAGGTAGCTGAGCTGGTTGTTGGAGAGGCTGAGGGTGGCGATGGCCTCGGAGCCGCGGAAGGCGTCGGGGGGCAGGCCAGCGTTGCTCAGCTGGTTGTTGTGGAGGTACACGGACCTGAGGAGAGCCAGGCTCCGGCCACCAGCCTGCCCCTCGCCTCCTACCACCCCACTCCCGCACCACACCCTGCTCAGGGTCGCCTTCAGTGTGTGTGTGTGTGTGTGTGTGTGTGTGCGCGCGCATGTGTGGAGTCTGTGTGGGAATGTAATTGTGTATGTGTGCATGTGACTGTGCGTAGGTGTGCAGGTGAGTGTGCATGTGTGTTGTATGAATAGACGTGTGTGCATGTGTGAGCAGTGTGCATGTGTAAGTGTAATGAGTGCATATGTGGAGTGTGTGTGCACGTGTGTATGTGATTGTAAGAGTGTGTGGGCGTGCATGTGTGTATGTATATGCAAGTGTGTGCTATGTGCCTGTGCATAAGTGTGCATGGGTGAGTGTGTGCATGTGATTGTAAGTGTGGGTGTGCATGTGTGCATGCCTGTGCATAAGTGTGCATGTGATTGTGTGTGTGCAGCCGAGTGTGCAACTGTGTGTATGCATGTATGTCCATGTGTGCATGTGATCATGTGCAAAAGTGTGAGCATTGTGTACATATGTGCATGTGTGTGCTTGTGTGTGCATGTGATTGCGTGTGCATGCATGAGTGTGTGCCTGTGTGCATGTGGTTGGAAGTGTGTGCAGGTGTGTATGTGAGTCTGTGTGTGTGCTTGTGTGTGCATGTGATTGTGTGTGCATGAGCATGTGTTCATGTGGTTGTGTGTGCAGGTGTGTATGTGAGTCTGTGTAAGTGTGTGTGTGTGTGTGTCCCTGCACATACTGTCTCCACCTCAGTCTGGAGTTCTGACACAGCATACAGGGCCCTGTCTCCCCGCTCACTCTCCTCCCAGGGTAGAACTATGCCCTCTTCCCACTCCCCAAGGCTAGGGATCTGTCCCTGGTTAAGCCCTCCAGGGCAAGGCATTTTGTTTCTGTTTTTGTTTTTAATTTTGAGACAGAGTCTCACTCTGTCGCCCAGGCTTGAGTGCGGTGGCACGATTTCGTCTCACTGCAAACTCCACCTCCTGGGTTCAAGCCAGTCTCCTGCCTCAGCCTCCTGAGTGGCGGGGATTACAGGCGCACACCACCACCCCCAGCTAATTTTTGTATTTTAAGTAGAGACAGGGTTTCATCATGTTGGCCAGGCTGGTCTCGAACTCCTGACCCCAGATGATCCTCCCACCTTGGCCTCCCAAAGTGCTAGGATTACAGGAGTGAGCCACTGCACCCGGCCGAGGGCAAGGTCTTAACTCCCTCATTGCTCCTAGAACCGGGGCATGACACAGATGTATCTGAGGCCTGGGGGCCTGGGCTGGGCCAGGGTCTACCTGAGTGCCGGCTTCTCCCCAAAGGTGAGGGGGAAGATCTCCATCACTTGGTTGGCAGCCAGATCCGCGACACGGAGGGACCGGGGCAGAAACTGAGGGGCCACTGAGAGCTGTGGGGACACAGCCCACAGCCGGACTGGTCCTGGTGCGCCTTGGCCCCACCACTTCCCCAGCAGAGCTGTCCCCTCCACACCCTGGGCTGAGTGACTGAAGCTGCACCCTCACTGGGCTCGGCCTGCGGGTGGGGCTGGGGGCTCACCTTGTTGTGAGCCACGCAGAGGTGCTGCAGCTGGGTGAGGGACTCGAAGGCCTCGTCAGGCAGGCCTGGGAGAGTAGGGGGGCAGTGAAGGGACCCCAGGCCTGTCTTGGGTGGAGGGGGAGTCTGGGCTCCCAGCTGCCCCAGGACTCTCGGCCGGGGAACTGGCAGAGGCTCCCCAGGCCCTCAGATCCCCTCCTCCCCATCCCTACTCAAAAGCCACAGCCCCCAACCCCCACCCCAGCTCCTGAGTTTCCATCCTGCTCAGCAAAGGGCAGTTCTGGGAACTGCCACAGAGCTGCCCGCAGATGGGGCGGGGGAGGGGGATGGCAGCTGAGACCTCGGTCAGTCCTACAGCCCCAGAGAGGCCGCCTCCCTCTGCCCCCTCACCTTCGGAGGAGATGAGGTTGTTGTGGAGGTTGAGGGTTCGCAGGCCACTGAGGCGGGACAGCTCATTGTAGGGGAGTTCCTGGAGCTGGTTGTTCTGCAGGGTGAGAGTTGGGGTGTTCACACCCGTGACCCCGTGACCAAGTGACCCCAAGCACTGATTCTCAACTTCCCATCAGCCCAAACCAGCCCCATACCATCATCACCCCCACAGTTAATCCCAAACACCCCATCACTCTGACCCAGTCTTATAACTGCCAAGATGTCAAACCCCAAACCCCCACAATCGACCCCAAATGTGCCATCACCCCCACAATCGACCCCAATTCCCCCAACACCCCCACAATCAACCCAAATGTGCCATCACCCCCACAACCGACCCCAAATGCACCATCACCCCCACAATCGACCCCAAATTCCTCAACACCCCCACAATCAACCCCAAATGTGCCATCACCCCCACAATCACCCCCAAATGCACCATCACCCCCACAATCGACCCCAAATGCCCCAACACCCCCACAATCGACCCCAAATGCGCCATCACCCCCGCAATCAACCCCACATGCCACAACACCCCCACAATCGACCCCAAATGCGCCATCACCCCCGCAATCAACCCCACATGCCACAACACCCCCACAATCGACCCCAAATGCGCCATCACCCCCGCAATCAACCCCACATGCCACAACACCCCCACAATCGACCCCAAATGCGCCATCACCCCCGCAATCAACCCCACATGCCACAACACCCCCGCAATCGACCCCAAATGTGCCATCACCCCCGCAATCAACCCCACATGCCCCAACACCCCCGCAATCGACCCCAAATGTGCCATCACCCCCGCAATCAACCCCACATGCCCCAACACCCCCGCAATCGACCCCAAATGTGCCATCACCCCCGCAATCAACCCCACATGCCCCAACACCCCCGCAATCGACCCCAAATGCGCCATCACCCCCGCAATCGACCCCAAATGCGCCATCACCCCCACAATCGACCACAATGCGACATCACCCCCACAATTGACCCCAAATGCGCCATCACCCCCACAATCGACCCCAAATGTGCCATCACCCCCACCATCAACCCCACACGCCACAACATCCCCATAACCCCAAACTCCCCATCACACTAACTCCAAACAACACTATAACCGCCAAGATGTTGACCCTAACACCACTAATCCTCAGTCCCCGACAACTTCCAGCATGTCCACGCTCACCCCTCTCATCTTGGGCATGCAGAGCCAATCTGCCAAGGCAAAGCTCCATCACAGCCTGCTCTGCACCGCCCTCCTGCAAGTGTGTTCCTATACCCCACCACGCTCCTCAGCTCTGGGGCACCCCTCCAGCTCCCCTCACCACTGGGTCTCAGCCCTGCATGCCCCCACTCCCCTCCGTGGGCCCCACCTGCAGGGAGAGGTGCTGAGCGGCTCTGGTGATGTTGTCCGGGAACACTCGAAGGTCCAAGCCATCACAGTCCACAGTGTCGACTCGGGGGCAGGAGCAGCGCAGGGGACAGGCCCGGGGCAGGGGCTGCAAGCTCTCCCCCAGGTGGGGGAAGGCAGCGTCTTCCAAGCCGGCGACGGGCGGGGGCCCCGGCAACAGCAGGAGCAGCAGCAGGCTCGGCCACTGCGGGGGAGGGAGGGTCAGCGTGTCTCCAGGCTGGGCGCAGGGTCGCCATGGTGACTGGAGCATCCCCTCCTCGGGGAGGGTCTTGGTGGGGAGGCAGTGGCCAGTTGGCAGAGCAGGGGTGGGGGGGCAGGCAGGCCCCACCCTCAGACCCTCCCGTGCCCCACCTTACCATGGCCAGCCCTGACTCTGCCATCTCGCCCAAGCTGCTGACCAGGACTTCCTAATGGAAACCAGGCGGTCACCTCCTGGAGCCTCTGCTGTGGCCACCACCGCCCCCCATCTCCAGACCCATGCCACCCCCCACAACAGCCTGTTCTCCCGGGGCTTTGGGGGAGCTGGCCCACCCCCTTCCCCGCCCTGGGGAGGACGGGCAGGCGGCCGGATGGGGTGGTGAGGACAGGCCAGCCCGTCCCCTTGGTCCCCCCCAACAACCACCCCATCTCTGCTTTCGTAACCTCAGCCAGCCTGGGCCGGGCCACAAGAACAAGGAATGTTTGGGGAAAAGCTGAGATTCGTCCTGTCTGGTATTTGGGACGACCGCAGGAGTAGGGGTGGGGATGGAGGGATGGGGGGAGCTTCGGGGCACAGGAGAGTTCCGAGAAGCAGGGGCGGGCAGCAGCGAGGGATTAGGGAGGCCTGAGCTTAGCCTGGCAGCCCAGATGCCAGCCTGGGAGCTCCTGACCAGGTCTGCTGCCCGGCACCCACCTCCCCTCTGCTGGCTGGTCTTGCTCCAGACACCCGCCCCCTCCTCCCCCCGCAAATGGCCACAGCCGCCTGGAAGGAAATTACATATATCCAGGCATCAGCCTGGTGGTTAAGAGTGTGAGCTTGGTGCCAGCCTGCCTGGGTTTGAACCTGGGCTGTGCCACCTCTCAGGGCCTTGGTTTCCCTTTCTGGGGTAATGGTTGGCTCACCACCCCACACTCCCCCACAGTGTTGTAAGGATTATACGAAGTGTGCATTCAGAACAGTGCCTGGCATATCCCAGGGCTTTGGCACCCGTGGATGGGGGTGACAAGCTGGTCTCCACATGAGGTCAATTCTCCCAGACCCACAACTTACCAACAGGGCGGCTTCAGACAGGTCCTTCTCCTGCCCAGACCTCAGCTTTCCCACACATAAAATGGGATTGACAGGCTGGGTGCTGGGGTTTATACCTGTAATCCCAGTGCTTTGGGAAGCTGAGACAGGAGGATCTCTCTTTTGTTTTTTGAGACAGAGTCTCACTCTGTCACTCTGTCGCCTAGGCTGGAGGGCAGTGGCGTGATCTCGGCTCACTGCAACCTCCACCTCCGGGGTTCAAGTGATTCTCCCGCCTCAGCCTCCCAAGTAGCTGGGATTACAGGCGCCTCCCACCATGCCCAGCTAATTTTTGTATTTTTAGTACAGACAGGGTTTCGCCAAGTTGGCCAGGCTGGTCTCGAACTCCTGACCTCAGGTGATTTGCCCACCTTGGCCTCCCAAAGTGCTCGGATTACAGGCATGAGCCACCACATCTGGCTAGAAGGATCTCTTGAGGCCAGGAATTTGAGACCAGACTGGGCAATATAGTGAGACCCTGTCTCTAAAAATAAATTTAAAAAAAAATTAGCCTGGGCTGGGCTCCATGGCTCACACCTGTAATCCCAGCACTTTGGGAGGCTTAGGCAGGCGGATCACCTGAGGTCAGGAGTTCCAGAGCATCGAGCCCAACATGGTGAAATCCTGTCTACTAAAAATACAAAAATTAGCTGGGCATGATGGCACGTGCCTGTAATCCCAGCTACTCCAGAGGCTGAGGCACGAGAATCGCTTGAACCTGGGAAGTGGAGATCACATCACTGCACTCCAGCCTGGGCAACAGAGCAAAACTCTGTTTCAATAATAATAATAATAATAATAACTAACCTGGTATGGTGGTGCACACCCACAGTCCCAGGTACTCAGGAGGCCAAGGCAGGAGGAACACTTGAGCCTCTGGGCTCAAGTTTGAGGTTACAATGAGCTATGTGCCACTGCACGCCACTCTGGGCAACAGAATAAAACCCTGTTATTAAATAAAGAAAAAAAAAGTGGGGGGATGACAAACCCCCCCCCTCAAAGAGCTGTCTTGAAGCAGAACGAGGCAGTGGGTAGAACATTTTAAGAATGGTGGCTGGGTGTGGTGGCTCATGCCTGTAATCCCAACACTTTTGGAGGCTGAGGCAGGAGGATGGCTCTAAGCCCAGGAGTTTGAGACCAGCCTGGTCAATAATGGTGAGACCCCCGTCTCTAAAAAAATTTTTTAAAAACTTTGTGGGGGGCCAGGCGCGGTGGCTCACACCTGTAATCCCAGCACTTTGGGAGGCCGAGGCAGGTGGATCACAAGGTCAAGAGATCGAGACCATCCTGGCTAACACTGTGAAACCCCATCTCTACTAAAAATACAAAAAATTAGCTGGGTGTGGTGGTGCGCGCCTGTAGTCCCAGCTACTCAGGAGCCTGAGGCAGGAGAATCACTAGAACCAGGGAGGCGGAGGTTGCAGTGAGCCGAGATCACGCCACTGTACTCCAGCCTGGGTGACAGAGCAAGACTCCGTCTCAAAAAAAAAAAAAAAAAAAAACTTAGCGGGGGCCAGGCGCGGTAGCTCACACCTGTAATCCCAGCACTTTGGGAGGCCGAGGTGGGCAGATCAGCTGAGGTCAGGAGTTCGAGACCAGCCTGGCCAACATGGCGAAACCCTGTCTCTACTAAAAAATACAAAAATTAGCTGGGTGTGGTGGCATGTGCCTGTAATCCCAGCTACTTGGGAGGCTGAGGCAGGAAAATGGCTTGAACTTGGGAGGCAGAGGTTGCAGTGAGCAGAGATTGTGCTACTGCACTCCAGTCTGGGCTATGGTGCGAGACTCTGTCTCAAACAAAACAAAACTTAGCGGGGCATGGTGGTGTTGCCTGTAGTCCCAGCTACCAGGGAGGCTGAAGTGGGAGGATCACATGAACCCAGGAGGTTGAAGCTGCAGTGAGCCGTGTTCATGCTACTGTACACCAGCCTGGATGACAGAGTGAGACCCTGTCTCAAAAATGAATGAATAAATAAAAATAAAAGTATAGTGTCGGCCAAGGACGGTGGCTCACACCTGTAATCCCAGCACTTTGGGAGGCCAAGGCAGGTGGATCACCTGAGGTCAGGAGTTTGAAACCAACCTGGCCAACATGGTGAAACCCAGTCTCTACTAAAAATACAAAAATTTCCTGGGCACGGTGGTGCATGCCTGTAATCCCAGCTACTCAGGAGGCTAATGCAGGAGAATTGCTTGAACCTGAGAGCTGGAGGCTGCAGTGAGCCGAGATCACACCACTGCACTCCAGGCTGGGTAACAGTGAGACTCCGTCTCAAAAAAAAAAAAAAAAAAAAAGTATAGCGTCTGCTCAGCTTGGGAGTGGCCAAGGCCAGGAGTTGGAGTCTCCCAGAAGCAGAGCTTGAGACAAGGATTGAGTGCATTTATTCCAGAGAAGGCAGGCAGTGATACAGGGGAGGGAGGAAGTGATCAAGAAACAGTGGCTGGGCGCAGTGGCCCACGCCTGTAATTCCAGCACTTTGGGAGGCTGAGGTGGGCAGATCACCTAAGGTCAGGAGTTCGAGACCATCCTGGCCAACAAGGTGAAACCCCGTCTCTACTAAAAATACAAAAAAATTAGCCAGGCATGGTGGCAGGCACCTATAATCCCAGCTACTTGGGAGGCTGAGGCAGGAGAATTTCTTGAACCTGGGAGGTGGAGGTTGCAGTGAGCCGAGATTGCATCACTGCACTCCAGCCTGGGCGACAGTGCAAGACTCCATCTCAAAGAAAAAAAAGTTAAGAAACATGGGCCAAGAGAGGTGGTTATCTGTTCATGTTTCCTAGGGCTGTGTGACCTCCTGAGGGTCTCTCTTCATGGGGTGAGACAGGAGACGGGTCTTAGTTTAGGCCAGAAGAGAACAACAGCTCCTATCTCAAGTACTCCCCATGGGATGGATGGCCATTAGCTTGGACATTGGGTGGAAGTTCCTCAGTCTCTTCAGCAGTGTAATGGGGCTAACCCTAGGGAGACAGGACTACTGTAGCAGTCCTAGCCCCCAGGGAAGCAGCAATAAGAACCAAGATGTTTGAGTTCCGGGCAAGCCTCTTTCCATTGCAAAGGAAGGAGAACCCAAACTGAACTAGCTAATACAAACAAGGGCATTTACTGGCTCATGAACAGAAAACCTGTATCCTTCAGGCACAGCTGGATCCAGGGGCTCCAGTGATCTCTTCTAGATGAATTCTCTCTTGAACTCTGAACTCTACTTGCAGGCTTCTGTATGTGGTGCTAAGACATTCCCAGAACCAATAAGCATTCTTCCCTGGCTTTAGTAGAAAGCCTCAGACTTAAATCTCATTGGCCTAAATTTGGTCACATGTCCATCCAGAGCCAATCCCTGGGGCCAGAGGGATGGAATGTGCTGATTGGCTAGGAACCTAACCATTGTTCCTGTAAATAACCCACTGGCCTTATCTTCCTGCAACAAACTCCCCTTCTGCCACACTGTCCTGTCCAGTCCTGCCTGGTCCTGCCCAGTTCTGCATTACCCAGCAGGGGCCTCTGCAGGGATAACAATGGAGTATGGTCCATCAATGTGGCCCCAGTGTCCAGCATGGAGCCTGGTATAATCAGTATTTAGTAAATATTTACAGAATGCACATAGGATTGGCTGTGCGCCCCTGTGGCTCACACCTGTAATCCCAGCACTTTGGGAGGCAGAGACGGGCAGATCATGTGAGGTTGGGAGTTTGAGACCAGCCTGGCCAACATGGTGAAACCCCATGTCTACTAAAAAATACAAAAAAAAACAACAAAAAAAATTAGCTGTGTATGGTGGTGCACACCTGTAATCCCAGCTACTCAGGAGGCTGAGGCAGGAGAATCGCTTGAGCTCAGGAGGCACAGGTTGCAGTGAGCCGCGATCACACCACTGCACTCCAGCCTGGGTGACAGAGCAAGACTCTCTCTAAAAAAAGACAGAAAGGGCCAGGCACGGTGTCTCATGCTGTAATCCCAGCACTTTGGGAGGCTGAGGCAGGCGGATCACCTGAGGTCGGGAGTTTGAGACCAGCCTGACAAACATGGATAAACCCCGTCTCTACTAAAAATACAAAATTAGCCAGGCATGGTGGCACATGCCTGTAATCCCAGCTACTCAGGAGGCTGAGGCAGAAGAATCACTTGAACCTGGGAGGCAGAAGTTGTGGTGAGCTGAGATCGCGCCATTGCACTCCAGCCTGGGCAACGAGAGTGAAACTCCAAAAAAAAAAAGAAGAAAAAAGAAAGAAAGAAAAGGAATGCATTCACAGTTCTGGAGGCTGGAAGTGGTTCCAGGCAACTTGGTGTTTCCTGGCTTGTGGCTGCATCACCCTAATCTCTGCCTCAGTTTCCACGTGGCCTTCTTCACTGAGCCTGTTTCTCCTCTCCTGTCTTTATTTATTTATTTTTGAGATGGAGTCTCGCTCTGTTGCTCAGGCTGGAGTGCAGTGGTGTGATCTTGATTCACTGCAAGCTCTGCCTCCTGGGTTCAGGCCATTCTCCTGCCTCAGCCTCCCAATTAGCTGGGACTAAAGGTGCATGCCACCACGCCCGGCTAATTTTTTTGTGTTTTTAGTAGAGACGGTGTTTCATCATGTTAGCCAGGATGGTTTCGATCTCCTGACCTCATGATCCACCTGCCTCAGCCTCCCAAAGTGCTGGGATTACAGGCGTGAGCCACCGCGCCCAGCCTCTCCTCTCCTGTCTTTTATAAAGACACTGGTCTTTGGATTCAGGGTCCACTCAGTTAATCTGGGATAATCTCATCTCAAGATCCTTAACTGAATTACATCGCAAAGACCTGTTTTCCAAATCAGGTCACATTCACGGCATCGGGGAGACAGGACATCTACCTATCTATTTGAGGGACACCATTCAAACCACGACATGGATTTACCTGGGTAGAGATAATCTTGTGGGAAAAAAAATTGCAGAATGATGCTAACAATGTAGATCATTTCCATATATTAAAACATACATATTGGCTAGCTCTGGGGGGAGACCTGAATGCTTGTGGCTGGGGGCAAAGAGAGGCTTGCCACTGGATATCCTTGTACATCTGTTTTTGTTTTGTTTTATTTATTAAATTAATTAATTAATTAATTTTTTTGACAGAGTCTCGCTCTGTCACCCAGGCTGGAGTGCAGTGGCGCAATCTCGGCGGCTCA
The DNA here is from genome assembly GCF_000001405.40 of Homo sapiens. NCBI lineage: Eukaryota > Metazoa > Chordata > Mammalia > Primates > Hominidae > Homo > Homo sapiens. The sequence goes on from NW_021160022.1 coordinate 156,079, forward strand.
CTGCAAGCTCCGCCTCCCGGGTTCACACCTTCTCCTGCCTCAGCCTCCCGGGTAGCTGGGACTACAGGCACCCGCCACCATGCCTGGCTAAATTTTTTTGTATTTTTAGTAGAGACAGGGTTTCACCGTGTTAGCCAGGATGGTCTTGATCTCCTGACCTCATGATCTGCCTGCCTTGGCCTCCCAAAGTGCTGGGATTACAGGCGTGAGCCACCACACCTGGCCCTATTTGTTTATTTTGAGACAAAGTCTCTCTGTTGCCCAGGCTGGAGTGCAGTGGCGGGATCTTTGCTTACTGCAGCCTCCGATCCCTGGGTTCAAGCGATTCTCGTGTCTCAGCCTCCCGAGTAGCTGGGACTACAGGTGCAGGCCATGATGCCTGGCTAATTTTTGTATTTTTAATAGAGACAGGTTTTGCCAAGTTGGCCAGGCTGGTTTCAAACTCCTGACCTCAATGATCCGCCCGCCTTGGCCTTCCAAAGTACTGGATTACAGATGTGAGCCACTACTCCTGGCCTGTTTGGGGTTTTTTTTTTGTTTGTTTTGGGGTTTTTTTGAGAGGGAGTCTCACTCTGTCACCCAGGCTGGAGTCCAGTGGCACGATCTCGGCTCACTGCGACCTCTGCCTCCTGGGTTCAAGCAATTCTTCTGTCTCAGTCTTCCCAGTAGCTAAGACTACAGGTGTACACCACCATGCTTGGCTAATTTTTGTATTTTTATTACAGACAGGATTTTACCATATTGGTCAGGCTGGTCTTGAACTCCTGATCTCAGGTGATCCACCCACCTTGGCCTCCCAAAGGGCTGAGGTTACAGGCATGAGCCACCACACTCGGCCTGTTTTATTTTGTTTTTTAAGAGACAGGAGCTCGCTATGTTTCCCAGTCTGAACTCCAACTCCCAGGCTCAAGCAATACTCCTGAATAGTTGGGGCCATGGGCATGCACCACTGTGCCCTGTACATCTGTTGAATTAAATAGCAAAAAAGTTGAGCAGGGTGCAGTGGCTCACACCTGTAATCCTAGCTACTCAGGAGCCTGAGGCAGGAGGAACACTTGAGGACAAGAGTTCAAAACCAGCCTGGGCAACATAGTGAGACCCTCATCTCTAAAAAAAAAAAAAATTCAGAAAATTAGGTTGGGCAAGGTGGCTCACGGTTGTAATCCCAGCACTTTGGGAGGTGGAGGTGGAAGGATTGCATGAGCCCGGGAGTTCAAGACCAGCCTGAGAAACAAAGTGAGACCCTGTCTCTACAATTTTTTTTTTTGAAATGGAGTCTCACTCTGCTGCCCAGGCTGGAGTGCAGTGGCATGATCTCGGCTCACTGCAACCTCTATCCCCCGAGTTCAAGTGATTCTCCTGCCTCAGCCTCCTGAGTAGTTGGAATTACAGGTGCCTGCCACTGCGCCCAGCTAATTTTTGTATTTTTAGTAGAGACACGGTTTCACCATCTTGGCCAAGCTGGTCTTGAACTCCTCACCTTGTGATCCACCCACCTCAGCCTCCCAAAGTGTTGGGATTACAGGCGTAAGCCACTGCACCTGGTGTTGTAGAGGCAGGAGAATCGCTTGAACCTGGGAGGCAGAGGTTGCAGTAAGCCGAGATCACACCATTGCACTCCAGCCTGGGCGACAGAGCGAGACTCCATTAAAAAAAAAAAAACAAACTTTTTAATTAGCTGGGCACAGTGGTGCATGCGTGTAGTTCCAGCTCCTTGGGAGGCTGAAGTGGGAAGACTGCTTGAGCCTGGGTGGAGTGCCACTGCACTCCAACTTGGGCAACAGAGCAAGACCCTGTTTCTAAAAAAGAAAAGAAAGGAAATGGTGGATACACACTGCTAACTTCAAGGGAGGATGAGAAACACCATCTTTCTACTGGGAAGCCACATGTTCAGATAAAAATGGAGTTTCTTGGCTGGGTACAGTGGCTCATGCCTGTAATCCTAGCACTTTGGGAGGCCGAGGTGGGCGGATCACGAGGTAAGGAGTTTGAGACCAGCCTGGCCAACATGATGAAACCCGTCTCTACTAAAAATACAAAAATTAGCCAGACGTGGTGGTGGGTACCCGTAATCCCAGCTTACTTGGGAGGCTGAGGCAGGAGAATTGCTTGAACCTGGGAGGCAGAGGTTGCAGTGAGCCAAGATCGAGCCATTACACTCCAGCCTGGGTGACAGAGCAAAACTCTGTCTTGGAAAAAAAAAAAAATTGAGTTTCTATCACTACTGCATAAAAGTGGGATGACCTGTAAAAAGGAAGCAATGAGGAGTTAGGACCACAAGGAAAATTGAGCCCAAGGCTTTCTGTGTTCAAAGCCACTGGTCTCCAAAGTTGGGTGTGGGAAATGAATCATAATTTCTAGTTCTATTTACCTGCCCCATCCTGTTTTATGGCCCTTTTCCAGGTATGATTTAATTCACAGGCTAGAAAGAGTGGTCTAAATGCACCTGTATAGTTGGGTTATTTGTAAACAAATACATATACGTATTAAGGGAGAGTCCAAGTGACGAACGATCAGAAATATGGGAAATCTTGGCTAGGTGCAGTGGCTCACGCCTGTAATTCCAGCACTTTGGGAGGCCGAGGTGGGCGGATCACGAGGTCAGGAGATCAAGACCATCCTGGCTAACATGGTGAAACCCCTTCTCTACTAAAAACACAAAAATTAGCTGGCCGTGGTGGTACGCACTTGTAGTCCCAGCTACTCGGGAGGCTGAGGTGGGAGAATTGCGTGAGGCTGGGAGGTCGAGGCTACAGTGAGCTATGATCACACCACTGCACTCCAGCCTGTCTCAAAAAAAAAAAAACACAAAAAAACAAAAAAAAAACACCATAAAAACACCTTTATAATAATTGTTGTAGGCGGAGGTTTCAGTGAGCCAAGATTGCACCACTGCACTCTAGCCTGGGTGAAAGAGCAAGACTCCATCTCAGAAAAAAAAAAAAAAAAAAAAAAAAAAAAGGCTGGCCATGGTGGCTCATGCCTGTAATCCCAGCACTTTAGGAGGCCAAGGCAGGTGGATCACCTGAGGCCAGGAGCTCAAGACCAGCCTGGTCAACATGGCGAAACCCCGTCTCTACTGAAAATACAAAAATTAGCTGGGCCTGGTGGTGCATGCCTGTAATGCCAGCTATTTGGGAGGCTGACGCAGGAGAATCACTTGAACCCGGGAGACGGAGGTTGCAGTGAGCTGAGATCGCACCATTGCACTCCAGCCTGGGTGACAAGAGCAAAACTCCACCTCAAAAAAAAAAAGAAAAAAAAAAGAATTGAGGTAAATTGCAGGACATCATGTTGGTGTCCACCAAGAATTGGGGAATTACTTGATTTGGGAGAAGCTGCCCCATCATCTGGTGTCAGAAGCGAAGGATTGAGAGTGATGTGATATAGAAGGAAAAACAGTCTGTTTGTCCCATGTACGTATTCAACTGACTTGGGCCAAACTGACTTCTCCCTAGTCTTCCTCATATCAAAAAATGGCACTAACATTTTGCTAAATATTCCACTCAGATGCTAAAGTCATCATTAACTTCTCTCTCCTTGCCCCTATCCCAATATCTTGTCCTTGAAAATGACCCCATCGGCTCTGACTATGGCCACTTTTCTCCATTTTCTTTCTTTATTTTTATTATTATTTCTGAGACAGCGTCTCATTCTGTTGCCCAGGCTGAAGTGCAGTGGTGCGATCATGGCTCACTTGCAGCCTTGAACTCCTGGGCTCAAGCGATCCTCTCACCTCAGCCTCCCAAGTAGCTGGGAGTACAGGCTCAGGCCCTCATGCTAATTTCTAAAATTTTTATAGAGATGGGATCTCACTATGTTGCCCAGGTTGGTCTCCGGGGATCAAGGGAGACTTTAAGCAATCCTCCCACTCAAGCCATCTCCTGCCTTGGTCTTCCAAAGCACTGAGATTACAGGCGTGAGCCACCACGGCCAATATTCTCCATTTTCTTTTCTTTTCTTTTCTTTTTTTTTTTTTGAGACGGAGTCTTGATCAGTCGCCCAGGTTGGAGTGCAGTGGCGCAATCTCGGCTCACTGCAAGCTCTCTGCCTCCCAGGTTCATGCCATTCTCCTGCCTCAGCCTCCTGAGTAGCTGGGACTACAGGCGCCCGCCACCACGCCCGGCTAATTTTTTTTTTTTTTTTTGTATTTTTAGTAGAGACGGGGTTTCACCATGTTTAGCCAGGATGGTCTCGATCTCCTGACCTCCTGATCCACCTGCCTCAGCCTCCCAAAGTACTGGGATTACAGGTGTGAGCCACCATGCCCGGCCGTATTCTCCATTTTCAATGCTAGTAGATTAATCTAAGTCAGCATCACCTACCCTCCTGGCTCCCCCAAGACTATTCCTGCCCCCATCCTCATCCCCCAAGACCATTCTGCACATAGCAGTCATAATAACATCCTCCTGGCCGGGTGTGGTGGCTCACGCCTGTAATCCCAGCGCTTTGGGAAGCCAAGGTGGGAGGATCACGAGGTCAGGAGATCAAGACCATCCTGACCGTCCTGGCTAACATGGTGAAACCCTGCCTCTACAAAAAAAAAAAAAAAAAAAAAAAGCCAGGCATGGTGGCAGGCGCCTGTAGTCCCAGCTACTTGGGAGGCTGAGGCAGGAGAATCACTTGAACCTGGGAGGAGGTTGCAGTGAGCCAAGATGGTGCCACAGTCCTCCAGCCTGGGTGACAGAGTGAGACTCTGTCTCAGAAAAAAAAAAAAAAATCCTCCCCCATGCTCTTTTAAAAACTTAGAGTTTATTTATGTGTTTATTTATTGACACAGAGTCACGCTCTGTGTCACTGAAACCTCTGCCTCCCGGGTTCAAGCGATTCTCATGCCTCAGCCTCCTGAGTAGCTGGGATCATAGGAGCCCACCATCAAGCCCAGCTAATTTTTGTATTTTTAGTAGAGACAGCATTTCACCATGTTGACCAGGCTTGTCTTGAACCCCTGTCCTCAAGTGATCCGCCCGCCTTGGCCTCCCCAAGTGTTGGGATTACAGATGTGAGCCACCGTGCCTGGCCCCTTTGAATTTTGAAACAACATTATTTTATTTTTGTTATTTGTAATTTTATTATTATTATTATTAAAGACAGGGTCTTGCTCTGTCACCCAGGCTGGAATGTAGTGACGCCATCACAGCTCACTGTAATTTCAAACTCCTGGGCACAAGGGATCCTCCCGACTCAGCCTCCCACGTACATAGGACTACAGACGTGCTACCACACACCAGACTAATGAAAAAAAAATGTTTTTTCATTGTAGAGACGAGGTCTTAACAGTTGCCGAGGCTGGTCAAATTCTTCTCAAGCCATCTTCCTGTCTCAGCCTCCCAAAATGCTGGGATTACAGGTGTGAGCCACTGTGCCCAGCCTGAAATTAGACATTTTCAGATCTGCAAAGAAGGTACAGAGAGTTCTTTTATTCCCTTCACTCAATTTCCTCTAATGTTTTTTGGGTTTTGGGTTTTGGGTTTTGTTTTGAGACAGGATCTCACTCTGTCGCCCAGGCTGGAGCGCAGTGGCTCAATCTCCGCTCACTGTAGCCTCCAGGGCTCGGGTGATCCTCCCACCTCAGCCTCTTACGTAGCTGGGACTGTAGGTTCACGCCACCACACTCCGCTAAATTATTTATTTATTTTTTTTTTGAGAGTCTTGCTCTGTCACCCAGGCTGCAGTGCAGTGGCGTGATCTCGACTCACTGAAACCTCCACCTCCCAGGTTCAAGTGATTCTCCTGCCTCAGCCTCCCGAGAAGCTGGACTACAGGCGTGTGCCACCTGAGATTACAGGCCCGGCTAATTTTCTGTATTTTTAGTAGAGACGGGGTTTCACTGTGTTAGCCAGGATGGTCTCAGTCTCATGACCTTGTGATCTGCCCACCTCAGCCTCCCAAAGTGCTGGGATTACAGTCGTGATCCACCATGCCTGGCCTTGTTTTGTTTTTTATTTGAGACAAGGTCTCGCTCTGTCTCCCAGGCTGGAGTGCAGTGGCACCATCATAGCTCCCTGCAGCCTTGACCTCCTGGGCTCAAGTAATCTTTCTGCCTCAGCCTCCCGAGTGGCTGAAACTATAGGCGTGTGCCAGTAGAGTCAGTGAATTTCTTTGATGTTTTGTAGAGATGAGGGTTTCGCCATGTTGCCCAGGCTGGTCTTGATCTCGTGGGTTCAAGTGATCCTCCCTCCTCTGCTTCCCAAAGTGCTGGGCTTACAGGCATGAGCCACCGCACCTGGCCTGGTCATGTATTTTGAGAACCTTCTTCAATCTGGGATAAATGTCTGATGTTGTCTAATGGTTAGATTGAGGTTCTAGGTTTGGGGATAATATCAGACAGTTACAAATGTCCTCCCTATCACATAGCTGGGGTCCGTGATGTCAGTATGACTTATCACTGGTGATGTTGATTTTGATCACTTGGTTAAGGCAGTAGCTGCCAGGTGTCCCCACTGTCTTGGAGACAGCTTTGCTCTCCATGGACGTAGGGTATGCAAGAAGCAGGGGAACCTTTGGCTAAAGATACATTGTGATGGCCGGGCGCAGTGGCTCACGCCTGTAATCTCAGCACTTTGGGAGGGTGAGGTGGGTGGATCACTTGAGGTCAGGAGTTTGAGACCAGCCTAGCCAACATAGTGAAACCCTGTCTCTACTAAAAATACAAAGATTAGCCGGGCATGGTGGCACATGCCTGTAATCCCAGCTACTTGGGAGGCTGAGGCAGGAGAATCGTTTGCTTGAACCCGGGAGGTGAAGGGTGCAGTGAGTTGAGATTGTGCCATTGCACTCCAGCCTGGGCAACAAGAGCAAAACTCCATCTCAAAAAAAAAAAAAAAAAAAAAGATATGTTGTGATATTGTGTTGTGATATATTTTTAAAAAACCATATTTTGGTCTTAGGTTTTCTAGTACATAACTCCTAAAACCCTTGAAATCAGCTGGGCACAGTGGTTTATGCCTGTAATCCCAGCACTTTGGGAGGCCAAGACGGGATGATCCCTTGAGGTCAGGAGTTTTCGAGCAGCCTGGGCAACATAGTGAGACCCCATCTCTACAAAAAAAATTTTTTTAATGAAGACAATAAAAAAAAACTATCTTCTAGATTGTTCAGAGGATTAAATGGGCTGGCCAGGGGTGGGGGCTCACACCTGTCCTCCCAACACTTTGGGAAGCAGAGGTGGGAGGATCACTTGAGCCCAGGTGTTGGAGACCAGCCTGGACAACTTGGTGAAACTCCGTCCCTACAAAAAATACAAAAAATTAGGCCGGGCGCGGTGGCTTATGCCCGTAATTCCAGCACTTTGGGAGGCCTAGGCGGGCGGATCACCTGAGGTCAGGAGTTCGCAACCAGCCTGGCCAACATAGTGAAACCTCGTCTCTACTAAAAATACAAAAAATTAGGCAGGCGTGGTGGCGCACGCCTGTAGTCCTAGCTACATGAGAGGCTGAGGTGAGAGGATCATCTGAGCCCGGGGTCGAGGCTGCAGTGAACCGTGATCACGCCACTGCACTCCAGCCTGGGTGACAAAGTGAGACTCTGTCTAAAAAAATAAAATAAATGAGGTAATGTATACGAATATGATGCACGGAGCGGACCTTCAACAATTATTTTTATTGCTATGATCTGCATAATTGGCACAACAGGGCCCTGCCACATCGAACTGTTTAAGCTCAGAACCGTGTCTGTCACATGTGGAGCGATCCATGATTGATGCTATCATTATCACCACCATCATCCCACCAACCCGCCCATCGGAAACAAGCTTTCATCGAATCCCATCGTTTTTTCCTTTTTTGTAAATCTCTTTCCTCGGCCTGGCTCTGCCGCCCAAGTATGCTCGTCAGGCCTTTGCCCACCTGGACCGGGCGCGGGCAGCCCGGGGCTGAGGATTCTCGAGCCTTGGTGGACCACAGGCTCCCGTCGCCCCGCCCAAGGGCCTGGACCGCCTGTGGTCTCCATGGAAACCCGCCAGCCACAGGGGGCGTGACGCCGTTGAGACAGACAGAGATATTCACCTATCAGATCAAAGTTATCTGGGCAGGGCGAACAAACGGGACCTCCGAGTGGTACGTCCTTAAGGCGGGGCGGGAATACGGCAACGGGCCGCGGGGGCTGTTACTGTCGCTACCAATCAAGAGTCGAGATGGCTTTGATGGACAGGCATAGCGCGAGTGCGGGCTTTCGCCCAACCGGCGGGCCGCTGTCCCGAAAAAGGACCAATGAGGAGGCGGCAGGGGTGGGGCGAAGGGGCCGGTTGCTCCGGAAGTGGAGGGAGGGGGTGAAAATGGCGCCCAGCTCGAAATCGGAGCGGAACAGCGGGGCTGGGAGCGGCGGCGGCGGCCCCGGGGGAGCCGGAGGGAAGCGGGCAGCAGGGCGGCGGCGGGAGCACGTCCTCAAGCAGCTGGAGCGGGTCAAGGTGAGGCCTGGAGCCGGAGTGGGGAGCGCGCCGGAGGGTGGGGAGTAGGGACGAGGGAGGCGGAGGGAGGAGGGCGTTCGCGGGGTGAGGGGTTGGGGGCGGGGCCCCAGGGGAGGGGGCTCGGATGCAGGGCCTGGGCGGGGCCCGGGGGAGATGGCTTGGATGGAGGGGGCTCAGTTGGGGGCCTGGATGCAGGTGGTTGTGTCGGGTGACCGGCAAAGGGGCTGGGATGGAGGGGGTTGGGGGCGGGGCCCCAGGGAGGGGGCTCGGAGGGAGGCGACCCCAGAGGCCGCAGGGAGAATCAGGAGGAAGGGGGCGATCCAGGCTTTTCAAAGCTCTGCTCCCATGGTTGCTCCATAATGGAACCTTCCCGCCCCCTTTGCAGAGCCCCTGCCGCTGGCTTTGGGCTTCCTCCGCCTGATGTTCCTCTCCCTGCCCAAGCCCCGACCACACATGAGCTGGGAGTTCCAGTACCTGGGTGGGCCTCCCCATTGAAAGTGTGGGAGCTCCCTGGATAGGGCTGAGTCTTCCCCCGCAGAGTGAGAGTTACCGAAGCAGGCTCTGTCTCCTCCATCAGACTGGAAACTCCCAGAGCTGGGGGATGATGTCTCTCTCCCCCATCAGTTTGGGAGCTCTGGAGGGCAGAAATGTGGATCTCTTGCAGGTGGGCAGTAACTGGGGCAAGGCTGTGTCTCTGTGGACAGGGACTGCGCCTTCTCCGTGAGGCTGGTAGCTTTGTAAGGGCAGTGCTGTGTCTCCCCCTTTTGACTGGGAGCTCCCTGGGCTGGGACAGTCTCCGCCCTTAGCCTGGGAGCTCCCTGGGCTTGGCTGTGGTTCCGCCCTTAGCTTGGAAGCTCCTTGGGCAGGGACTGTGTCTCCCCTGTCGGCCTGGGCCTGGCTGGCCAGGCTGTTTCCTCCGTCAGACTGAGACCTCCATGTGGACAGGGCTGTCTCCCATCAGACAGGGAGCTTCCCAGACAGGACTCTTCCCATCAGATTGGAATGTCTTGAAGGCAGAGTTGGGTAGCAAGACTGAGGCTGTTCGGATATCCCTGTGCCTGGCTTCTGCCTGTCAGTCCCCGCAGATCCTTCCGCGGTGAAGTTTTGGGGATGAGGGATTCCCTTGGATTCCGTTGGAAGGCGGTAGTTAATTGGGAAGGGGGCGTTGGGTCATTGGTTAGGCTCACCCTTCTATCTGCCTCGACTGGCCCCCAGCAGAGGCCAGAGCTGCCCCGGGGAGGAGGAGCCCCCTTGTTTGAAGGCTGGTGGGTTGGGAACAGATGGGTGCAGGTCAGGACTCTGTCCCAGCCTCCTTAGTAGGATAAATACCCACAGCTTAGGGACAGCCTTCAGGGAGGGAAGCAGGTGGCCCAGCGTGGGACAGGGTGATTGGGGAACTTTCTTGGGGGCGGTGACGCTGGGCTCAGTCAAGAGGGACCTGAGGCTGAAGAGGTATGGAACTGGGAAGGTGGCCTGGGTCCCTGGTGGAGATGAAGGCTCAAGCGCGGTCCATCTGGCTTTACTGTCCCCATCTGCCTCAGTTGTTCCCACCTTCCAGAGCTTGGCCTTCTTTTGACCATTATGGTGGGCTGGGCCGGTCTGGACCCGGTGAGAGCCGCTCTGCCTCTCTGCCGTGGGTGAGGGGGCTGGGGGCTGCAGATGGTGCCTGAAGTGCCCTGGCCACCCCTTCCCCAGATCAGCGGACAGCTCTCCCCTCGCCTCTTCCGGAAGCTGCCTCCCCGGGTGTGCGTGTCCCTCAAGAACATTGTGGATGAGGACTTCCTCTATGCAGGGTGAGGCTGGGCCCAGGCAAAGGGGGCAGGTGGGCGGGAGTGGTGGGCTCGCCCTGACCTGGCCGCTGTGCCCCCTCCACCCCCACAGACATATCTTCCTGGGCTTTTCCAAATGCGGCCGCTACGTCCTCTCCTACACCAGCAGCAGTGGGGATGACGACTTCTCCTTCTACATCTACCATCTGTACTGGTGGGAGTTCAACGTTCACAGCAAGCTCAAGCTGGTAGGGAGGCTTCAACACCAGGCTGGCCCTTCAGATGGTGTGGTTCAGCAGGTCACAGCAACCTCTGAGCCTCAGGTTCCTTGGGTGTAAAATGATCATCATGTACTCCTGGGGTCATCATCAAGATTCCATGTGTTAGATCCAACCATATGAAATTACCAGGGCCTGGCATGGTAGCTCACACCTGTAATCCCAGCACTTTGGGAGGCCAAGGCGGGAGGATCACTTGGTCCGAGTAGTTCAAGACCAGGCTGGGCAACATGGCAAAACCCTGTCTCTACTAAAAATAAAAAAAAATTAGCTGGGCATATTGGCGTGTGCCTGTAGTCAGCTCCTCTGGAGGCTGAGGCAGGAGGATCACCTGAGCCCAAGAGTTTGAGGCTGCAGTGAGCCATGATCACACCATTGCACTCCAGCCTGGGCAACAGAGTGAGACCCTGTCTCTAAAACAAAACAAAACAAAACAAAACAAATGAAGGCTGGCCACAGTGGCTCACGCCTGTAATCCCAGCACTTTGGGAGCCCGAGGTGGGTGGATCACCTGAGGTCAGGAGTTCAAGACCAGCCTGGCCAACATGGTGAAACCCCATCTCTACTAAAAATACAAAATTAGCCGGGCATGGTGGCACATGTCTGTAATCCCAGCTATTCCGGAGGCTGAGGCAGGAGAATCGCTTAGAACCTGCGAGGTGGAGGTTGCAGTGAGCCGAGATCGAACCACTGCACTCCAGTCTACAGAGCAAGACTCTGTCTCAAAAAAGAAAAAGAAATTACCATTTTTATGGTTCAAAATGGGTAAATAGCAGCAATTCCATTTGGTTCAACACACCCTATGAAGCTGTAGAACATGTTGGCTCAGGCCAGTTAGCTTTATTAGGACCAGGCCACCCTGGCTTTAGCCTTGACCCTTGACTCCTGGAACCCCCCCAGGAGGTGTGCTGTTACCTCAGCATACATGTGAACTCAGAGAGCTGAACGGGCTTCAGGGTAGGCTGGGCTTGGAACCAGTGCCTGGCGCAGTCTCCCCCGGGACATTGTTCCCATCGGCTGCATCCCACCCTGGCCTGGTCTCCCCGACTGGTGAAAGGAGCCTCCACGGCTGTCCTCAGGCAAGGTGGAGGGGTGTGGCGGGTGCTGTTGGGGTGCTCCTACCCGCTCAGCCCCAGCCCTGATGAGGGACTGCATCGTACAGCTTCGGGGGACCTCCGCAGTTTCCCTGACCCGGTGCTGCCCCTGAACGTGCCTCACAGGTCCGGCAGGTTCGGCTATTCCAGGACGAGGAGATCTACAGCGACCTGTACCTGACCGTATGCGAGTGGCCCAGCGACGCCTCCAAGGTCATCGTCTTCGGCTTCAAGTGAGACCAGGCGCCTGGGGGAGCCTTGGCTGGTTGGGGCAGGGGGTGTGCAGTGGGGGCCCCCCAGGCGCCGACCAGGCAGCTGAGGGTATGCTGGCCCCCAGCACCCGCTCGGCCAACGGGATGCTCATGAACATGATGATGATGAGTGACGAGAACCACCGTGACATCTACGTCAGCACCGTGGCCGTGCCACCGCCAGGCCGCTGTGCTGCTTGCCAGGATGCCAGCCGAGCCCACCCAGGTGAGGGGGCCGAGGGGGCGAGGGCCTCTTCCCCCCTCCCCCCCTTGCTCCGGGCCGAGAGTGAGCTGCTGTGGCGTGTGTTGCTACAGGAGACCCGAATGCACAGTGCCTACGGCATGGCTTCATGCTGCACACCAAGTACCAGGTGGTCTACCCCTTCCCCACCTTCCAGCCCGCCTTCCAGCTCAAGAAGGACCAGGTGGTGCTGCTCAACACCAGCTACTCCCTGGTGGCCTGCGCCGTCTCCGTCCACTCGGCAGGTAGGCCCTGCGGTCTCGTGGCCACCCGGCAACGCGTGAAGCGGGTCCTCTCCCTACCCCACCACACAGACAAGGGGCCCCAGGCGTAGAGAGGTGGGAGCTACTTCCCCAAGTCACACAGCCTGGTTGTGGGAATGCTGCGGTCCAAATGTGGCCACGCCCACCACAGCCCTGCCCACGGGATCTTTCCAGTGGCTGAGATGTCCCACCATGGCTGCCTCCAGCAGCCACTTGGAATGTGGCTCATGTGACTGAGGAACTGAGCTTGTGATACTTTTTTTTCCACTGGAGTCCAGTGGTGCGATCTTGGCTCACTGCAACCTCCCAGGCTCAAGCAATTCTCCTGCCTCAGCCTCCCGAGAAGCTGGGACTACAGGCCTGTGCCATCATACCCAGCTAATTTTTGTGTTTTTAGTAGAGATGGGATTTCACCATGTTGATCAGGTTGGTCTCAAACTCCTGACCTCAAGTGATCCACTCACCTTGGCCTCCCAAAGTGTTGGGATGACAGGCGTGAGCCACCGCGTCTGGCCTGTGATGGATTTAATTGTAGTTGTTTTAAGCTGAAATAGCTACAGTTGGCTAGCTGGACGGGGTAGCGCCCCTTTCTCTTAAGAAGAGAAACGCTAATGTGACATTTCAGGGTGTGGTTAGTGGGCAGGCACTTGGCATTATATGTTTGATATCGGAAAGATGCCAGTGAGAATCACAAGATGTCCCTTGACAGTGACAAATGTCAGGAGGCTGGATCATGCCACCGGCTGGCAGCAACAGGAGGGAGGGGGCCCCGGGGGCCATTTGGCAACAGAATTGTGACTATGACTGACCCAGCTGCCCTGTGCCCGGGTCTCTCCCTCTGGCAGAGTCTCACTGGGTCCGTATGTCCAAGACTGCTGAGGGGGAGTTGGGGGCCACCTGAAGAACCCTCCCTGGGGATTGGGGAGCGACTTAGGAGGTGGCGAGGGGTTGGGGGCATCTGTGGAACACCAATGAAGGCCCCTGTGTGTGCATCCATGGAGCATGTGTCAGATGCGTGCACATGTGGGTGAAACACAAGGAATCTATAACTGGAACCACTTAATATAAATTAAAAAGACGATTTAGGCCAGGCACAGTGGCTCATGCCTGTAATCCCAGCACTTTGGGAGGCTGAGGCAGGCGGATCACATGAGATCAGGGAGTTCAAGACCAGTGTGGCCAACACGGTGAAACCCCATCTCTAGTAAAAATATAAGAATTAGCTGGGCATGGTGGCACATGCTTATAATTCCAGCTACTCAGGAGACTGAGGGAGGCGGAGGTTGCAGTGAGCCGAGATTGTGCCAATGTACTCCAGCCTGGGAGACAGCAAGACTCCATCTCCAAAAAAAAAAGACGTTTTAATTTTGCAAGAACTCAGATGCAAAGACGTCCATTAAATCCTCATGGAAATGGTTGTCCCTGGGGCGGTCGGGGAATGGGCAGGATTAAATGTATATAACGCAGCCCACAAATAAGCCAGGGGCCAGGGCACTCTGTCCCCAGACATATCTGGGGCTTTCTGTCCTCACCCCCAATCTATACCAGGAAGGGTGAGGCGCTGTCTCTTGCTGAGGCTTGACCACTTGGTTTTTGGCCATGAACCCCCCAGCTTGCGAGGGTTGACGCCGCTCTGCCCTTTTGGCTGTGGGTCCTGTTAGGAACGACCACAGCGGACTATCAGCTCTGTACCAGCCCAGGGAAAGGGCGTGGTCATCAGTGGGAGCTGCCGACACAGAGGGGTGCTTTCTTCCTTGGCCATTGTCACCTTCTGTTCCCCGCCCTGTTGTGGGAGGGCTGTCACGGTGGTGGAGGGGAGCCCGTACTCGATTTTTCTCAGATGTGACCTTGGGCATGTTTATCCCTGAGCTGCATTCTGGGGGATGTGGCCCCTCTCTAGGGGTTGCTTGTAGGGGGCTTGGAGGAAACCTGGGTTGGGGCCCAGCCACAGGGTTGCTTAGTGAATATGTTGGGGTTCTCCATGTGTTCCCCACATTCCTTGGGGGAGTCGTCTCTAGGCAGGCAGAGACAGAGGCCCTGATTCGATGAAGTGTGCCCGCAGTGGTCTGGCTTGTGTCAGGAAGGACCGAGGGCTTTGCCTTAGGTCTTCCATATCAGAGAAACGCCAGTGAAAATCACAAGATGTCCCTCGACAGAGTGGCAGATGTTAGGAGGCTGGATGCTACTGTAGTGAACACTCTACGCTGTAGAGTGTTGTCTCCCTCAGGGCAGGGTTCTGTCTGTCTGGTTCACTCCTGTGTCCTCAGTGTGGGGCGCTCAGTAGACAGCTTAAGAAAGGGGTTTGAATGAACGTCTGCACGCATGAATGCGTGGTGTGCATGCGCAGAAAGGTCTTTCCCCTTTTGGGTGTTTCAAACTGATCTCAGCATAGCCAAGTCTCCTAGAAGTGTCTCCTTAAGGTGGGTTTCTGAAAACCCCTGGGGACACTGAGCGAGGCTGGGAGCACCCCAGACTGACACTTCTCCACCCCCATCTCTTCTTAGGTGACAGGAGTTTCTGCCAAATCCTGTATGACCACAGCACCTGCCCCCTGGCGCCTGCCAGCCCCCCTGAGCCCCAGAGCCCAGAGCTGCCCCCTGCCCTCCCCAGCTTCTGCCCTGAGGCGGCCCCAGCCCGTTCTTCTGGGTCTCCTGAGCCCTCGCCCGCCATTGCCAAAGCCAAGGAGTTTGTGGCTGACATCTTCCGCCGGGCCAAAGAGGCCAAGGGCGGGGTCCCTGAGGAAGCCCGGCCTGCCCTGTGCCCAGGACCCTCTGGCAGCCGCTGCCGTGCGCACTCTGAGCCCCTAGCCCTGTGTGGAGAGACGGCACCCCGGGACAGCCCCCCTGCCTCGGAGGCACCTGCCTCCGAGCCTGGCTATGTCAACTACACCAAGCTGTACTATGTGCTGGAGTCCGGAGAGGGGACGGAGCCGGAGGATGGTGAGCGGGGGGCAGGCATGTGACAGGGCCTGGGATGGAGAGGCCAGCCCAGACGGGGCCCCTGGCCTCCCTCCACCCCACCCCCACTTCCTGCCTCCCCAGAGTTGGAGGACGACAAGATCTCCCTGCCCTTCGTGGTGACTGATCTTCGTGGCCGCAACCTGCGGCCCATGCGGGAGCGGACTGCTGTCCAGGTGGGTGTGGGCAGTGGGCGGGCCAAGGACAGTCCCGGGGAGCTGCCGGGGGGCAGTTGGCACCGTCCCCTGCGCCTACCCACTCACCCGCAGGGCCAGTACCTGACAGTGGAGCAGCTCACACTAGACTTCGAATATGTTATCAATGAGGTCATCCGCCACGACGCTACCTGGGGCCATCAGTTCTGTTCTTTCAGCGACTATGACATCGTCATTCTGGAGGTGGGCCCAGGGCGGGCAGGGTGGGCCCAGGGCCTCCTGTACTCTGGGGTCGCCCTCAACAGTTGGCATCATCCACCCCCACCCCCAGGTCTGCCCAGAAACCAACCAGGTCCTCATCAACATTGGCCTGCTGCTCCTGGCCTTCCCGTCCCCCACTGAGGAGGGCCAGCTCCGGTGAGCGCGGGGATCCTGCCCTCTCTGTCCACTAGGGGGGCCACTGGCAGACACTTCACGGTGGGGGTGTGGGGACGTGAGAAGGCTCTCCCTGTGCCACAACCTGGCTGGGCCCCTCCATAGCTGTTCCAAAGACAAAAGGCCCTCAGGGTAGCCTGGGGCCTGGTTCAGGAGCCCGGCTGTCCCAGCGTTTGTCCTATGTCCCTCTCCACTGTAGACCAAAGACCTATCACACCAGCCTCAAGGTGGCATGGGACCTCAACACAGGGATCTTCGAGACAGTCAGTGTAGGCGACCTGACTGAGGTCAAAGGGCAGACCAGGTGAGGCAGGGCTGGGGGGCAGGGTCAGGGCGCGGCCAAGGCGACGAGAGCCACTCACCCCCTGGCCCCGCAGCGGCAGTGTCTGGAGCTCCTACCGCAAGAGCTGCGTGGACATGGTCATGAAGTGGCTGGTGCCGGAGAGCAGCGGCCGCTACGTCAACAGGATGACCAATGAGGCGCTGCACAAAGGTGGGGCTCGGTGACCCCGTGATGGTCAGGGTCACCAGGAACACTTGTCCTCACCCAGGAGCTGATTCCTGAGCGCTGATGAAATGGGTGGGAAGGCTGGTGAGGAGAGGGCAGCCCAGGCCAGGCCCAGCTCAGCAGCCCTGAAAGTGTGGGGCCTGGGAGCCTCCCACCAGTCATGGCCTGGCTGGTCACTCATTCACGCTACATTTATTGGGTAGCTGCAGGCTAGAGGTGGAGGGCAACTCAGCAGGGTCCCTGCCTTCTGGAACCTTCTGGGCCAGAAGCAAGTCAGGTGGAGGGTGTGGCCGCAGGGCCAGGCAGGCAGGGGCTCTATGCTTTGTCTCCACCTGTCCCTGTAGGGTGCTCCCTGAAGGTTCTGGCGGACAGCGAGCGATATACGTGGATCGTGCTGTGAGGGCCAGGCCGCCCCGGACACTGACTCCAACTACCTCCGTGGCCTGGGACCGGCCCCCTTCCTGGGGTGGCCTCTTCCTGGCCGGCTGGCCCACCGACTGATGACCGGCACTAGTGTTAGCCTGCGGAACGGGGCTGGGCAGGGCAGCCTCTGTTGGCCTGAGGGTCTGGACGCTTTTTATTTATGCCTATTTAAGTTGGGAAGGGGCAGAGAGAGGGCGCCCCCTGCCCCACCAGCCTGAGTGCCCCGCCTTCACCCCGAGCTGGGCATGGGCCTGGCCCCTCGTGCATTTGCCCTTTTCTCGGCTACAGCTGTGGACGTTGCCCTCGGGGAGGTCGAATGGACCCCATTCCCCCTGCCCTGCCCGCCCCCAGCCTCCCCACCCAGGCCGGCAACCTGGCCATCCCCATTCCGTTCTTCTTCATGTAATAAATGTTTTAATTTCTGAACCTCATTGAGGTCCTGTCACTGCAGCTTGGGGCCCAGCTGGAGCCCCCGCCCCAAGGCCCCCACCAAGGCCCGGCGAGTCAGCAGTAGGCAAATATCACAGCGGAATTTATTGTTTTAAGAAAGACTACAAAAAGGTAGAAAACAGCTCGGCACACTAGACTACCACACGTGTGGACACTTTCACCACCGGGAGAGGGAGCCCCGTGGGCACGGGGACTGGGCAGGGCCGCCCCAAAAGCTATAGCACGCGGAGCACACAAAATAGTGATTTTTATACAATAGGTCAGATTTCCATTTTTTTTTCCTTTTTCTTGCCATAAACATCTATCTCACAGGCTGAAAACACTGAGAAAACTGGAACAGATAAGGCCATGATGGTTGGAAAAAAACCCAACAAGTTACCAACTCCGCTCGGGCGGCGCTCACGAATCGCACAATAGTCATGGGGTGGGGGTCGCACGGCACGGAGGAGAAGCGTGGTCTCCGGGAAGATAGGGGCACAGAAAAGGTTCCATTACAAACCAGCGGCGGAGGGCGGGGGCGCGGGGGCTGGGGTCTGTGGGCACTCCCCGGCTCCGCGGCTCGCTGCTCTTTGGAAGCTGGAGGCCGTGCCCCCTGCCGCCCTCCTCACAGCCGGGCCGGGCAGTGCCCCCTTCTTGAGCTTGGGGGCAAGGGAGGGCCCAGCGCTGGAGAAGATGCGACACCCACGGCTTTAATTGCACTTAATACCAAGAAGGGGAAGCAGTGGGGTTGCTGGGGGTAGGGTGTCCCGGGGCTGCTGCTGACAGTGGGGAGTCCCCAGGTGACGCCCACCTGCGCCGGCCCGGGGCTCAGGGCTGGGCCCAGGACAGGCTGTGCAAAGCCAGCGAGCTGAATAAGTTAACAGTTTCGCACGGGAGGGGGCCTGCCTGCCTGCCCCCTGGGGTGGTGGGAGGACGGGGCTGGGGAGAAGACGCTGGGGCCTGGGAGGGGGGCGGCCAAGGGGCCGAGCTGGATGCCCCGCGGGGCACCTGGGCACGCGGCGGGTTCCTTAAGGCACGTCTTTTGTGTCAGAGTTTGCAGCTGCGGCTCCGCCCAGCCCACTGATTGTGCCGGCCCCATAAGGGAGGAGGGCCCCGGTCTTCCCTGTCTCGGAGTCCCCCTCCCTGCCCTGGCTGAGGCTGGAGCAGTGACCACGAAGCCACAGAAGCTTTGAGGGACCCTGGCGTGGAGGGGTGGCGGGGGCGGGTGGGGCGGGGAGGCCAAGGGCTTAGCTGGAGGGCAGCGCCTGCACGAAGAGGCCGCGCGCGTCAGTCCGCGCCAGCTTGGCCGGCGGCTCCAGGGTCTCCGGGCCCAGCGCGGGTGACTCGCCGCCAGCCGCCAGTGAGATGTCCTGCGGCAGCTCGTCCTCGCTCTCCTCCTCCTCTTCTTCCTCCTCGTCTGGAACACAGGGACCAAGTCCGGCTCGGGGCGGGGTGGCAACGCCCCCGGGCTCCTCCTCCTCCCGAGCCCCTCCGTTGTCCGCCACCCCCGGGACCCGCGCCCTGGGTGGGAACACGCCTCGCCTACCTTTGTCGGGGTCCAGGGGGTTCAGGGAGGTGGCCAGATTGGCGAACTGGAGGAAGAAGAGAAGAAAATGGGTGAGGGTCCCGCCGCCTGGCGCCCCGCCCGCGCCCCCAGTGGCCCGCCTCGCGCACCTCGCCCATGACGGCGATGGGGGTCTCGCCCTTGGCCTGGGCTACGCGGTGCTCGATCAGGTAGTACATGTACTCGTCGTAGAGCAGCCGGATGAGGTGGAAGGAACCGAAGCTGGCGGCGCTGCGCAGGGTCAGGTCCCGGATCACCATGGAGCTGGGGATGGAGACGGAGAGGAGACCGTCAGGCCCCGTCCGGCCCGACCCCCTCTCCCCCTCCCCGCTGCGATGCGCCCGGGCCTCGCGCCAGCCCAGTGACTCAGGCTGGATCCCGCACAGCCTTCCCGGCACATGAGCCCAGGGCCCCAGCCTGCCCGCCCAGCCTGCAGGCTCGGGTCGTCGTAGAAGAGCACCTGAGACCCCCAGGGACGCGGGGCCTTCCCTGGTGCCGCCCGGACCCGATCCCGCCGCGCGCGCACCTGTAGAAGGACCACTTGAGGAGGAAGAGCTTGGCGGCCTTGGGGAAGCCGGCGCTGCCCTGGTAGGGCTTGAGCACCTGGCTCACCACGCCGTCCAGCCAGGCCGCCCACTGCTCCAGCGAGTTCTGCTGCTGCAGCGTCACCTTGAAGTCCTGCTCCAGCCGCTGCACCACGCGGTCCTCGCAGCGGCACACCCACGAGGCCTGCTCCTGGGGCACAGAGGGTGGGCGGGCGCCCGGGGCTCAGCCGCCGTCACCCCCGCCTGGCCCGCCCCGTTAGGCTGCCCCTCATTCGCCCGCCCCGCCCCGCCCCGCGCTCACCTGCACGTTGGCGAAGTCCACGCGGTTGAGGTCGCTCAGCATCTGGTTGATCTGTGCGGTGTTCTGCAGCACAGCGCGCGCCGCCTGCGCCAGGTGGTTGAGCGACGTGTAGCGCCGCAGTGTCTGCGCGAAGGCGCCAGCCGCGGCCACCTGCGTGCAGGGATTGAGGGGCTTGCTGCTTCCAAGGAACCCCAGCCCGCCAGCCCTGGCCCCACCCCGCTGCAACCTCCCTAAGCCTGTTTCCTTTTTCCTAAAAAAGGAGGGATGTGCCTCGCTACTTTTGTTGGGACACAGAAGGATCGGGACCTTCAAACTTTGGGTGTCCACTCACAAGCGCCCCCCAAAATTCAATTTATTGTGTTCTGACCAGGGCACAATATTCTTTGAAATTTATTTATATTTTTTAAAATAACTATTGAGACAGGGTCTCGCCATGTTGCCCAGACTGGTCTCGAACTTCTGGCTTCAAGTGATCCTCCTGCCTTTGCCTCCCAAAATGTTGGGAGTGAGCCACCGTGCCAGGAAAGGCCTTTTTTTTTTTTTTAAAAACGAAAGAACACAATAGATAATATGGAGGGCACTGCACAGAAAGGGCAAACACTGCTTTGATAAACACGTTTCATTTTCTTTTTCTGTTTTTTGTTTGACACTGAATCTCTCTCTATCCAGGCTAGAGTGCAGTGGCGCGATCTCAGCTCACTGCATCCTCCGCCTCGTGGGTTCAAGCGATTCTCGTGCCTCAGCCTCCTGGGTAGCTGGGATCATAGGTGCACACCACCACGCCGGGCTAATTTTTGTATTTTTAGTAGAGACAAGGTTTCACCATGTTGGCCAGGCTGGTCTTGAACTCCTGACCTCAAGTGATCCGCCCGCCTCGCCTCCCAAAGTGCTGGGATTACAGGCATGAGCCACTACGCCCGGCCTCATTTTCTTTCGTACCCTGGAATCTCAGCTCTGGGAGAGGACAGGGGTTTTGTCCATCTTGTTCATTGCTGTGTACTGAGAAGGAGGTTGTGTGAATACATGAATACATGAGTCTCGCTGTTTCTTCTGAAGGGTTTGCTCCTGGATCTGGCATCTACTGTCTCCAAAGGCCCCAGTCCCTGCCCTGTGCCCAGCGGTGGTTTTTTTGTTTGTTTGTTTTTCCCAACCACATCCCATCAAATTCCTCACATCTAAGTAGTCAGCGAATGTGCATCTTTTGATGAAAAAGGCAAGTATTATGTTTCCTTATAGATGTTGTTGCCTTTCTTAAAAAGTTTTATCTGTTTCTGCACACCTGAAGCACTTTCTAGCAAGGCTGTCTAAAGGGAACTACTGTACATTTGCAGTTGGTTTTTATTTTTGAAAGATGCTGTGTTGAGTACAGTAACACCACAAAGGGGGTTGCATTTCAGAAGTGGGTGCCTGAGGACACTGGTTTATAAAGACAATGCCCAGGGTGCTCCCCGAGGCGGAGAAGGTCTCCCCTTCCTCCACAGGCATCATCCCTGGAACAGGCGTGGGGACAAATTTTACCGCCCCTGGGGAGCAGAGGAGACGGAGGCCTAAGCCCCAGAGATAGGAGAAAGGGACCCCCTCACACTCTCACCTTCACCCGCAGCATCTCCTCGGGGATGTTGACCATGGCGTGGGTGAGCCAGCTCTCCAGGCTCTTGGCAAAGTTCCGGATCGCTTGGGTCAAGGCACCTGTGGGCGGTGGCGGGGGTCGGTCAGGGCAGGGCGGGTGTATGTGGGGCAGGGGATGCCGAGCAGGCCGAGCACTCACTGGGGATGGGCCGCAGCACGTCGGGAATGAGGATTTCCACCAGGCCCTGGTACAGCACGTTGTCACAGTGCTTGGTCCATTGGAGCACGGGCTCGAACTTGGAGAGGAGCACCAGGATGGCTTTGGGCAGTCGCTTCTCGGCCTCGTCATGTCTGCGGGCACCCACCCCACCCCGGGTCACTGGGGTACTCTATGGTCCTGCCCCCATCGTCAGAAGGGAACAGGTAGCCCCTGTCCCTGACCCAGGGTCACTGGGGTACTCTGTGGTTCTACCCCCAGCATCAGAAGGCACAGGTACCCCCTTACCCCCACTCCAGGGTCAGTGGGGCACTCTGTGTCTTGCCTCCAGTGCCAGAAGGCACAGGTATACCTTGTCCCCAACCCAGGGTCACTGGGGGCACTCTGTGGCCCTGCCCCCAGCGTCAGAAGGGCACAGGTACCCCCGTCCCCAGGTAAGTACCCCCTGCCTCCCAAAGATCCCCAGGGTCTGGTTGGCACAGGCCCGAGGGGTGGGACGGGATCCTATGCCCTACCCTCCATACAGGGGTCAAACAGATTCCAGAACCTGCCACTCCAGGGAGAAGATGGTGCCCTGCCCCATGCCTGGGCTTAGTCAGGCACTCCACCCCCGACTGTTGAGTGTCGGGTGGCTATACACACTCCACACAGCCAAGGATATGTGTACCCCACAAACTGCAGGGGACAAGCAGGTGCCCCAACCCTGGCCATCAAAATCACCTGCGGGTCATGCCCTCCTCCCCCCTCTCCCTCCCACAGTCGCCGGGCAGTACTCACACAGCCAGCGGTGGCGCCTCACTGGGCTGGCTGAGGTTGTACCTCCAGAAGGTCTTCCACAGCGTCTCCACCAGGGTGAACTGCAGGTTCACCATGACGTCGACAATGGCCTGTGGCAGAGGCGGATGCTCAGGGAGGCTGGGGGGCAGCATGGCCCTCCCATGCCCGTGGCTGCGTCCCCGTCCACTTGCCTGCCCACCTGGCCACCCTACCTCACAGTGTTCCCGGTACAGGACCTGGAAGGCTTTGATGTCCCCGGGCCCGACGCCCTCAGGCAGCACCTTGCCCTGGAGGTCGAGCTCTGTGAAGTCAGGGAGGCTCCGAGAGGCATCTAGGGGGCCGGGGGGAACCGTGAGGCCCTTCATCCCCCTTGCCTGCCCACCCTGGGGTCCTACTGACCTGTCCGTTTCCCATCAGACTGGGGTCCCCCATGTGCCGGTGAGACAACGCTAGGTGGGGTGAGCGCCTGGCCCGGGCCCAGGACGGGCCCAGGAGTGAGGGCCCACACTCCTCTGGCAGAGAGGACAGGAGGGTCTTGTGCCAGCCCTGCCTGTCTGCTGAGTAACAGCACTGCACCAACCCTCAGGACGTGGGCCTCTGAGTCCCGGCTGCAACACAGCACCCACCTGGCCGGGGAATGGGTAGGCACCCAGGGCACAGTCAGGACCACAGGACACTGCCCTGAGCCTAAGCACCCCAGGTTGGGGCTAGCCATGGACAGTCGCCCTAGGGATGCCCCTCGACTCTGCTAGAAGTATTGTTCCCCACCCTCCAAATGGGATGTCCCGGCCTCCAGGGCAGGTGGGGAAATGAGCTCCCACGTGCTCAGGATCAAGGATGTGTGGCTGGACTGTGGGTTCCAAGGGTTGCTTGTTTACTTAGCATCCTTTGGCCCTGTTTTCATGGATTGTTGTTTACTTTGTCTTTTTTTTTTTTTAAGAGATGGGGTCTTGCTATGTTGCCCAGGCTGGTCTCCAACTCCTGGACTCAAGCAATTCCTCCCACCTCGGCCTCCCAACGTGCTGGGATTACACACGTGAGCCACTGCACCCGGCCTTTTTTATTTTCCTGAGACAGAGTCTCACTCACTGTGTCGCCCAGGCTGCAGTGCAATGGCATGATCTTGACTCACTGCAA
The DNA here is from genome assembly GCF_000001405.40 of Homo sapiens. NCBI lineage: Eukaryota > Metazoa > Chordata > Mammalia > Primates > Hominidae > Homo > Homo sapiens. Next base: position 179,399 of record NW_021160022.1, read on the forward strand.
CCTCCGCCTCCTGAGTTCAAGCAATTCTCCTGCCTCAGCCTCCTGAGTAGCTGGGATTACAGGCACCCGCCACCACACCCGGCTAATTTTGGTATTTTTAGTAGAGATGGGGATTCACCATGTTGACTAGGCTGGTCTCGAACTCTTGACCTCAAGCGATTCCTCCAGCCTCGGCCTCCCAAAGTGCTGGGATTACAGACATGAACCACTGCACCAGGCCTTACTTTTAGAAACACTGGGTACACACCTGCCTTCTTGGCGAGTGAGTGGTCCTAGCCCTGTGGACACCATGGCTGTGGGATGGCTGGATGGGAAAGCGAGTGGGCCTCACAGGACTCATGAGAGAAGAGGACCTGCCGTCATATCTCCAAAAAGTAACCATGTCCAACTGGGTGGGATTTGAAATCTCATGTATGCCGGGCATGGTGGCTCATGCCTGTAATCCCAGAACTTTGGGAGGCCAAGGTGGGAGGATCACTTCAGGTCAGGAGTTCGAGACCAGCCTAGCCAAGATGGTGAAACCCCATCTCTCCTAAAGTTACTAAAATTAGCCAGGCATAGTGGCACGTGCCTGTAGTTCCAGCTACTCAGGAGGCTGAGGCAGGAGAATCACTTGAACCCAGGAGGCGGAGGTTGCAGTGAGCTAGGATGGTGCCACTGCACTCCAGCCTGGACGACAGAGAATCTATCTCAAAAAAATAAACAAATAAATACAAAAATAAAGAAAATCTCAAGTAGCATAAAGGGGATTCACTGGGAAGCTCAGAACCCCCGAGAAATGCTTTGCATTGAAAGAAATGAGAATCTACCTTGAAGAAGGATTCTAGGGACAGAACTGTCACTGTGGACGGAGACTGTGATGTCTCCCCCACCCCCTGCTGGTTCTCGGGCATCTCTCACCAAGCCCTCCCCAGCTCAGAGGCTGCCTGCCGCCATCCAGCTTTGGGAACCGTCTGCACGGGGCAGGGAGGCGGTGGTTGGGGAAGCACGGGCCAGGGAGCTCTCACCCAAAAATTGCTGGTACTGCTGCACCTGGGCGCTGATGTCCGACAGCCCCGTGCTCGGCTGCTGCCCCACCGCCACGCCGTTGGTCATGCCTTCCATCTTCTGGATGGGCTTGAGCCTGGAGTAGAATGGGCAGGTGGGCCGGCTGCTGGGGGCCGGCCTGTGTGCCCTTCCCCGCCTGCCCTGCCCTGGGTCCGGCCCTGCCTTCCTACCTCTGCTTCTGCGAGAAGGGCTGGCCCCGCATGGCCATGTGCTGCTGGTCCTCCATCAGCCGCAGCAGGGGTGAGCTGGCCTTGATGCGCAGGCCATAGTAGTGGTACTTGGAGTTGCCCCTGGGAGGGAGGTGGAGGGGAAGGGCTGGGCTGGGGGTCTGCCGGCTGGCCGGCCATGGAGCACCTCACAGCACACCCGTCTCCTCTCTGTTAGGAGAATGGATAGAGAGACGCCTGCCCTGCAGAGACGGGGGTGCTGCACTGAGGAGGCACAGGGGCTGTGGGTGTCAGGAGAGATCCAGCGGTTTGCCCAAGATTATGCATAAATGAATGGCTGAATGGATGAATGGCTGAACGAGGTGACGCTGAAGCTGGGAATGGGAACCGAGACGTGAGCGGAGGTGAGCCATGGGGGTTGCAAAGGAGAGGAAGAGAGGGGCGGGTTCTTGGGATGCCTTCTTGTTCCTTCCCGCATGAATTTACTGACTCACAGACCCTGATGAAGCACTGACTAGGTACAACCCCGCGTCATCGAGGTACGAGCACTGCAGACGGACCAGAACAACTGAAATAAGTCATGTAAAAGGCACGTGTGGGCCGGGCACGGTGGGGTCATGCCTATAATCCTAGCACTTTGGGAGGCCAAGGCAGGTGGATCACTTGAGGACAGGAGTTCAAGACCAGCCTGGCCAACATAGCAAAGCCCTGTCTCTACTAAAATTATTTTTTAAAAATTAGCTGGGCGTGGTGGCACATGCTTGTAGTCCCAAGCTACTCAAGAGGCTGAGGCATGAGAATGGCTTGAACCCGTGAGGCAGAGGTTGCAGTGAGCCGAGATTGAGTCACTGCACTCCAGCCTGGGCCACAGAGTGAGACTCTTGTCTCCAAAAAAAAAAAAAAGTCACGTGTGAGCGTGCTGAATGCTAAAGAGAAAAATAAAGCAGGGTTGGGGGGTGTCGGGCAGGGGAGAGGGGGAGGCTGCAGTTTTAGTTGAGGCAGTCAGGGGACGTGCAAGTAAGGAGGGGTGAGAAGCACATGAGGTGGAAGGCACCGCCAGTGCAAAGGCCTAGAGTGGGAGTGAGCGGGGCTGTCGAGGAGCCTCGCAGAGGCCGGCGGGACTGGGCTGGACTGGACTGCCTGAGATGACTCGGAGTGGGGGTGGGCCTTGGCATGCCCACCAATTCCCCAGGGACTGCTGGGAGTAGACGGATGGCCCTACCTGGTGCCCAGACGGCGGGTTCGCAGGCCCATGAAGACGGAGCGGATGAGCTTGCCGAAGGAGGCGGCGTTGACGGGCTCCAGCTTCTGCTCCTGGCAGTGCAGTAAGTAGTGGCAGTAGAGGGTGCTCCGTGGCAGACTCACGCCCTCAGCCGTCTCATAGTTGTCCAGGAGCCACTGGACCTGGGGTGGGAGGGAGATGGGAGAGCACCAGTCAGAGGCGCTTCCGTCATCTCTGAGTGCTGGGGCTGAGTGCCCCACATCGACTTCCAGCTGGGATCCTGACAGCCACGCCCACATAAGTTAGCACATCCTACTGCCATCCTCTCCAAGAACTATGTCCCACAGAACTCTAGAACTGCACTGTCCAATACAGTTGCCATGTATAGCTAAATACATTAAAGGCCGGGCACGGCTCACCCCTTTAGTTCCAGCACTTTGGGAGGCTAAGGTAGGAGGATCACTTGAGCCCAGGCTGGGCAACATAGGGAGACCCTGTCTCTACCAACGAATTTTTAAAAAAATTAGCTAGTGTCGTGGTGCACACCTGCAGTCCCAGCTATTTGGGAGGCTGAGGCAAGAGGATCCCTTCAGCTCAGAAGTTCAAGGCTGCAGTAGGCTATGGTCAAGCCACTATACTCCAGCCTGGATACAGTGAGACCTTGTCTCAAAAAAAAAAAAAAAAAAAAAAAAAAAAAAAAAAAATTAGCAGGACGTGGTGGCTCATGCCTGTAATCCCAGCACTTTGGGAGGCCAAGGCAGGTGGGTGGATCATGAGATCAGGAGACTGAGACCAGCCTGGTCAATATTGTGAAACCCCGTCTCTACTAAAAATACAAAAATTAGCTGGGAGTGGCGGTGTGCGCCTGTAGTCCCAGCTGCTTGGGAGGCTGAGACAGGAGAATCATTTGAACTTGGGAGGCAGAGGTTGCAGGGAGGCAGAGGCTGCAGTGAGCCAAGATCGCACCACTGCACTCCAACCTGTGCGACAGAGCAAGATTCCTTCTAAAAAAAAAAAATTATATGAATTTATGCAGAATGAAAAAAATCAAATTTTCAAGCCAGGAGTGGTGGCTCACACCTGTAATCCCAACACTTTGGGAGGCCGAGGCGGGCGGATCACCTGAAGTCAGAAGTTAGAGACCAGCCTGGCCAACATGGTGAAACCCTGTCTCTACTAAAAATACAAAAATTAGCCAGGTGTGGTGGTGGGCACCTGTCATCCCAGCTACTCGAGAGGCTGAGGCACAAAAATTGCTTGAACCTGGGAGGTGGGAAGGTTACAGTGAACTGAGATTGCGCCACTGCACTCCAGTCTGGGTGACAAGAGCAAAACTCCATCTCCAAAAAAGAAAAAAAAAGACTAGAATAGACTAGAAGCCAGGCTACATCAGGACCATGAGGGACCACCAGGACCACCAGCGCTGACCCACCCCACAATCACACAAATGTCGAAGGGCCCGGTTGGGGTTGGAATCCAGGGCTGCCCCAGGGACTTCACACAACCACTTCTAGGCACAGGGAGGTTCCAGCACCCGCCTTCCTGATGGTGGAAGAACCCTGTTCAGGAAGCTCCCCATGGCAGTGCTGGCTTCTCTCTGCCCTCATTATCTATTCTCTATAATCAATTTTAATCAGAATAGATGGCTGGGAGGATCGCCTGAGGCCAGGATTTTGAGACCAGCCTAGGCAACAGAGTGAGATCCTGTCTCTACAAAAAAAATTTTTTAAAATCCGCCAGGCGTGGTGGCTCACGTCTGTAATCCCAGCACTTTGGGAGGCCGAGGAGGGTGGATCACGAGGTCAGGAAATCGAGACCATCCTGGCCAACATGGTGAAACCCCGTCTCTACTAAAAATACAAAAATTAGCTGAGCGTGGTGGCACGCCTATAGTCCCAGCTACTCGGGAGACTGGGGCAGGAGAATCACTTGAACCCGGGAGGCGGAGGTCGCAGTGAGCCGAGATCATGCCACTGCACTTCAGCCTGGCGACAGAGCAAGACTCCGTCTTAAACAAACAAAAAAATTAGCCGGACATGGTGCGGCATGCCTGTAGTCCCAGCTACTTGCAAGGGTAAACTGGGAGGATCACTTGAGCCTGGGAGTTTGAGGCTGCAGTGAGCTATGATTACAGCACTGTGCTTCAGCCTGGACGACAGAACAAAACCCTGTCTCAAAAAAAAAAAAAAAAAAAAGTAGACAACATTTTTTTTTTTTTTTTGAGACAGAATCTTGCTGTGTCTCCCAGGCTTGAGTGCGGTGGCGCAGTCTCCGCTCACTGCAACCACCTCCCAGGTTCAAGCAAGTCTCATGCCTCACCCTCCTGAGTAGCTGGGATTACAGGTGCATACCACCATGCCCGGCTAATTTTTGTATTTTTAGTAGAGATGGAGTTTCACCATGTTGGTCGGGCTGGTCTTGAACTCCTGACTTCAGGTGATCCACCCACTTCAGTCTCCCAAAGTCCTGGGATTACAGGTGTGAGCCACAGCGCCCAGCCAACAATAGACAACACTTCTGTAGTATTGTGTTAAGAATTTCATGCATATCAGCTGAGGCCCAGAGAGGCTGAGTAATTTATCTGAGGCCACACAGCATTCAATCCCAGGACATCTGCATATGTTCTCTTCATTGGGGGCCACACAGGCTCCTGCTAGCGGTGGTTGGTAACCACCGTCATGGACTGGGCTTCTAGTGCCCACCACCCACCACTGCCTGCCTCCTCTGGGGCCCGCGTTGGGGCACTTACCGTGGCTGGCGAGGCACGGGTGGTGTGAGAGTAAGACTGGCTGGCACTGCCCAGCATGTAGCCGCCTTGGATCACGTAGGTGCCTGCTCCGCTGCCGCCGCCTCCGGTGCTGCCACTGCCACCCCCGCCACCGCCTCCCCCGCCGCCGCCGCCACCACCACTGCCACCACCTCCGCTGCTGTTGCTGGCCCCAGCCCCAGTGCTGGTGGAGCTGGCGACGACCTGGCTGCCGGACACGTACATGGGCATGGAGCCACTGCTGGCCACCGCCTGGGAGGTGGCGGGGGTGCTGACCTGGGTGGCCGTGCCTGCGGCCTCGTAGTAGCTGGTGCTTGCCGTCTGCGTGTACAGCGGCGTCTCGGGATAGGAGTAGGTGCTGGAACGGCTGGGAAAGAGGCAAAGCCAAGGGAGAGTCAGGGGGATGAGAACTGGGGGGCCGAGGGGCATGACTGTGCAGGAAGGGGGGTCCTAGGAGGGGACTGGGGAAGCAGCAGCTCCCCTGCAGCAAGGAGCAGATCCTAGCATTCATCTACAACGGACTGGGTACCATCCTGAGTGCTTGATGGGCAGTATTTCATATAATCATCAGCTGGGCATGGTGGCTCCTGCCTGTAATTCCAGCACTTTGGGAAGCAGAGGCAGGAGGATCGTTGAAGGCCAGGAGTTCAAGACTAGCCTGGGCCACATAGTGAAAACCCATCTCTACAAAAAATATGAAGATTAGCCAGGCATGCTGGTGCACACCTGCAATCCCAGCTACTTGGGAGGCTGAGGCAGGAAGATCCCTTGAGTCCAGGAGTTCAAGGTTGTAGTGAGCTATAACCATACTACCACTGCAGCAAAGCCTAGGTGACAGTGAGACTCTGGCTTTTTATTTTTGTTATTTTATTTATTTATTTACTTATTGAGACAGAGTCTTGCTCTGTCACCCAGGCTAGAGTGCAGTGTCGCAATCTTGGCTCACTGCAACCTCCGCCTCCTGGGTTCAAGCTATCCTCCTGCCTCAGCCTCCCAAGGAGCTGGGAATACAGGGCTCACCACCACACCAGGTTAATTTTTGTATTTTTTTAGTACAGTTGGTGTTCCACCATGTTGGCCAGGCTGGTCTCGAACTTCTGACCTCAAGTGATCCACCCGCCTCAGTCTCCCACAGTCCTGGGATTACAGGCATGAGCCACCACACCTGGCCGACCCTGTCTTTTTAATTAAAAAAAAAAAAAAATACCGAAGGGTTAGGGAACTTGGAATGCTACACACTTCATTAAAAAAATAAAATTGGCAAGTACTTCGAGTGCCTACTGTGTGCTAGGCACTGTTTCACACACTTTGGACACAGCAATGGACAAGAATGAAAAGCCCCGGCCCCCGGAACCGTCTAGTTGGGGAGACAGGCAAGAAGCCACGTGCAAAGGTAAATGAGAGATCATAACAGAAGGTGATCAGGCAGTGAGTGAAGCAGGAAGGGGGTGGGGCTAGAGAAGGCGATGCTGTGATTGGAAGGGACTAGAGAAGGCGACGCTGTGATTGGAGAAGACCATCAGGAATGCAGATATGTTTCCCCTGAGCCAAGCTACCTATCCCAGGCTGGGGAAGCCTCTCTCCTTCAGATATCGCGTGACGGGATGGGCACCGGTGACACAGGCTTGAGGCTGCAAATCGTCACAAGTATACAAGTATAAAAACCACCAGGGGTTCAACCTCAAGGGGCTGTTAAACAAAAGATGATGGAATCCTATGCAGGGGTGAAAGAGAAGGAGGCAAGGCTTGTCGTCCCCCGAAAGAACAAGCTCCAGAACCTAACACCGGGCAGATAAGAGGCAGAGAAGAGTGGGGACCGTGTGACCGAACAATAGGGAAGAATGCGTTGCATGTGGCATGCGTGTCTGTCATCTGTGGGCATGGAGGGCTCCGTCGAGGGGGACAGGCAGGGGGCACCTCTCACCATCTCGCTAAACATCGTTGGACATAGTTTTGATCTTTGAACTCTTTCAATGTACTAGTGATTAAAAACATAGCATTAGGCCAGGTGCAGTGTAATCACACCTGTAATCCCAGCACTTTGGGAGGACGAGGCGGGTGGATCACTTGAGGTCAGGAGTTCGAGACCAGCCTGGCCAACATAGTGAAACCGTCTCTACTAAAAATACAAAAATTAGCCAGGCATGGTGGCAGGCGCCTGTAGTCCCAGCTACTCAGGAGGCTGGGGCAGGAGGATCACTTGAACCTGGGAGGTGGAGGCTGTAGTGAGCTGAGATCATGCCACTGCACTCCAGCCTGGGTGACAGAGTGAAACTCCACCTCAAAAAAAAAAAAAAAAAGGGAGGGGGGCAGGGGCAGGCACGGTGGCTCACACCTGTAACCCCAGCACTCTGGGAGGCCAAGGCGGGTGGATCACCTGAGGTCAGGAGTTCAAGACCAGCCTGGCCAACATGATGAAACCCTCTCTCTACTGAAAATACAAAAAGTTAGCCGGGTGTGGTGGTGGGCGCCTGTAATCCCAACTACTCGGGAGACTGAGGCAGGAGAATCGCAGGAGAACCACCCTGAAGGTGGAGGTTGCAGTGAGCCAAGATTGCACCATTGCACTCCAGCTGTGCAACAAGAGGGAAACTCTATCTCAAAAAAAAAAAAAAAAATTAAACATCCAGAAAGACAGTGTGGTCAGTCAAGAGGTGGCCTGGCTCAGACTCTGAAGGTGGCAGGGGAGGGAGCCGCACAGGCCCGAGTGGTTGTGGGTGAACAAAGAGAGGGAGTTGAGGGGGACAGTGGAAGGAGATATGGAAGCATGGTCTTTGTCACACATCAGGTCCAGCTCTCGATCTCTCTGTCCTGCCCTATGTCTACCACACAAAGTGACACCAAGAGCACATGACCTGAGCAAGAGCCCCTACTTCTCCAAGGCGGGGGCCACAGCCTGCTCACTCCTGCACACCCAGCATGCAATGTGTGCTGCAAAAAGGTTGCTTTGGTAGATGGTTGCTGAATGACTGAATAAATGAATGTGTGCAGCTCTGGATGCCCCCCAGAACAGGACCAGGGATGGAGGCCCAGGGGCTGTGGCTTTGGCCAGGGTGGGGATAGGGCTGGCAAAGGGTCGGGAACTCGCAGTAATTCACTCAGAGGGAGAGACAGAAGGGGTGGGCAGCTGACAGCAGGAGTGGCCCCCAACAACTTCTCGTAGCAGAAAAACCCGATAGCAACGATGAACTAGGTGCAATCACACACACTATGATCACTGAGAGAGGAATTCAGACAGAAGCAAAGGAGAGACAGGAGAGACGCTACCAGGGATGGCAGCAGGAACCCTTGGACACCGTGTTCCTCTTTGCAATGCCCTGTCTGGCCCCTGCCAGCTTGGCTCAACCACACAGTGAAAAGATTAGCAGCACTGGAAAGAAACAAATGGAACTGTGAGGTAGCCGGACGCCGGGGACCAAGCCTCACGATTTAGATGCCTGGACCAGGCCCACTGGGGTCGGTCAGAGCATCATGACCCTAGGACTAAGTCGATCCATGAGCTAACCAATCCCAGCATTGTCCCCAGAAGAACAAGTGGCAGGGATGAAAAAAGAAATCATGCAAATGCAAAGAAAACCAAGTGAAACCTCTGGAAACTAAACCAACAGTAACTCTAGTACTGCAGCAATTTCTGTGGAGATGGGAGAGGGAAGGTGGCATGGAGGACCCCCGGCGAGGAGCCCGAGCCGGGACTGAAGCGGGGCCAGGACGTGGCCCCTGCCTGACACGGCCCATACACAGGAATGGTAGTGCTGTACCCAGGGAGGGGAAGAAGCCCCCTATGCATCACTGGGTGGGGACTGATGACATCGTGGCTGCTGCATCTGCACAGGGGTTATTACACAGCAGCTAAGAGGGTGACCAGGACCCACGAGGACACATGGTAGAAGAGCCAGGAAAGAAATAAGGTATGGATGGAATGTCCTGCGTCTATTTCTGACCACAGAAAGCGGGTAGAGGCTGGGCACTGTGGCTCATGCCTGTAATCCCAGCACTTTCGGAGGCCAAGACGGGAGGATCATTTAAGTCCAAGAGTTCGAGGAGATGAGCCTGGGCAACGTGGCAAAACCCCATCTCTACAAAAATACAAAAATTAGCTGAGCATGGTGGTGCACACCTGTAGTCCCAGCTACTAGGGAGGCTGAGGTAAGAGGATTGCTTGAGCCCGTGAGCTGCAGTGAGCCCTGATCGCGCCACTGCTCTCTGGCCTGGGCGACAGAGTGAGACCCTGTCTCAAAAAAAACAGAAAAAAAAAGTCCAGTGCGGTGGCTCATGCCTGTAATCCCAGCACTTTGGGAGGCTGAGACGGGTGGATCACGAGGTCAGGAATTGAAGACCAGCCTGACCAACATGGTGATACCCCATCTCTACTAACAACACAAAAATTAGCTGGGTGTGGTGGTGTGTGCCTGTAATCCCAGCTACCCGGGAGGCTGAGACACGAGAATCACTTGAACACAGGAGGCAGAGGTTGCAGTGAGCCGAGATCACACCACTGCACTCCAGCCTGGCGATAGAGCAAGACTCCATCTCAAAAAAAAAAACAAAAAAAAAGAAAAAAATGGATAGAGGGCTAGAGTTTCTGTTCTTAGAGTATCTCTGGAAAGAAACAAAGAAACAGGTCACAGCATCCTCTCTGGGACAGGGTTGAGAGTCAAATGATTTTTTTTTTTTGAGATGGAGTGTCACTCTATTGCCCAGGCTAGAGTACAGTGGCACGATCTCAGCTCACTGCAACCTCCGCCTCCTGGGTTCAATCAATTCTTCTGCCTCAGCCTCCCGAGTAGCTGGAATTACAGGTGCCTGCCACCACTCCTGGCTAACTTTTGTATTTTTAGTAGAGACAGGGTTTCACCATGTTGGCCAGGCTAGTCTTGAACTCCTGACCTCAAGTGATCTGCCCGCTTAGGCCTCCCAAAGTGCTGGGATTACAGGCGTGAGCCACCGTGCCTGGCCTTTTTTTTTTTTTTTTGGTTAAAAACCAGGCTCATTTGACTCCCAAGCCCTAAGCTATGCCGGGGTGCCTTTCCCAACCTTCAAGGGTCCCTCTGCTTCGCCACTTTTCGTGGCTGTGGCTGCCCCTGGGGAGTGCCCACCTGTGTGTCTGTCACCTGAGGCCTTGAAGGCCGGATGGCCTGCTGGGGGCTGGGACTGGGGACTGGTGTCCTGGGAGACTGGGGAGGCTCCAGTGCAGACCTGACTCCCTCACCCACCCCTCTCCCTTCACTTACATGGCACTGGCCGTGTAGCTGGCATCGCCGCCCTCCACATACTGCACCTGGCTGGAGTACACGTGTGGGACGGGCACCTGCTGGAGCTGCTGCACCTGGGGCAGAGGAAGGGCACGTGGAGGGTCAGGGGTGGGCCAGCTCCTACGGTTCTCCCTCTAAAGGGCTGGTGCCCACCCAGGCTATCCCTGACGCCCAGCTCCCGGACCCAAGGGTGGCTTCTGGACTCTCAACAAAACACCCTGGAGGAGGCCAGGGCTGGGAATCAGGAAGAGCTGTGTCAGGAGAAGCCAGGACTCTCGGCTTCGGCTGGGGCCAGCAAGGGTGGGGCCTGACGGACAGTGGAGGGGACCCGAGACAGGGTCCTGTAGTGGGCGTGAAGGTTGGACCCCAGGCACAGGGGCAAGGCTATCGCTGGAGCCATGGAGCTACAGAAAGGGCCTCAGGGGTGGGGCCTGGAAACCGGGCACAGGATGTGAGGGGCGGAGCCTGGGGCCCCGGTTGGTGGGACAGAACCTGGAATCACTGACAGGGCCTTAGGGGCGGGGCCTGAGTCCCCCACCTCCATCCCCCACCCTTGTCTGCAGGGGCGGAGCTGGGACCTGGACGGGGCTTGGGTGGGGAGTCAGAGGCGGGTCCCTAGACCGACCCGTCGGGCGGAGGTGGGGTCTACAGGGCTTGCGGGGCCTGGTGGGCGGCCCAGACTGGGCGCCCCCGCCCCCGCCCGCCCGCTGCCCCCCGCCCGTGCGTCCGCCACCTACTTTGAGGGCCGTGGCGGCCGTGCCGAACACTAGCACCTGGGGGATTCTCTGGATCCTGACCCTCTGGTCGGGGCTGGCTCGGGCCGGGAGCCGGGACAGTGGCTCGAAGACCACTTTCTGCTGCGGCAGGAGCAGGTGTGGGGGCAGCACGCCCACCAGCTCCACCCACTGCTCGGCGCCCGGCTCGTAATGGGGCGGCGGCGGCTCGGGGCTGCCTAGCTGCGGGGCCTCGCCGCTGCACGCGGGCGGCCGGGGCGGCGGCTCCGGCGGCGGCGTGGGCCGGGGATCTCGCTGCTCTGCCTTCCTAGCGGGAAACTGACTGCCTGAGCTCTGGAGGACAAACAGAGACACTGGGGGGTCAACGGGGGCGGCCGCGGGCGGGGCTCCAGGCCTCCACCCACCGGGTTGCTGAGCGCGCACGCAGCCACCCGAGGGAAGATCCCCGCCGCCCGGGGTCTCGGAGAGGGGTTAGAACTGACCCAGGGCCACGCAAGAAAGAAGAGGGGTTTGAATCCAGATCTCTCTTAGCAAAACCTGGACCCTGAGCTGCCAGGGGGCCGGGAAAGGGGAAGGATGTAGGGCAGTGTCTGCAGCTCACAGAGGCATTTCCCTCCCTGCGGCCTCAGGGGCCTGCACTCCCCAGCCCCAGCCCGGGACCAGCCCCTTTGCCCGTGGGGTAGGAGGGGGAGACACACACCTCTTGAGCCACGTGGACTGGCTGGAGGCCCTGCACGGTCAGCGGCTGCACCGGGCCGGGTTTGGGCGCTTGTGGAGTGGCCTGGACCACAGATCTCTGGGAGGGGAAAGGCAACAATAAGATGACCATGGCAACGATGGCCGTCAACCTACCCAGCCCCTGCACAGGTGAGCTTCTGTAAAGCTCACAGCAGACCCATAAGCAAGAGGCCACCATTCTCCAGCCAAGCAAGGAGGGTGCTGGATCCATTACTGATAAAGTGAGGCTCCCAGGAAGCAGCAGGGCTGAGTTGAACCTGGGACTAACTTCGGGGTCTCTGCTCTCCGCCCCCTCTCCCTACGGGCCCCTGAAGCTGTGCCAAGAACCCGCAGGCAAGGCCTTGGGTTATCTTTCGTCCCCACACCCCCCAATGTCAACTGTGTGCCCTGTTCTGTGCTGTGGCGGGCATGCGGGGATTATCCTAGGGGCGCAGAGCCAGGGACGGAGGCTGGCGGAGGAGGGTGCTGAGTGGAGGAGCTGGGGCCTGGACCTAGGTCTGGAGGTTCGGGGGGGCTCTAGTGCCAGGCGGGGGAGTATCTGTGAAACCTCTGGGACAGGGTTTCTGTTTACACTTGGGGAAGGGTCTATGGATTTCATCTGTTTTTTCAAGGGGCTTGGAACCCCCTCAACTTCAGTGGTAACAACCAGATGGTGCGCAGCCCCAGCATCTTAACCTGCGCCGGCTCAGGGCTCTGCCTCCTGCAGAGGCTGGGTGTGGATTTGGGGGCTGGGTCCCCTCCCTGAAATCCTCCCCAGAAGGAGCCAGGATGTGGCCTCGGGGCTTCCTTCAGGCAAATGGGCCCAAAGAGGCTCAGGTGGCTTCTCCAAGCGGTTCCCATGGCCCACTACGCCCCAGTCTCCTTCCAGGAGGTTCAAATTTCGTCCTCCCCGCGGCTCCCCCATCCTCTAGCCCCAGGATGCTGAGTCTGGAGACAGGCAGAGATGCTTATCAAAGGCCAGGGTGGCAGGCTGGGGCTGGACCCACATGGGCTGGGCTCTAATAGGCCAGAGGCACAGCCGTGGGGGGCTGCAGAGGCTGCCTGGCCGGTACCCCTGGACCGAGCCACTGCCCGCCTTGGCCTGGCACCTCTTGGGTGACGGGGACACTCTGCTGGACGCCGTGGACCTGCAGCTGCTGTGGCACTGTGCCCGTGGGGGCCCCGGCTGTCTTGCTGGAAGAGCTGTTGGCCTGCACCGGCGACTGCTGTAAGGGAAGGAGACACAGGAGTGCCGCTGGGGTGGGCTTGCATCCTCTCTGAGGTGGGCTCACACACACACCCTTCTCAGGAGAGCTGTCTGGGGAGGGCGGCAGTCTGTGGGGACCTATCCCAACCACCGAGGCTGGTAACTGACCGCGTCCCACGCATCCAAATGCCTACTCCCTGCAACAGTCCCAGTCAACTCCCAGCAATGATGGGGGTTTAACCCTCCCCAGCAAGGTTGGCTGATGGTGGGTGGTGCCGCCAGCACCCCTGAAGCTCTCCTGGGGCTGACCCTCAAAGGTTATAGCAATGACGACAGCAGCCTCTGGTGTGATATTGGGCCGACTCCCACCAGACACTGCACTGAGCGCTTTAAATGTACTCACTGGAATCTCATGGCACCCCCACTTCCCAATGGAGGGGCAGAGGGGAAGGGACAAGCCCTGGGTCACATGGCTGCAGGCGATGAGGCACAGGGCTGAGCCCAGGCAGGCTGGCCATAGAGCCCCATGTCTGCTCTGAGCCCTACTGTGCCTCAGGCTGTAATTCCCACAGCAAGCTGAGGGGTGGTTGATACCATCAGTTGTTTGACACAGAGAAAACTCAGGGCTCAGAAGGCTCAAAGGGGCCGGGCATGGTGGCTCACGCCTGTAATCCCAGCACTTTGGAAGGCTGAGGTGGGCAGATCACCTGAGGTCAGGAGTTCAAGACCAGCCTGGCCAACATGGTGAAACCCCATCTCTACTAAAAATACAAAAATTAGCAGGGCGTGGTGGCGCATGTCTCTAATCCCAGCTACTCGGGAGGCTGAGACAGGAGAATCGCTTGAACCCAGGAGTCGGAGGTTGCAGTGAGCTGAGATCGCACCACTTCACTCCAGCCTGGGGGACAGAGCGAGATTCTGTCTCAAAAACAAAACAAAACAAGGCTCAGAGGCCTGCCTAGAGTCCCACGAGAGGAAGTGGCTGGGCCAGCCATCTGACCCCGAGCTCCTGATGCAGACAGCATCCACAGCCTGTCTTCAACACCCTCATTGGTGTTGTGGGTCCCCAGAATCTACCCTGTGGTCCAAGGCTTCCTGGAAGAGACTGTCCCACCCTCCGGGGGGAAGAGGAACCCACTTTGTTTCTCGGAATGCAGTTCCCTGAGCTGGAGCTGCCAGGACCATCTCAACCCAGGAAATCACCTCCTTCTCCCAGAGCAGAGCTCCACGGCCGCTTAGCTCAGAGCTGGCAGGGCCAGGAATTGGGCAGCTAAGCCACCCTACCTGGGGTCAACAAGGGCGTTGCACTGGGAGTGAAGAGGGAAGCAGGACTTTGGAGGAGCAAGTGGGCTTGGGGGGCGGGGCAGGGAGCCCCAAATATACTATGGGGATACATTGCTGACCTCGGGAGACAGCAGGGGGGAGGGCGGCCAACAGGACCACCACTTACCTCTGGGGGCGAGTGCACCTGCTGGGTACCATGGACCGTCAGGGAGACCTGGCCACCTTTGCTGCCTGGGGCTGCGCTCTGCACCACCAGACGCTGCGTGGGAAGAGCCTGGGGCCAGGGAGGGAGAGGGAGGGCAGATCACTGATGACAGCCCGTGCAGTTGCACCGAGCATCTGCGCAGTGCCAGGTGACATTCTAAGTGCTTCACGCCTGTTAGCTCACAGAATCGCCCTGACAGCCCTGATGAAGCTCGGCTACTGCCCCCACTTCACAGAGGGTGACACCAAGGCTCAGGACGGCAAAGGCACTTATCTGAGGTCCTAAAGCCAGGAAGCGGCAGAGCCGGAGTTGTTGTCAGGCCATGTGGAATGTGCTGTCATCCTTAAAACCCAATAGTCCTAGGCTGGGTGTGGTGGCTCACACCTGTAATCCCAGCACTTTGGGAGACTGAGGCGGGCAGATCACCTGAGGTCAGGAGTTCGAGACCAGCCTGGCCGACATGGTGAAATCTTGTTTCTACTAATAATACAAAAATTAGCCAGGTGTGGTGGTGCACACCTGTAGTCTCAGCTACTCAGGAGGCTGAGGCAGGAGAATCACTTGACCCTGGGAGGCGGAGGTTGCAGTGAGCCGAGATCGAGCCATTGTAAAACCCAACAGTACTTTGTCCAGATCTGCGCTGATCAGTCGGAAACGGGTGTGCGCGGCACCTCATGCGCAGCCTTCTGGGGGACAGACCACCCTGTGCTGGCTGTGGACTCCTGACTCTAAACCTGGCCTTGGGTTCTCTGCTTCGGGACACTGGGTTGGACCCGCAAACCACCTTCCCAACTATACATCTTGTTCTCTCTGCTGAGATGGCTCCTGCAGCTCCTCTGTCCCTGATGGCCCCTGCCGGATAGTCTCACCCTGGGGAGGTGACTGCCCAGAGCCAGGAGGTAGGGCAGCCCCTGGATGGGGACTCTTCCCTCCATCCTGGTGAGGACAGATCCAGGCTTGCCACAGGGGGTTGGTCCTCCACCCTGAGGGAGCCTTCCAGGGTGGTGGCCAGGTGCAGCAGCATTACCTGCTGGGGCACTTGGATGTTGGTCAGCTGGAGGGGCGACACGTGGCCTGGCTTGGCCTGCACGCTCGTCTGGACCAGCAGCCGCTGTGGAGACAAGGCAGGAGGAGCTGAGCTGCCACTTCCCCCAGGGAGGCCTGGCGTGGTTGGGTGGCGGGCGGCTGCTGTGCACATCTTGATAAGAACAGGTGAGCAGATGGCTCCAGCAGGAAGCGGGGAGGGGAGGTGAGGCCCCCGAGGACGCAGCCTGCACTGCCCCCCTCCCGGGCCCTCCCCCACCCCCTGGGAGGGCCACATCCTACCTGCTGGGTGCCCTGCACCTGCTGAACCACCTGAGTAGGAACGCCGGTCTGGCTGGCGGTGGAGCCGGGGCTGGCCTCCGACACTGTCTCGCTGGCCCGCATGGCACCTTCTGTGGGGAGGGGCCACCAGGTCAGTTCTTCCTGCTTTCCCTGCCCCCAGCCTAAGCCTGAGCCCCCCTGGAGGGGAAGATGCAGCCTGAAGCCAACCCCCAGCAAGGTCAGGCCCCTCCAAGAGTCCTGCTTCCCCCTGGCCAGCCCTGACTGCACCCATCAGGGGCCCACGTGGCAGAGCGGGCTGAGGCTTGCAGGACCCAGGATCCTTAATACCTGGCAGCAGCCCTCATCAGCTTTCCTCATCCTGAAGTCAGACCAGATAGGGTGACTGAAGAGCTATGATGCTCAAAACCCAGAAGGCTGGACCCTTCCCAGCAGACGGGACTTGTGGACAGGCAGGGAACTGACTGTCCACTCCAGGGTCCTGGCAGCGCTGGAAGGATCGAGGTGCTGGGGCCACCTTCTCTGGGGTGACCCTGGCTTCCCGGGAGTGGAAGCTGCTCGGAGGAGTGGTCCCTGGAAGGTCTTGCTAGCCTGTGGCCAAGTCCTCCCTCCCTGCCCCTCTGTCCTCAGTGGGGTGGGGACCACAAGGGGCTTGGAGTGGGGGAGGCAGGTACTCACGCTGACAGGCAGCTGAGAAGAGACAATCATAGAACATGGTGCTCATCCCCTCCCCCACCCCACCCGCCCCCCACCCCGTCCGCCTGTCCGTCCAGGGGGGCCTGCCTGGCCCTCTTTGCTCCTTGCCTGCCTCTATAGAACAGCAGGGTGTGCAGGTGGCTTTATACCCACGACCTTGGGGCGCTAATCCCCCCGGTGGATGCAGAGAGCCTGCCTGCCCTCTTGGAAAAACACTCCCCTCCCCAGCAAAGCGGGGCCTTCGCGGGGCTGGGGCAGCGCTGCGGGGTGAGGAGGGAGGTTGGTACCCGGAGATGCTATCAGGCAGGCACAGGTCAAATTTCATGCACATCTTGCTGAGTGATTAGCAGGGGTGCTGGGGGTAGAGGCGAGTGTTCCCAAGAGGCGCTGGCTAGAAGACCCTCACCCCAGCTGGGACACCATCCATCCCATCCCCTCCATGTGACCTGGCATACCCCCAGCAGCTCCAGAGGCCGAGGTGGGGCTGGGGGTGGACATGTACCTGCCCTTCCTCCACCATCAAGGAGCCAAGGTCCCAGGCCCACCTTTCTTGGGGATTTAGAGGGGTTTATCCGACCCCCGGCAGGACTGAAGGGCCACGGGCAAGGAGTTATCACTGCAGACACTAGTGTTGCTTCTGGCACACTAGGTGTTATGTTAGACTCTGGACAGCCAGAGATAGAGCTTTTTTGTTTTTTTGAGACAGGGTTTCGCTCTGTCACCCAGGCTGGAGTGCAGTAGCACGATCTTGGCTCACTGCAACCTCTGTCCCCTGGGGTTCAAGCAATTATCCTGCCTCAGCCTCCCAAGTAGCTGGGACTACACGCATGCACCACCATGTCCGGCTAATTTTTGTATTTTTAATAGGGACTGGGGTCTTGCTATATTGCCCAGGCTGGTCTCGAACTCTTGGACTCAAGCAATCCACCTGCTTCCATCTCCCGAAGTGCCGGAATTACCGGCGTGAGCCACTGTGCCTGGCTGACAGTAAGAGCTTTCCGGGATTTTTTTTTTTTTTTGAGACAGGGTCTCACAGTTGCCCAGGCTGGAGTGCAGTGGCGCAATCTCTGCTCACTGAAATCTCCGCCTCCCGGTTCAAGTGATTCTCCTGCCTCAACCCACTGAGTAGCTAGGACTGCAGGCACCCGCCACCACGCCCAGCTAATTTTTGTGGTTTTAGTAGAGACGGGGTTTTGCCATGTTGGCCAGGCTGCTCTTGAACTCCTGGCTTCAAGTGATCCGCCCGCCTCGGTCTCTCAAAGTGCTGGGATTACAGGCATGAGCCACTGCACCTGGCTGACAGTAAGAGCTTTTATTACCCATTTTCAGACAAGGCAACAGAGACCAGAAGCAAGGAAGTGATCTGTCCAAGGTCAAATGCACCATCCACCGTGCAGGCCATGACGCAGGTTCCCCTCTGGGCCCACACGAACCTCATACCACATATGGAACCGGAGTCACTGGTTCTGCCTGGGCTGCGCCCCAAGGGCAGTGATGTGTGAACTTGGGTATATGGGCACAGGAAGGAAAGTAAGCTGGGGGTCTACGGGGACCCCTCAAAGTCTGAAGTATCCAGACTGGGTCTCGGCTGTCCAGGCAGGGCACAGGAGGGAGAGGGGCCTGGACAGGGCAGGAGGGCTATTCAGGGCAGATGCAAAGGCCAAGTCAAGGGCAGAGCGCAGGAGTGTGTGTTGGGGGCGGGGGTTGCCAGATGTGGGAGGTGTTGGGGGAGGCCTCCGCGTAGCCGCATGTGGGCTGTGGGGCATTTGGTCAATCCCATGCCTGCCTGACCAGCTACCTGTGCAGCCAATTCCACAGGCCCTAATCCCTGTGTTTTGCTGGAATCTTCCCTGGCATCTGCTTTAGGCTTCCCAGCCCTGAGCCATAAGGGAGGAGGCCCTTGCTGAGAGGGCCCCTCCTGGGAGAAACCCGAGACAGCCCCGAGTCATGTGACCGGCACTGCACACCTGGGTCCGTGGGGTCCAAGGACTCAGGCCCAGCCTAAGGGATGGTGTCTCACCCAGGAAGCTCAAGGTGGGCAGGGAGTGGGGGGCTGGCCCCCCACCCTCTCCAGGGCTCAGGGGCTGGTCGCTGAGCAGGACCTACAGCAGGAGGAGGCCTGGGGACCTGCTGAGACCAGGTGGCTGTCTCCAGGAAGCAGCCTTGCCCGTCTCCTGCCTCTGGGGTAGCCCTCAAGGCTGGGACCCCGCCTGCCAGCCCAGGAGGGCGCCAGGGGATGCGCCACGAGGCTAACAGGTGAGCCTGAGTGACTCATGCGGATGAGGGCTTCCTGTGCAGCCATCCCTGTCTGCCTGCGGCCGGGGCAGGGCCCCTCCACCACTGGGTCTGGCCCTCGCTGTGTTTCAGGGAGGAGAAGCCAGGAGGGGAAGTGGGGGGTGGCACTGAGTCTGCGAGCGAGCGTCTGCATCTATCTGCCGGAGATCGCCACTCTGGGCATGCGCAGGAGGCCAGGGAGGCCCCCACTGTCTCAGGAAACGGCGGCCGATTTCCTGTCTCTGAATCTGACACATTAACATCTCTGAGCAGTGGAATGACTCTGACAAGTGGGCACCCATCCTCCCCGGGCCCCGCACTTCCCCATCTAGACCTACTCAAACCTTAAATGAGCTACTTGGGGGAGCCCAGGGGAGGCCCTAGAGGCTGGACTCCTGGCATCCACCCTGGGGGCCTGGCCCCCTTCCCCATAGACAGATGGGGCCACCTGACCCTCTGCCTCCTGCCCCTGGGCTCCCTGGGATGATGTCAGTCAGGGGCTCCTGGAGGGGCCCCTGCTGCCCCCAGTGTCCTCTATCCCTTGTCTGCTCCAACCTCAGTTTCCCCATCTGTGCTTGGGAATGCTGACAAACACACTCCACTTCTCTGTCTGGACACAAGTCTTCTTGGCCCCCCTAGAACTCCAAGTGAGAGAGAAGCAGGGAAGAAGGGCCGGACTCGGCCCCTCCTTCGGGGCGGCCCCTGTTCCCTGCAGGCCGGCTCGGTTTCACCTTCCCAGGAGTGGCTGCCAGAGCCCACAGCACTCTCCTTCCGCCTTGGGTTCTGGGAGAGTCTGATGGCCTCTGAGGACAGGGATTTATGGATCTAGTATTGTTCCTGACCAGGGAAACTTGATCTTCCTTCCTACCACCTCCAAAGTCACCTTTAGGCAGGGCAGGCAGGGACCGGGGCTGGGTGAGCTGTGTCTGGTTTGGTGTCGGCTGGTGTCCAGCCCCAGGCTCCAAGTCTGGGTCCAGGCCCCTCCCTTCCTCTTCCCTGCCACCTCCCTGGGTCCCTGGTCAGCTCCGATTGCTCCTGGCTTGGGAGAAGTCCTAGGTGCCTTGTGGCAGCCTTCACTGGTGTCAGTTACTCCTGCTTCCCCGGCGCTCACGTGGCCCCGGCCACCCTTAGATGAGGAAGGACGCTAACCTGGCAGAGGGTCAGGGAGGAAGGCTGGGGAGTTACTGCAAGGGGTGGGGGAGGGGACAGCTGGCAGGGCACAAGCCAACCTCCTCTTCCTCAGAACAAATCCAGGAAGCATTGCCCAGTGACCCTTCTGGGGACAGGCTGGCACCTGCCAGAATGTGGAGTGGCAGGGAAATGAAATTCCCTGGGACCACTGTGAAAGGCGACTAAGCTACCGCCTGACCAAAGTGAGCCCCAGAGAGTTCTGTGGACAGCAGGGTTGCTACAGCCTGCCCTCATGGGTACAGAGTACCCTCCTGGGAACACTACCAAGATGGGGGAGACAGAGGCCACCTCCCCATGCCTAACAGCTACTTAGAGTCCGGCCTAGCTCTGTCTGACCCAAAGACCATGCCTTGCTCTTGACTTGCTCTTGACTTCTTGCTCTTTTTTTTTTTTTTTTTTTTGAGACAGAGTCTTGCTCTGTTACTCAGGCTGGAGCGCAATGACATGATCTCGACTCACTGCAACCTCCACCTCCCAGGTTCGAGCGATTCTCCTGCCCCAGCCTCCCCAGTAGCTGGTGCTACAGGCACACGCCAACACGCCGGGCTAATTTTTGTATTTTTATTAGAGACGGGGTTTCATCATGTTGGCCAGGCTGGTCTTGAACTCCTGACCTCAGGTGATCCGCCTGCCTCAGCCTCCCAAAGTGCGGGGACTTGGTCTTGACTTTGAAGCACCAGGGCCCCCCTGAGGGAGTGCGGGAAGAGCTGGAGAAGCCAAGGTCAAGAGTGGAAGGACTTGGGGAGTGGTGGAGCCTGGAGCTGTGTGCCCACTCCAGACCCTGGCTCTAGGGAGCCTGGACCCTGAAGCAGGTAAGACCCACACCCAGGGCGTGGATCAGGACCCATCAGACACTCTGGGCGCCAAGCAGAGCCATCCACTGGTGACATGCGAGGCCTCCTGCAAACAGTCAGCCATGCAGGAGCTGATGGGACATGATGGCTGTGCTAGGTGCTCCTCTAGGCTGTTCTGGGTCAGGCTGGTGCTCCTCAGTCATTCCACAGAGACTGAGCACTGACAGAGCCCTGCCTGCAGGTGGGCACCCCCACCATCCCATTATTGTAACTTCAAGTAGTGTTAAGTGTTAAGAAGACCAGCGGGGCGCAGTGGCTCACACCTATAATCCCAGCACTTTGGGAGGCCGAGGCAGGCAGATTACTTGAGGTAAGAAGTTTGAGACCAGCCTGGCCAACATGGCAAAACGCCATCTCTACCAAAAAATACAAAAATTACCCTGGTGTGGTGGTGCGCCCCTGTAATCCCAGCTACTCGGGAGGCTGAGGCAGGAGAATCGCTTGAACCCAGGAGGCAGAGGTTGCAGTGAACTGAGATCGCACCACTGCATCCGGCCTGGGTGACACAGCGAGACTTTGTCTCAAAAACAAACAAACAAGAAGACAGAGAGTGAGCAATGGGGGTAGGGGCAGGGAGGTGTGGAGTCAGAAAGGTAGTGTCTGAGCAGCGACCTAAGGGAGACAAGAGGCAAGCTCCCAGAGGGTCTGGGGCAGGGAGTGCTCCTGGCAGAGGGTACCGAGAGTGCAAAGGTCAGGAGGCAGGACTGAGCCTGGCGGGTTTGTGGAGCTGTAGGAAGGCAAGAGGGGCTGGACCAGGTATGTGAGGGGATGGGTGGAAGTGGGCGAGGCTGGGAGGCTGGCAGGCCAGAGTTGAAGGGGCTTGACATTTGCTAGTAGGGGCACAGGGTGTGTGGAGCATTTTTGCATTTTGTTTTTGTTTTTTTGTTTTTGAGACGGAGTTTCACTCTTGTTGCCCAGGCTGGAGTGCAATGGTGCAGTCTTGGCTCACTGCAACCTCCACCTCCTGGGTTCAAGCGATTCTCCTGCCTCAGCCTCCCAAGTAGCTGGGATTACGGCGCCCACCACCACACCCAGCTTAGAGAGAGAGAGAGAGAGACAGACAGACAGACAGACAGACAGACAGAGAGAAAGAGAGTGTGTGTCTGTGTGTGTAGCTTTTAAAGTCCTTTTTTGTCAGGTATCGGGGGAGGGGAAGGAGCCTGCTCTCCCAGAGCTGAGAAAGCCTAGGCTGGGGTTTCTCAAAGAGTGCCCATGGAACCACCTGGCTTGGAGCCATCAGGGTTGAGCTAGGATGTGACGGGACCTAATGGACAGTTGTGAACCTGCTCCCTCTGGCTGCTGGGAGGGGTCAGACTGTGAGGGCGGAGGCTCGACCAGGATTGGGGTCATAGAAGTGGAAGAGGCGGGGGGGGTTCTGGAAGAGTTTAGGAGGTGGAGCCGAGAGGTCTTACTCAAGGAGGAGTAGGACAGAAACAAGACTGACCGTGGGCCTGGGAGGATGAGAAAGCCTTGAAGGAGAGATTTGAAGAGGGAAAAATGCAGAATTCAATGTGGCTGCACTGGCCTGCATCAAATTCAACACCAAGTGGATGAGTCAGGAGGGGCTGGATGTGGGGTCCTGCGGTTCAGGGTTGCAGCCCAGGCTGGAGACCTCAGTGTGGGTAATGAGAGCTGGGACACAGGATGAGGCCATCGTTAAGGGAGAACTACAGGAGCTAAGAGAGGTTCCCAGGTCTGAGTCTGGGGCTCCCCGTCCTTTGCTGACAAGGTCAGGGAGATGGGGAGAAGCAGCAGAGAGGACCACGGAGGGGCTGCGGGCGGTGGGCGGAGACCAGGGCAGTGTGGGCTCCTGGAGGCCTCACAAGAGGGGATCTTTGGGAAAAAGGGGGCCAGCTGCAGGGGGTCCAGCAGCTGGAGGTTCCTGGAGAAAATGGGGGCTTGGCTGGGCGCGGTGGCTCACACTTGTAATTCCAGCACTTTGGGAGGCTGAAGTGGGAGAATTGTTTGAGGCCAGGAGTTCAAGACCAGCCTGGGCAACATAGTGAGACTCTGTCTCTACAAAAAAATTAAAAGATTAGGCCGGGCGCGGTGGCTCACGCCTGTAATCCCAGCACTTTTGGAGGCCGAGGCGGGTGGATCACGAGGTCAGGAGATCAAGACCATCCTGGCTAACACAGTGAAACCCCGTCTCTACTAAAAATACAAAAAATTAGCCAGGCATGGTGGCGGGCACCTATAGTCCCAGCTACTTGGGAGGCTGAGGCAGGAGAATGGTGTGAACCCCGGAGGCAGAGCTTGCAGTGAGCCGAGATCCTGCCACTGCACTCCAGCCTGGGTGTCAGAGCGAGACTTTGTCTCAAAGAAAAAAAAAAAAATTACCTGGGTGTGGTGGCACATGCCTATAGTCCCAGCTACTTGGGAGGCTGTGAGAGTATCACTGAGCCCAGGAGTTGGAGGTTACAGTGAGCCATGATTGCACCATTGCACTCCAGCCTGGGCGACAGAGCAAGACCCTGTCTCAAAAAATAAATACATAAAAAATAAACAAAATGGGTGCTGTTCCACCTTGATGGGTGGATGGGAAGATCTGCAAGAGGGGGATTAAGTGATGCAGAAGGAACTAGAAGGAGCAATGGCAGGAGCGTGTTCTGGATATGGGTGGTGCTGCTTAATCCAAGAAGGCAAAGGTGGTGGGTGCAGATGCACCCCAGGAGCTGGGCAGGAGAAGGGGTCCCTGTGGCTGCCTGATGGTACTCTGTCCCCAGTAAGGTTGCCTGCAGGGTCAGGGACCAGGATCATAGTATAAGACAAAGGTGATGGAGGTGAAGGTGGGGCAGAGGGAGAATGGGTTTCTTGGAGCATGAAGTTCACTGTTAAGGAAATGCTGCAGGATTTCTGAGGGGTGCTGAGAACCCACCAGAGGTTTGTGGCCTGAAGACCCTGCCCATGACTGCAGCCCGACCTCAACCAGGGCAGGGCTGTGTCTACACAGGCGGGGGGGCACTAAGTGTGGCGCTCATGCGGACACCTCCACTCCGTCCATATAGTAAAGAGTCACTGCCCTGAGTCCCTGCATGTTCCCGCCCCAAACCTCTGCCAGAGACCCTGGACCTCCCACGCAGACACTGCCAGAAGCCTCTGGGACACTGCCCAGGGCTCCAGCCCCATCTGCTTTGTTCCACAACGGGGCCAATTGCTACACTTTTCATTACTTTTTTTTTGAGATGGATTCTCGCTCCGTTACCCAGGCTGGAGCGCAGTGGCACGATCTCAGCTCACTGCAACCTCTGCCTCCGGGTTCAAGTGATTTTTCCTGCCTCAGCTTCCTGAGTAGCTGGCATTACAGGTTCGCGCCACCACGCCCAGCTAATTTTTATATTTTTAGTATAGATGGGGTCTCACCATGTTGGCCAGGCTGGTCTCGAACTCCTGACCTCAAGTGATCCACCTGCCTCGGCCTCCCAAAGTGCTGGGGTTATAGGTGTGAGCCACCACACCCGGCCAATTGCTACATGTTTTGATGACTCTTTATGACCTGATGGTCCCCAATCCCATCTTGACCCACCCCTTCCACAGCCCCTCAGGATGCCCTGATGATCTCACCCCTTCCATTCCCACTCTGAGAAGGACCAGGGCCAGCTTTGATCCGGGCTCCCACTGAGGCCTCCGTCCACCACAGAGCACATTAAAAACACACTAGCTGTGCACAGTGGCAGGCGCCTGTAGTCCCAGCTACCTACAAGGCTGAGGCAGGAGAATCACTTGAGCCCAGGAGTTCGAGGTCAGTCTGGACAGCATAGCAAGACCCCATCTCTAAACCAAAAAAACACACGAATCTAGCCTAATGCCCAGGCTGTGCTGCCATTCCCACCAGAGCACTGAGTCAGTCGAGACAGAGACCCAGCCCTCAGGCAGACCCTAAACCAGTCAAAACATCGTCACTATGTTTACTGTGGGAAATGCTCAGAGGGCAACAGGTCTGTCCAAGATGGCCTGCTCTCAACACAGGTCCTGCGTGCCTTAGCTTATGTCATGAGAAAGAAAAGCAAAAATAAAGAAAAGGGCCAGTCCCTGGATCCTGCCCAAAACAACAGGGCGGCTGCTCTAGGAAGGGGAGGTGACATGTCCAGGCCCTCACCCCCAGCTGACCTCCCTGAAGTGCCCACTCAAGGCCATCCTGGCTATGAGACCCTCGCATGCGTCCCCTGAGAGAGAGGAGCTATGATGATCCCATCACAAATGAGGAAACCAGAGCAGGGAGGCCAAAAGACTGGTGTGTAGCCAGGCCAGGCCTCTGTCTCCCACAGGTGCATGCAAACTTTGATGCCACTGCCCAAACCCTTCTTCCAGTGACATCTTATTTGCAAAGAGAGGTCAGAACAGCTCTAAGAGGCTGAGCATGGTGACTCATGCCTGTATTCCCAGCACTTTGGGAGGCTATGGCAGGAGGATCGCTTGAGTCCAGGAGTTTGAGACCAGCCTAGGCAATATGGCGAGACCTCATCTCTACAAAAAATACAAAAAAACAAAAAAATTAGCTGGGCACAGCTGCACACCTGTGGTCTCAGCAACTCAGGAGACCGAGGTGGGAGGATCATTTGAGGCCGGGAGGATCATTTGAGGCCAGGAGTTTGAGACCTGCCTGAGCAACATGGGAAGATCCCATAGCTACAAAAAATTTTAAAAATTAGCCAGGCATGGTGGTGGGCACCTGTGGTCTCAGCTACTTGGGAGGCTGAGGTGGAAGGATTGCTTGAGCCTGGAGGGTTGAGGCTGCTGTGAGCTGTGATTGTGCCACTGCACTCCAGCCTGGGCAACAGAATGAGACTCTGTCTCAAAAAATAAAATAAAACCAAAAAAAGAAGCTCTAAGAGCTGCTCTGGTGGGAAGGAGTTTGGGGGGACAGAGGCCTCCTTGCATGGCTTAAGCACCCCTGCCCTAGTGATACCCCAAGTCCCATCCAGAAACCTTGGGGGGCATGGCAGCCCTGTGCCTTCACACCCAGGGTCTAGGCTATCTGAACAACTCTGAGAGGAGTTTTCAGGACACACGAGCGCGGCACTTACCAGAGACAGTGACCACGATGTACTGCTGGGGTGCAGGCGAAGGGGTGGGTGCACCGGTTGGCTGCGAGGGTGCGGGTACAGCCGGGAGCTCCGTCACGTACTGCTTCTGGCCACCCGGTGGCTGTGCCTGGGGCTGGGGGCTCTGCAGCTCGGTGACATATTGGGGCTGAGGGGTGGCAGCAGCGGTGGGTGGCTGCGGGGGCTGGGGTGCCGCTGGGGGTGGTGGCGGTGGCGGCTGGGGCTGGGCTTGTGGCGGGGCCTGTGGCGGCTGGGATGGTGGCGGGGCTGCCTGTAGCTCAGTATACGCCTGTGTTGCCATGCCAACGGTGGGGAAAATGATAATAAATAAGGCTTTTTTTTTTTTTTAATTCCTTGGGAAGAAAGACGGGGATGGGGGAGAGAAAAACAAAACAAAACAAAAGAAGGAAAAACAGGAATTAATCCACAGGCAGAGAAAGCAGGGACAGCTCTGGGTTCCCTGGAGATGTGCTTGGGTTCATCACTAACTTAATTAAATCCCCAGGCTGGTGGCCAGAAATATCCAACCCGTCACTGCAGGGGGACCAGCTGTAGACCAGGGCTGGAGCCCCACTCCGCACCCCCACTCACCCCAAGCCAGGACTCCTGCCTTCCCAGTCCCTGGTACCCAGAGACCCCCACATCCACATAGGATCGCATTTCCCCACACTGCGGGGGAACTTGGGCCTGTGTGGTTGCTCTGTGCCCTCACCCAGAGAAAAATGGTACGGTTCTCACTGGGTCACTCTCAACTACCAGGGGCTGCCCCCTCCCTTGCCTCCATCTCCTTAGCTGAGGACCCCAAGTGGGCACTTCCTGAGGGCTCTTGTAGGCCAGGCACAGGGCTGGGCACTTTCCCTATGTTAGTTCATCTTTTTAAAATGTCTATTAGGCCGGGCACAGTGGCTCATGCCTGCAATTCCAGCACTTTGGGAGGCCGAGGTGAGCGGATCACTTGAGGTCAGGAGTTCGAGACCAGCCTGGCCAACATGGTGAAACCCCGTCTCTACTAAAAATACAAAATTTGCTGGGCGTGGTGGTGCATGCCTGTAGTCCCAGCTACTCAGGAGGCTGAGGCAGGAGAATCACTTGAACCTGGGAGGCGGAGGTGGCAGTAAGCCAAGATTGCACCACTGTACTCCAGCCTGGGAGACCCAAGACTCTGTCTAAATATATATGTGTGTGTGTGTGTGTGTGTGTGTGTGTGTGTGTGTGTATTTTTTTACTTATATATTGAAATCTACATGTACATATATATACATATATAGTATATATATACACACACATATACACTGTATACATATATGTACACATGTATATATATTGTATATGTATATTGAAATATACATACATATATATATATATATATATATATATATATATATATATATATATAATCATTTTTTTCAGAGATGGGAGTCTCATTATCATGCCCAGTCTGGTCTTGAACTCCTGGGCTCAAGCAATCCTCCTGCCTTAGCCTCCCAAAAAGTGCTGGGATTCTAGGTGTGAGCCACCACGCCCGGCCTATTTCATTTTAAACTTTCCAACAACCATGTCTGGGTTTGGGTTCTGTCTGCTAGATAGGGAGCTGAGGCTCAGAGAGGTTAAGGTGCTTGCCCCAGGCCACACAGCGGGGAAGTGGTGGCAGGGCTGCATTTGAACTCTGGGTGTTCTATGCTCCTGACTCGTCAGTTTATTGCCGGAAAGCAGAGTCATGGGGAAAGCTGCCTCCCAGGGACCCGTGCCAGTTCCCTACGTGCCTGCCATCTGGACTTGGGATTCTCGGCTGAGTAGCATTCCCAGTGGGAAGGTGTTTTGAGTCCAAAAAGCCCCTGTGAGCTGCATGGGGCCACAGGGGCTTTTTGGGCCCTCTGTCTGGGAGCAGTTATGGGTCTTGACACCAGATGTAAGCTCATCAGTGGGACAGTGCCCTTCTGTGGCCAGGGGTGACAGGGCTGGGAGCAGGCCCAGGCTGCACTGAGAACCTGGCAGCTGCGGCTGACTTCAGAACAGGGCCGGCCTTGGCCAAGCGCAGTGGCTCACGCCTGTAATCCCAACACTTTGGGAGACCAGGGTGGCTGGATCACCTGAAGTCAGGCACTCAAGACCAGCCTGGTCAACATGGCGAAACCCAGTCTCTACTAAAAGTACAAAAATCAGCTGGGCATGGTGGCACATGCCTGTAATCCCAGCTACTTAGGAGGATGAGGCAGGAGAATCACTTGAACCTGGGAGGCGGAGGTTGCAATGAGCCGAGATCTTGTCACTGCATTCCAGCTTGGGCAACAAAGTGACACTCTGTCTCCAAAAAAAAAAAAAAAAAAAAAAAAAAATTAAACGGGAGTGGTGGCGCGCACCTGTAATCCCAGCTACTCAGGAGGCTGAGGTGGGAGAATTGCTTGAACCCAGGAGGCAGAGGTTGCAGAGAGCTGTGAGCCGAGATTGTTCCACTGCACTCCAGCCTCAGTGACACAGCAACACCCTGTCTCAGAGCAAAACAAAACAAAAGGAAAGAACAGGGCAGGCCTGGCTGTTAAAGGGTGTGTTCCTCTCCCAGGTGCTGGGCTGGGCATGGCCTCCCTCCGGCTCAGCCCCACTGTAGCAGGGGATCGGCAGATGGTTTGGGGACCCTTGTACTCATAAGCCCTATCCCCAGGTCCAAAGCATTTGAGGGACAGTGGGACAGAGGCACGAGTGGTTAAGAGGAAAGGCTCCAGATCCGTGCTTTTGTGGCTCCTGCCTGGCCCCAGAAGGCATTTGGGTCTGAGAGCCCTGCCTGCAGCTGGCCATGACTCCGGGCAGTACTGCCTCCTGGCTAGCAACTGGACCAGAGCCTCTTCTGCACTAACACTCAGCACCCATGTGCCACGATGTGCCCAGATGGCCCTCCAGCCGCAGGGTGACCCTCAAAGGAAGGAGGAGGTAAAAAACAACTGCTGTTGGTTGACCAGGAGCCCCCAGACCCCTCCACTGAGGTCACCTCCTCCTGGCAGTCGTATGAGGGAGGCATCATCATGCCCATTTTACAGATGAGCTGAGCGAGGCTGAGGGGTAGGCTGCTGAAAGCCTCGAGCAACTGGTGAGGGGGGATTGAACCCAGGTCTCTCTGACCCCCAGATACATTCTGTCAGTCCCCAACCCTACTTAGGATGCCAGGCACAGGGCTCATTTGCTTTTTTTTTTTTTTTTTTTTTTGAGATGGAGTATCACTCTGTCATCCAGGCTGGAGTGCAGTGGCACGATCTTGGCTCACTGCAACCTCTGCCCCCACGGGTTCAAGTGATTCTCCTGCCTCAGCCTCCCGAGTAGCTGCGACTACAGGAGCCTACTACCACATCCAGCTAATTTTCGTGTTTTTAGTGGAGACAGGGTTTCACCATGTTGGTTGGGCAGGTCTTGAACTCCTGACCTCAAGTAATCCGCCCACCTCGGCCTCCCAAAGTGCTAGGATTACAGGCGTGAGCCACCGCGCCCAACCTTCATTTGCTTCTTAAAGTAAGTACACGGCATCTTGCCGGTCTTCCAACAGGGAGACCCAAGCGTCACCTGCAAAGGTTACGCCCCCTGCCCAAGGCCGCAGTTAAGGGCAGCAGAACTGGCAAGGGGGAAGCCGGCCCAAGCAGCCCAGGGGAGGCTGGTTCCCATCCTTCACGCCTCCCTGTGCCTCCCTCCCCCGGGATCCAGGTTCTGCTCTTGGATGCCAAACTCAAGAGGTGTCCGAGTTAGCAGGGGGGCAAGGTAGGTAAGAAACGAGCCCTGGACGGGGATGGATGCACCACGATTTGAATTTGGCTATCTCCTAACTGTGTGACTTTTGAGGAGAGCCCCTACGGCTCCATCTGTGAAATGGGAGGACGGCTGGCCCTACCAGGCGGGGCTGCTGAGGGTTCAAGCTGATCCTGTGGGCAGTGTGTGGCCAGGCACCTGGCATGCTGTAAGCACGCAGGAAATGGCTCTGGCTCCTTCACTGCCCAGGG
This sequence comes from Homo sapiens, assembly GCF_000001405.40. Lineage (NCBI taxonomy): Eukaryota > Metazoa > Chordata > Mammalia > Primates > Hominidae > Homo > Homo sapiens. The sequence goes on from NW_021160022.1 coordinate 209,364, forward strand.
CCCTTTAACGCAGTTCCAGGAAAGATGAAAATACCTTCTGGCCCTGCCTGCTGCCTTCCAGCCTCCAGAGCTTTGTGCTGCTGAGGATGAAGGAAACAGGAGCTTACACTTGCCTCTTGGATGTGCCCTCTGGGCTTGCGGCAGGCTTGGGAGGGACTCCAGGACCCTCCTGGCTGGCAGGAACAGAGCTGACAGGGCCCTGGGGCCACCCTCCCTGCCAGGTGAGGTCATTCTGGTAGGAGTGGAGGCAGGCAGGATGAGAAGCCGTTTGGGGCCTTCCCACCTAGCAGGTGGCCAGCCTTAGTGCTCCGAGGCCCAGGGACTCGGGCAGCAGAGAAACTTGCCCACCGTGAGAGGGAAAAGGCTGCTGCCTGCCTTGAACAAGGCGAAGACCATCCTCCTCCAGCCCCTGCCCTCCCCAAACTCCTTTCTGCCAGCATTAGAGGGGTGGAGGTTCCTCACACCATCGGGTCCAAATCTGGCCCAGCTCGGGTACTCAAGTCACTGTAGCCGACGACCCTTCATCTGTCTGGTGTCAGACCCTCACCCACATGAACCCTGGCGCTATGTCTTAACTCATTAACATATTACCAACCTTCTTCTGGGCCTCAGTTGCCTGTCACCTGGGGATAACGAGAACACCCAATTCATCAAATTGCTGCAAAGATCCAATGAGATCAGGCCGGGCACGGTGGCTCACACCTATAATTCCAGCACTTTGTGAGGCCTAGGCAGGTGGATCAGCTGAGGTCAGGAGTTCGAGACCAGTCTGGCCAACATGGCGAAACCCCGTCTCTATAAAAATACAAAAATTGGCCAGGTATGGTGGCGTGTGCCTGTAGCCCCACCTATTCGGGAGGCTGAGGCAGAAGAATCACTTGAACCCAGGAGGCAGAGGGTGCAGTGAGCAGAGATCACACCACTGCAATCCAGCCTGGGTGACTGGGTGACAGAGCAAGACTCTGTCTCAAGAAAAAAAAAAAATCCAATGAGATCAGCTCAGCACCCAATAAACACTGATAAGTGGCAGGTGTTATTATTCATTCAACAAATATCCAAGCCAGGTTGGGACAGAGGAGGAAGGAGACAGGATCTTCAAGCTCTTGGGAGGGGACACCAAGAGGAAATCCAACCTAAGCTTTCGTCAGCAACATCATGCAGATTCCTGAGCTCTACTGCCCAGTGAGTCTGAAATGGCCCCAGAGTCTGTTTTAGCTGGTCCCTTAGATGATTCTGAGGCAGACAGTCCTGACAGCACTCTGAGAAATGCTGGCCTTGGCTTTCTCAGCCCTAAGAGACCTGGCCCCTTGTGGCCCCTCCCACAAAGAAAGGGCTTTAAAAGCTCCTCACTTACTGGCTCTTTCTCCTCCTAGGGATACAAAGCCCATGGGCCTCATCCCTTCCACTCAGGGGCAAGAAGAGGAGGCAATGATTAATTTCTAAAAGGCTGAGCTCAAAAGGAGGAGGTGGGAGATCGAGGAACAACTAAACCAACTTCTCTATTGGAGGCCTTCTCAGCACTGTGATTGTCAATCTTTTTCCTACAATTATTTGACCAAAGAGCCCTTTTCTACCTTTTAAGGAGACTACATTAAGCAATTATACAGGTTTGTTCCCTAGAGAGAAATAAATCACATATACATACATAGCATGAGGTATTGCCCATATATTTGAGCGTGAGAACCCTTTCTTTATGGAGCCTGGCACACAAAACAAGGGAATTACTTAACAAACTGTTCCTTGGCAATGAATCTGCCAAGAAAAGCACTAGTGGCTGCACCTACCTTCAAAGCCAGCAGCTGCTTATGGAGACTGTTTAAATCTATTACTTTAAATGAGGGCTCGGCAAAGTTCTGTAAGGGCCAAGCAGTAAACGTTATTAGTTTTGTGGCTAGTCTCTGCAGCAGCTGTTCAACTCTGCCACTGTAATGTGAAAGTGGCCATGCACAATAGGTAAACAAATGAGCAGGCTGTGTGCGAATAAAACTTTATTTCTAGACACTGAGATTTGAACTTCATGTAATTTTCACATATCATGAAATATAATTCCGGTGTTGATATTTCCAATAATTTAAAAATGTAAAAATCATTCTTAGCTCACCAGCCAAAAACAGGCAGCAGGCCATAGTTTGTTGAACCCTGTGTTTTTTTTTTGTTTTTTTTTGTTTTTGAGGCAAAGTTTCTCTTTCGTTGCCCAGGCTGGAGTGCAATGGCACAGTCTCTGCTCACTGCAACCTCTGCCTCCCGGGTTCAAGTGATTCTCCTGTCTCAGCCTCCTGAGGAGCTGGGATTACAGGTGCCCACCACCATGCCTGGCTAGCTTTTGTATTTTTAGTACAGATGGGGTTTCACCATGTTAGCCAGGCTGGTCTCGAACTCCTGACCTCAGGTGATCCTCCCACCTTGGCCTCCCAAAGTGCTGGGATTACAGGCATGAGCCACCGCGACTGGCCTGACCCCTGTTTTGGATGCCAGATTCTCTAATCAAATGGTTTACATCCTCAGCAAGGCCCTCCCAAAGATATAGAAAGAAAACTCACTCTCTTCATCTATAGAATGGCTTCAATAATGAACTTGCAGAAGAATGGCAAAATTAAATGGGATGATGTGTGTTTCTCTCATCCTCTATATCCAATTCATTTAGAAGATTTGTCAATTACTCCTCCAAAATATATCCTAGAGGCCGGGCGTGGTGGCTTATGCCTGTGATCCCAGCACTTTGGAAGGCTGAGGCGGGCGGATCATTTGAGGTCAGGAGTTTGAAGCCAGTCTAGCCAACATGGCGAAACCCCGTCTCTACTAAAAATACAAAAATTAGCTGGGTGTGGTGGTGTGTGGCTGTAATCCCAGCTACTCAGGAGGCTTAGGCAGGAGGATCGCTTGAGTCTGGCGGGGCAGAGGTTGCAGTGAGCTGAGATTGTGCCACTGCATGCATACAAACACACACATACACATACACATACACACACACACACTCGCACACATCTCCTAATGACTGGGCGCAGTGCTCACATCTATAATCCCACCACTTTGGGAGTCCAAGATTGGAGGATCACTTGAGCCCAGGAGTTCAAGACCAGCCTAAGCAACAAAGTGACGCCTTATCTCTATAAAAAAGTGAAAAAATCAGCTAGGCATAGTACCCGACACCTGAAGTCCCAGCTGCTCGGGAGGCTGGGGTGGGAGAATCACTTGAGCCCAGGAGTTCCAGGCTTCAGTGAGCTATGATCACACCGCCACACTCCAGTCTGGGCAACAGAACAAGACCCTGTCTCTTTAAAATATATCCTGGACAGGCATGGCGGCTCACGCCTGTAATCTCAGCACTTTGAGAGCCCAGGGCAGGAAGATTGCTTGAGGCCAGAAGTTTGAGACCAGTCTTAGCAGCATAGCCGAGACTCCATCTCGACAAAAAAATTTTAAAAATTAGGTGGGCGTGATGGCGTGTGCCTGTAATCCCAGCTACTCGGGAGGCTGAGGTAGAATTGCTTGAACCCAGGAGGCAGAGGTTGCAGTGAGCCTCTCTGCAAAAACAAAAAAAACAAAAAACAAAACAAAACAAAAAAATGCTGCAGATCCATTCCTGCCTCTCATGGCCTCGGCCCCACCTCTTCCTCCCACCTGGCATGCTGTCCCCACCGCCACCTTCACGGCTGGCTTCTCCTCCTTATTCAGGTCTCAGCTCGTACACACTTCCTTGGGTCTGAAGGTACCCTCAAGCACATACTACTATTTTATTTGCTTCCTGACACTGTGTTTCCCTGTTGAGTTTATTTTCTTTCTTTTTCGTTTCTTAGAGACAAGGTCTCACTCTGTTGCCCAGGCTGGAGCACAGTGGCACAATCACAGCTCACTGTAACCTTGAATTCCTGGGCTCAAGTGATCCTCCGGCCTCAGCCTCCACAGTATATGGGAACGCAGGCCTGTGCCACGACACCTGGCTAATTTTTAAATCTTTTTAAGAGATGGGGTCTCGCTATGTTGCCCAGGCTGGTCTCAAACTCCTGGGCTTAAGTGATCCTCATGTCTCAGCCTCCCGAAGTGCTGGGATTACAAGCATAAGCCACTGAGTCTGGCTGGATTTATTTTCTTCCTCCTAGTTCCTCTTCCCTCCCTGACTGGAAAGGTAAGGGCCCCACAGGCAGAGACCTGGTGGGCCTGGTCTCTGTCTCAGCTCCTAGAAAACTGACAGGCAAGGCCGGGAGCAGTGGCTCACGCCTGTAATCCCAATATTTTGGGAGGCTGAGGCGGGCAGATCGCCTGAAGTCAGAATTTCAAGTCTAGCCTGGCCAACATGGTGAAACCCTGTCTCTACTAAAAATACAGAAATTAGGCTGCTGCGGTGGCTCACACCTATAGTTCCAGCACTTTGGGAGGCCAAAGCGTGTGGATCACCTGAGGTCAGGAGTTCGACACCAGCCTGGCCAACATGGTGAAACCCTGTCTCTACTAAAAATACAAAAATTAGCCGGGCATGGTGGTGGGTGCCTGTAATCCCAGCTACTCGGGAGGCTGAGGCAGGAGAATCTCTTGAACCTGGGAGGTGGAGGTTGCGGTGAGCCAAGATTGCGCCATTGCATTCCAGCCTGGGCAACAAGAGAGACACTCCGTCTCAAATAAACCAAACCGAAACAAAACAAAAATGAGCCGGTCATGGTGGCGGGCATCTGTATTCCCAGGTACTCGGATGGCTGAGGCAAGAGAACTGCTTGAACCCAGGAGGTGGATGTTGCAGTGAGCCAAGATCGTGCCACTGCACTCCAGCCTGGATGACAGAGTGAGACTCTGTCTCAAAAAAAAAAAAAAAAAAAAATTAGCCAGGCATGGTGGCAGGCATCTGTAATCCCAGCTACTCGGGAGGCTGAAGCAGGAGAATTGCTTGAACTGGGGAGGTGGAGGTTGCGGTGAGCTGAGATCACGCCACTGCACTCCATCCTGGGCGACAGAGTAGGACTCTGTCTCAACAAAAAAAAGAAAGAAAGAAAGAAAAAAGAAAAGAAAACTGACAGGCAAATAGTGGGGGTTTTGACTCTTACTGTCCAGGCAGCATAAATGATGCACCAGAACACACTGCTAGTGAGCATCAAAGGCAGGTTCCAGTCTATCAACTGCTGAGACCGTGTGAGAAAGTTACTTCCTGCCACAAGCCTGCTTGTGCTACAGAGCCAGGCAATGCCTTCTGGTCCAGAACAGGCCTGGGAAGCAGGTGGGAGAAAGTCTTTCTCGCCTAGGAAGACCACGTCCTGTACAGCTGCTATTGAAGGCAGCATCTCTGCGGGCGGGGCAGCCTGGCCATCCCCTTCCCTGAGATGCTCAGGTACATGACAGAGGAGAAGGGTGAGGACCTCGGCTCCAGAGACGCCATTCCAAGCTCCCCACCGTTCCCACAATGTCCACATCCCCGCTCACCCAGCTGCCTCCTGGAAGGCTTGGGACTGTGTCTGGGCCTGAGCCCAAGTAGCATTTTGTGTGTGTGTTTTGAGACAGTCTTGCTCTGTCACCCAGGCTCAAGTGCAGTGGCACGATCTTGGCTCACTGCAACTTCCATCTCCACGGTTCAAGGGATTCTCCTGCCTCAGCCTCCTAAATAGCTGGGACTACTACAGTCATGTGCTACCATGCCCGGCTACTTTTTGTATTTTTAGTAGAGATAGGGTTTCACCGTGTTGGCCAGGCTGGTCTCCAACTCTTTACCTCAAGTGATCCACCCACCTTGGCCTCTCAAAGTGCTGGGGGAGTGAGCACCCAAATTGAGCCACTGTGCCCGGCCAGGATTTTTCTTTCTAGTGACTCTCCTAAAGCCAGAGAACAGCCATTCAGCAGCCAGGGGAGTGACTTTCCCACTACAAACTGGATCCCTGGTATCCAGCTTCCTGGATCCCTGTCATCGACCCACACAGCCCAGCAAGCGAGAAGCAAGTCAACCTTTAAAGCCACGAGGGCTCTCACTGGATTCAAAATGATAAAAATAAAAGCCAACGGTGTATTTCCGAGGGTTGAACAGGAAGCGACAATCACCGTAACAGCAGAGGCTAACATAACTACATTAGCAATTACTTTGTATTTAGTTAGTTTCAGCAATTCCTATGTATTTGATATTCAACAGGTATTATTTTCTGGGATCCATAGCACAGAAACATGAGATTGAAAGGACTACCAAGGATTACTGCCCCTAGATGAAAGGAAGGGAAACTGAGGCCCAGAAAACTTAAGTAACTCACCTAAGAGCACACAGCTAGAAAAGCTGACTGTTTCAAGTCAGCTTCAAATCACCCTAGTGTTCTCTTCCTAGTCAAATGACTCCTCAGGCCCTTCATCTGTAAATGTAACTGGTGACTGAGGCAGTCAACATGACCAGATAATTGGTAACATCACTTTCTGCTCAGTTAGCTTTTTTTTTTTTGAGACAAGTCTCACTCTGTTGCCCAGGCTGGAGTGCAGTGGCCTGTGATCTCAGCTCACTGCAACCTCCGCCTCCCAGGCTCAAGCAATTCTTGTGTCTCAGCCTCCCGAGTAGCTGGGATTACAGGCATGTGCCACCACGCCTGGCTAATTTTTTTAGAAACAGGGTTTCACCATGTTGGCCGGGCTAGTCTCAAACTCCTGACCTCAGGTGATCCGCCCACCTCAGCCTCCCAAAGTGCTGGGATTACAGGTGTGAGCCACCACGCCCAGCCTGCTCAGTTAGCTTTTTTAAGAAGGGCTAGCCGGGCGCGGTGGCTCACGCCTGTAATCCCAGCATTTTGGGAGGCCGAGGCAGGTAAATCTCGAGGTCAAGAGATCAAGACCATCCTGACCAACATGGTGAAACCCCGTCTCTACTAAAAATACGAAAATCAGCCGGGCATGATGGCGAGCGCCTGTAGTCCCAGCGACTCAGGAGACTGAGGCAGGAGAATCACTTGTACCCGGGAGGCGGAGGCTGCAGTGAGCCAAAATCAAGCCACTGCACTCCAGCCTGGCCACAGAGTGAGACTCCGTCTCCAAAAAAAAAAGTGCTGATGATCCGTCTAGCAACTTGGCATTTCTAGCTTTTTTGTTTGTTTTACTGAAAATTAATCTCCACCTGTCCTAACTTTCAAAGAGTCCCTGCCTCCTCTAAAAAGGGCCAGGCCTAGAAAAAGTACCTGGAGAAGTTAGGACCCGCCAACCCCCACCAGACCAATCTCAAACTCTTGGGAAAAAGCCTGAAATGATCCTTTTCCTTGGAATGTATTGACTGATTTAAAAGGAAATGGCTGCAGTTTGCACACCGACACTAAGCTCAAAAGCAAGACGGAGAATAAGCCAACTAGACTTGGCCTGGCTGGCTACTTAAAAAAAAAATTCCTCCCCGAGCTGGCAGGATATTGTCACCCTAAAAAGCAGTGGCAAAGATTCTCCTCTCACAAACATGGATAGCTTCCCCTTCCCTCTGACCGCTCCTGCCCACGTGGCCCTAGAGGCTGGGACCTTGTCAGTGACATGTGACTCGGTTGACACTCGTTTGACACAAAAACATGTGTCTGGCCAAGAGAAGCGGGTTTAAAAAATCTAAGAAACTTCCTCAGGCTTCATTTGCTCCCCCATTCCCAGTAGGGGAGACCTCGATGGGCAGGACCCAGAAACGTTCCATCTCCAGGAACAAACCCCCGCAACCTCAAACCAGGAAACATCAGGTCTCAAACAGCAGCCCAGAGAAAAGCACTCAGGTTTCTGTTCCTCTAAAGCATTCCCTCATGGTCACTCCTCCCTACCATGGACTTTGATTTCTGCAAACCAGATCCTCCACGCTAAAGCCAAATCGACTCCTAGCTCCTCCATGAAACTTTGCTTCCTCTTTGCTTCCTCCCAGAGAGAAGGTGGCAGGTTTAGGAGTGGGCTGCAGTGTTGAAATCAGGACTAGCTGACAGTTATTTTATCAAACCACATTCAGAAACGGTAGATACGAGGAAAAGGTTCAAAGATAAGCCGTAAGTAAAATTCCTGGAAGGAATGAGGAGTCCCGGTACTGCAGGAAAAGGGCGATGTCAATGATTCTCCCCATTTTACAGGATGGAAAACTGAGGCCTCAGATGGACAGGCACTTGTCCAAGTTCTGAGTCCTGGGACAACTGCAAAGCTCTTAAGGAAGAAGGGAGTCGCTTAAGGATCTGGAAGGCGGACCGGGTGGTGGCTGCCCACCCTGGTTCCCGAGGTGGAGGTTGGGGAGACCCAGCCGGCCCCGCCCATACCTTCCCTCCTGGTCCCGCCCACCCACCTTGGCCCCGCCTCGTACCTCCCTCGCTCCCATTGGCCCAGCCTCCCCAGGCCCGCCCCTTCGCGCTCCCGACATATAAAAGCCCCCCGCCCCGGCCTGCCGACCTCCACTCGCCGCGGGCCTGCGAGCGCCCGCCCCTCGCGGGGGCCGGGCCGCGGGGACGGGGGCGGGTGGTGTCGTTCCAGCCGGGCCCCGGCCCCCTCCCCCACGGTCCAGACAGTCGCCGCCGCCATTTTGACCGCCCGCCCCTTCCCCCCGGACTGTGATTACAGAGACACCTACTGCCCCGGCCCCGCCGCCCACCCCGGCCCGGCCAGCCACCCCGGGGCCGCCCTGGTTACCTCCGCTTCTCCCCACTTCTGTCTGCGGAAACGCTTTTCGGAGGTCTCGGAGTCGATGTTGGGAAGGGGACGGGACGTGCTGGGGTCCCCGGGCCGGGCCTGGGGGGTGGGGGTGGGGGTCGGCCGGGCGGTTGTTGTTGTTGACTCGCGTTGCCGGGTTGCTTGGTCGCCACGACTACCGTGGCTATGGCGCCTCCGTTTCCCTCACCGGGGCAACTGTTGCTACCCACCCTAGTTACGTCACGCGCGGGGGCGGGGCCCGGGGTGATTGGCGGCGGCCGGAGAAGTGATTGGACGGCGCCAGGCCTTGCAGCTAAACTATTAGTTCCGATGCACGCTTTTCAACACCCTCTGGACTTCCCGGCGATCTGATTTATCAGTATGAATGTCCATCAAAAGAAACTGAACCCTCAAAGGCAGCCGGGCCCGTCACTCCGGCAGGGAAGCAGCTGGTTAAGAATAAAGGGGTAGGACTCGTGAGGACGGGATTGGTTTGCCGATGTAAAACCGGCCTCCTGGTTCGACTAAAGGGACGTCAATCTACCAAAGGTTTGCCGCGCTCTCTGGCTGGAGGCCGTGCGCATGCTCGGCACGCAAGGCCGATTGGGAGTTGTAGTCCGCTCTTGCGTACACTTTACATGTCTTACCAAATTAAAAAGGCGAGAAAGGAAGACTCCGCTCCAGACTTCTCTCTCGCTCGGTGGGCCAGTTTCTGGCTTCTTGCGCTGACGTCAGGGGAGGAATGCAGTGACGCAGCGCAGCCCCTCTGTGACGACAGCGGCGAAGGCCGGACTCGGGATTCGATGACGTCACTGGGCGCGCGTCCCCCTTCCCCACTGCCCATGGCCCCGTCGGGGTTGGGTGGAAGCGGGAGGCCGCGGCGGGGTTCGATCCCAGCTCCCACCCGCTGGGGTGACATCCTCCTCCGCCCAAGCCGGCCAGACAGCGCGGCCGCCGCGCCTTCTCCCGCCTCCCGGTCCCCTCCAGCCGGAAAAGGTCACCGCTGCCGGGGTGACCGCGGCTATCTCTGCCCCGCAGGCGGTGCGGCCGCCTTGGGAAAGGTCTCTGCAAGGCGGGGGACTTCATTCGCGGCTTCAACCGCGGTAGATAAGCAAAGGTCAGCCCCGACCCAGCCCAGGGAGCTTGGTCCGCCCAGGAGAGCTCACCACAACCCCCGCCACACACACACACCTCCCACACATACGCTCCTCTGTGCCTCAGTTTCCTCAAGGGACTGTCTGGGTGCTGCAGGACGAGAAGAGACAGAAACAGGGCCCGGACTAGGGTGAACATCTTGGGAGCAAAAACTCAGTCATCAAGATAAATAATCTTCTAATTCAATATTTGTTAAATATCCAAATTAATGGGAAAAAATAAATCTATGATGAACAAAACATCACAATTTTAAATAAAGACAGGATCCGCCAACACAGGGATTAAGGTGAGATGCGTTATGCAAGCTCAGGGTCAGATCTTGTGTTTAAAATAAATTTATTATTATTATTTTTTGAGACGGAGTCTCACTCTGTCGCTGAGGCTGGAGTGCAGTGGCGCAATCTCGGCTCACTGCAAGCTCCGCCTCCCAGGTTCACGCCATTCTCCTGCCTCAGCCTCCCGAGTAGCTGGGACTACAGGTGCTCGCCACCACGCCCGGCTAATTTTTTGTATATTTAGTAGAGACGGGGTTTCACCGTGTTAGCCAGGATGGTCTCGATCTCCTGACCTCGTGATCCGCCCGCCTCGGCCTCCCAAAGTGCTGGGGTTACAGGCGTGAGCCACCACGCCCGGCCTACTTTTTATGTTTTAAATGTCAATTATCTTATGACTGAGCTCTTTGGCCTTCTCTTAAATTTTGCATTCTCATCCCAGGTAGGCCCTAGAACAGCAAGGGGAAAAGAAAACAGGCTCAGACAGCCCTGAAGTCTAATGCCAGCCCTGCTGTGTGGCATTCAGAAAGTGACTCCACCTAAGTTTGTTTCCTAATTCAACCAACATTATATTTCCTCGGTGCAAGGCCCTGGGCTATACAAGTGAAGAAAGGTGACTTCATTTATGGTGGCTCACACCTGTAATCCCAGCACTTTGGGAGGCCAAGCAAGGAAGATTGCTTGAGCCAAGGAGTTCAAGACCAGCCTTGGCAACAAAGCAAGACACCCGTCTCTACAAAAATTAGCTGGGCATGGTAGTGTATGCCTGTAATCCCAGCTACTCCGGAGGCTGAGGTAGGAGGATTGCTTGAACCCGGGAGGGGGAGGTTGCAGTGAACCAAGATTCTGCCACTGCACTCCAGCCTGGGCGACAGAGCGAGACTTTGTCTCAAAAAAAAAAAAGCAATTAGCTAGGCGTGGTGGCATGTGCCTGTGGTCCCAGCTACTCTGGAGGCTGAGGCTGGCAGGATTGGTTCAGCTCCGGAGGTAGAGGCTGCAGTAAGCAATGATTGTGTGGTCCAGCCTGAGTCTCAGAAAAAAAAGAAAAAAAGGAAAAAAAAGAAAGCAAACAACTCCCTTTGCATTCTAGGATGGGATACACAATAAACAGATAAATTGTAAGATAGGCTCCTTAGAGTCCTGAGAGCAACATAAGAGAGTGGGGTAGGAGAATGAGAGGATGCTGTAGCCAGTGTTATCTGAGGGGGGATGTCCCACAGAATGAGCCTGAGTGGTGAGAGACGAAGCAAGCCTCATAAATCCAGGTGGAGGGGCCGGTCATGATGGCTCATGCCTGTAATCCCAGCACTTTGGGAGGCCAAGTTCAGGAGTTCCAGAACAGTCTGGCCAACACGGCGAAATCCTGTCTCTACTAAAAATACTAAAATAGGTCGGTGTGGTGGCACGTGCCTGTAGTCCCAGCTACTGGGGAGGCTGAGGTGGGAGAATCACTTGAACCTGGGAGGCAGAGGTTGCAGTGAGCCAAGATCGCGCCACTGTACTCCAGCCTGGGCAACACAGTGAGACTCCGTCTCAAAAAAAAAAAAAAAAAACGGGGGGAGAGAACTGCCTTCAAAGCTGGGAACAGGAACTTCTGCTAAAGCCAGGAGAGATAAGGTTGTAGAGGTAATAATAGCCACATAATTCCCAGCGAACCCAGCAAAGTGGGACGCTCCCCGCTCTTGACAGGTGGGCAATGGATGCCCAGAGAGAGGAAGTAGGTGCCCTCTCTGCCAGAGGCGTGTGAACCAGAGCAACTCCATCTTGAACAGGAACTGGGTAAAATGAGGCTGAGACCTGCTAGGCTTCATTCCTAAATGGTTAAGGCATTCTTAGTCACAGGATAAGACAGGAGGTCAGCGCAAAATACAGTTCATAAAGACCTTGCTGGCTGGGTGCAGTGGCTCATGCCTATAATCCGAACAGTTTGGGAGGCGGAAGTGGGCGGATCACTTGAGGTCAGGAGTTCGAGACCAGTATGGAAAACATGGCAAAACCCGATTTCTAATAAAAATACGAAAATTAGATGGGCGTGGTGGTGGGCACCTGTAATCTCAACTACTTGGAGGCTGAGGCAGGAGAATCGCTCGAACCCGAGAGGCAGAGGTTGCAGTGAGCCGAGATCACCCCACTGCACTCCAGCCTGGGTGACAGAGTGAGACTCCATCTCAAATAAATAAATAAATAAATAAATAAATAAATAAATAAATAAATAAAAATAAAGACCTCGCCGGGCGTGGTGGCTCACGCCTGTAATCCCGTCACTTTGGGAGGCTAAGGTGGGCAGATCACGAGGTCAGGATTTTGAGACCAGCCTGGCCAACATGGTGAAACCCCATCTGTACTAAAAATGCAAAAATTAGCCGGGTGTGGTGGCGTGCGCCTGTAATCCCAGCTACTAGGGAGGCTGAGGCAGAATTACTTGAACCCGGGAGGTGGAGAGTGCAGTGTGCCAGGATCGCGCCACTGCACTCCAGCCTGGGTGACATTGTGAGACTCTGTTTCAAAAAAGATAAAAATTTTAAAAATAATTTAGAAAAATACATAAATAAAGACCTTGCTGATAAAACAGGTTGCAGTAAAGAAGCTGGCTCAAACCCACCAAAACCAAGATGGCCATGAGAGTAACGTCTGGTCCTCACTGCTACACTCCCACCAGCACCATTACAGTTTACAAATGCCATGGCAACGCCAGGAAGTTACTTTATATGGACTAAAAACAAGAGGCATGGAATAATCCACCCCTTGTTTAGCATATCATCAAGAAATAAGGCTGAGTGTGGTGGCTCATGCCTGTAATCCCAGCACTTTGGGAGGCCGAAGCTGGCAGATCGCTTGAGGTCGGGAGTTCAAGAACAGCCTGGCCAGCATGGCGAAACCCCGTCTCTACTTAAAATACAAAAATTAGCCGGGCGTGTGGCGCATGCCTGTGATCCCAGCTACTCAGGAGGCTGAGGCAAGAGAATTGCTTGATCCCGGGTGGCAGAGGTTGCAGTGAGCCAAGATCACACCACTGCACTCCAGCCTGGGCAACATGGAGACTCCATCTCAAAAAAAATAAAAAAAAATACAGCCCTCGAGGCTGCTCTATGGAGTAACCATTCTTTTATTCCTTACAAATTTGCTTCCACTTTACGGACTCACCTGGAATTCTTTTTTTTTTTTTTTTTTTTGAGACGGAGTCTCTCTCTGTCACCTAGGCTGGAGTTCAGTGGCACGATCTTGACTGATTGCAACCTCCGCCTCCCAGGCTCAAGCGATTCTTTTGCCTCAGCCTCCCGAGTAGCTGGGACTACAGGCGAGCGCCACCACGCCTGGCTAATTTTTGTATTTTTAGTAGAGATGGGGTTACACCATATTGGCCAAGCTGGTCTCTAACTCCTGACCTCGTGATCTGCCCGCCTCGGCCTCCCAAAGTGCTGGGATTACAGGCGTGAGCCACCGCACCAGGCCCTGAATTCTTTCTTGCGTGATATCCAGGAACCCTGTCTTGGACTCTGGATCGGACCCCCCTTTCCTGTAACATCTCCACCCCAAGATCACGAAGCTGGAGGAACCAGAGCCCATCTCTTTTCATGGGACTTTCCAGTGCCCTGGGTGTGACCCTGGATGGGAGAAGAGGAGAAGCAGCAGCTCCAGTCTGCCTGGAATTGCCGGTTGAGTCCCAGCCCTGACAGTACCTGCAAGAATTAATGAGACTTCCAGGCAGGCAGTGCCCAAGAATGAATCCCAGCTGGCAATACAAGTCACATCAGGGTCCCAGGACCAGCCATGGGGACTTCATTGTGGGGAGGGAAACTAGAAGCCCTATTTCCACCTCCTACCCATTTCTCCAATGCCCAGAAGTAGCTGGACCAAGCCCAGAGACCATGTCGTCCATCAAAAATATTCAGCTGGGCGTGGTGGCTCACACCTGTAATCCCAGCAGTTTGGGAGGCCTAGACTGGCGGATCACCTGAGGTCAGCAGTTTGAGACCAGCCTGGCCAACATGGTGAAACCCCGTCTCTACTAAAAATACAAAGTTAGCTGGGCATGGTGGTGTGTGCCCATAATCCCACGTACTTGGGAGGCTGAGGCAGGAGAATGGCTGGAACCTGGAAGGTGGAGGTTGCAGTGAGTCGAGATCGCGCCACTGCACGCCAGCTTGGGCGACAGAGAGAGACTCTGTCTCAAAAAAAATTCATTATAAGACTTTGTGGCTGGAAATGCAAGGTGGAGGCTGAAATGTTCTATATTTTTATCTGGTGGAGGTTGTACAGCATATAGTCAGCCCTCCCTGTATCCACAGGTTACACATTCATTGGAAGATTCAACTAACTGCAAATCAAACATTCAAATAGGCCGTGCTCTGGTACTGGTATAAAAATAGGCACATAGGCCGGGCGTGGTGGCTGAAGCCTGTAATCCCAGCACTTTGGGAGGCCAAGGCAGGTGGATCACTTGAGGTCAGGAGTTCAAGACCAGTCTGGCCAACATGGTGCAACCCCGTCTCTACTAAAAATACAAAAATCAGGTGGGCGCAGTGGTGGGCACATGTAATCTCAGCTATTAGGGAGGCTGAGGCAGGAGAATCGCTTGAACCCGGGAGGCAGAGGTTGCAGTGAGCCAAGATCGCGCCACTGTACTCCAGCCTGGGCGACAGAGTAAGACCCTGTCTAAAAAAAAAAAAAAAAAAAAAAAAGCACATAGACCATAAACCCAAATACTTAACAGCCAACTGGTCTTCAGCAAAGCAAACAAAAACATAAAAGGGGGGAAAGGACACCCTTTTCAATAGTAACGCCAGGATAATTGGCTAGCCACATGTAGGAGAATGAAACTGGATCCTCATCTCTCACCTTATACAAAAATCAACTCAAGATGGGTGAAGGACTTAAATCTAAGACTGGAAACTATAAAAATTCTGGAAGATAACATTGGAAAAACCCTTCTAGACATTGGCTTAGGCAAGGATTTCATGACCAAGAGCCCAAAGGCAAATGCAATAAAAACAAAGATAAATTTCTGGGACTTAATTAGACTAAAGAGCTAAGTAACAGTCAGTAGAGTAAACAGACAACCTACAGAGTGGGAAAAAATCTTCACAATGTAAACATCTGACAAAGGACTAATACCCAGAATTTAAAATGAATTTCAACAAATCAACAAGAAGAAAACAAATAATCCCATCAAAAAGTGGGCTTAGGACATGAATAGACATGTCTCAAAAGAAGGTATACGAATGACCAGCAAACATATGAAAAAATGCTCAACGTCACTAATGATCAGGGAGATGCAAATCAAAACCACATTGTGATACCACCTTAAACTCCTGCAAGAATGGCCATAATCAAAAAATCAAAAAAAACAGTAGATGTTGGCATGGATGCAGTGATCAGGGAACCCTCCTACACAGCTGGTGGGAATGTAAACTAGTACAACCACTATGGAAAACAGTGTGGGGAGTACTCAAGGAACTAAAAGTAGAACTACCATCTGATCCAGCAATCCCACTACTGCGTATCTACCCAGAGGAAAAGAAGTCATTCTACAAAAAAGATACTTGCACATACATGTTTATAGCAGCAAAATTTGTCATTGCAAAAACGTGGACCCAATCCAAATGCCCATCAATCAGCGAGTGGATAAAGAAACTGTGGATATATATTCAATGGAATACTACTCAGCCATAAAAAGGAATGAATTAATGGCATTCGCAGCAACCTGGATGGACTTGGAGGCTATTATTCTAAGTGAAGTAACTCAGGAATGGAAAACCAAACATCGTATGTTCTCACTCATAAGTGGGAGCTAAACTATGAGGATGCAAAGGCATAAGAATGACACAATAGGCTTTGGGGATTCAGTGGGGGAAGGGTGGGAAGGGGCTGAGGGATAAAAGACTACAAATAGGGTGCAGTGTATACTGCTCAGGTGATGGGTGCACCAAAATCTCACAAATCACCACTAAAAACATGCTCATGTAACCAGGCACCACCTGTTCCCCAATAACCTATGGAAGAAAAAAAAAGTTTTTTAAAAAAAGAGGCCGGACGTGGTGGCTCACGCCTGTAATCCCAGCACTTTGGGAGGCTGAGGTGGGCGGATCACGAGGTCAGGAGATCGAGACCATCCTGGCTAACACGGTGAAACCCCGTCTCTACTAAAAATACAAAAAATTAGCCGGGCATGGTGGCAGGCGTCTGTAGTCCCAGCTACTCGGGAGGCTGAGGCAGGAGAATGGCGTGAAACCAGGAGGCAGAGCTTGCAGTGAGCCAAGTTCGTGCCACTGCACTCCAGCCTGGGTGACAGAGCGAGACTCCATCTCAAAAAAAAAAGAAAAACTCAAACAGTCCATGCTTGGTGGCTCATGCTTGTAATCCCAGCACTTTGGGAGACCAAGGTGGGAGGATTACTTGAACTCAGAAGTTCAAGACCAGCCTGGGCAACATAGCAAAACTCCATCTCTACAAAGAAAAAAAAGTAATGGAAAAAAGTTCAAATAAATAATAACAGGCCAGGCATGCTGGCTTACGCCTGTAATTCCAGCACTTTGGGAGGCCCAGGTGGGAGGATCACCTAGGTTGGGAGTTCAAGACCAGCTGGCCAACATGGCAAAACCCTGTCTCTACTAAAAATACAGCAATTATCTGGGCATGGTAGCTTATGCCTATAATCACTTTGGGAGGCTGAGGTGGGTGGATCACCAGAGGTCAGGGGTTCAAGACCAGCCTGGGCAACATGGTGAAACCCCGTCTCTACTAAAAATACAAAAATTAGCCAGGTGTGATGGCACACCCTTGTAATCCCAGCTACTTGAGAGGCTGAGGCAGGAGAATAGCTTGAACCCAGGAGGCAGAGGCTGCAGTGAGCGGAGATCACACCACTGGACTACCGCCTGGGCAACTGGGCAACAGAGTGAGAGTCTGTCTCAAAAAAAAAAAAAAAAAAAAAAAAAGGCCAGGCATTTTTACTTACTTACTTACTTACACCTGTAATGCCAGCACTGTGGGAGGCCAAGGTGAGTGGATCACTTGAGGTCAGGAGTTCGAGACCAGCCTGACCAACATGGTGAAACCCCGTCTCTACTAATATTACAAAAATCAGCCAGGCATGGTGTTGTGCGCCTGTAATCCCAGCTATTCGGGAGGCTGAGGCAGGAGAATCACTTGCACCTGGGAGGCGGAGGCTGCAGTAAGCCAAGATCGCGCCACTGCACCCCAGCCTGGGTGACAAGAGCAAAACTCTGTCTCAAAACAAAGAAAAAAGAGAAGGAAAGAATTAGAAAATCACCATGTTGCAAAAGCCAGCAAAATCATTGATGCAGACAGCGATCATCTATAGGTGCTAAAAAAAGTAGATGAGGCCGGGTGCGGTGGCTCATGCCTGTAATCCCAGCACTTTGGGAGGCCGAGGCGGGCAGATCACCTAAGATCAGGAGTTCGAGACCAGCCTGGCTAACATGGTGAAACCCCATCTCTACTAAAAATACAAAAATTAGCCGGGCGAGGTGGCGGGCACTTGTAATCTCAGCTACTCGGTAGGCTGAGGCATGAGAATGACTTGAACCCGGGAGGCAGAGGTTGCAGTGAGCCGAGATTGCATCACTGCACTCTAGCCTGAACAACAGAGCCAGACTCCATCCAAAAAAAAAAAAAAAAAAAAAATTTGGCCGGGGGTGGTGGCTCATGCCTGTAATCCCAGCACTTTGGGAGGCTGAGGTGAGCAGATCACCTGAGGTCAGGAGTTGGAGACTAGCCTGACCACCATGCCGAAACCCCGTCTCTACTAAAAATACAAAATAAATAAATAAATAAATAAGCTGGGCGTGGTGGCAGTTGCCTGTAATCCCAGCTACTCGAGAGGCTGAGGCAAGAGAATTGCTTAAACCTGGGAGTTGGAGGTTGCAGTGAGCGAGACCATGCCATTGCACTCCAGCCTGGTCAACAGAGCGGGACTCTGTCTCAAAAAAAAAAAAAATTAAAAAAAGAAGGAAAAAGATCAATAATCCAAAAGTATACTAGGCAAGGGAGGTTACCAGAGAGTACAGAGGAAACTAATGGTCCTTAAACACATGGGACTTTGCCCTGCCTTGCTTGTGGTCAGGAAAATGCAAATTTTCTCTACTCTGAGATACTATTTTTCACATGTCATGTTGGCAAGAAACCAAAGTTCGATAACACTCTCTGTTGGTAAGGCTGTAAGGCAGCAGAACTTTTACCCATTGCTAGAGAGAGTGTGAATCGCTCTAACACCTGAGGGGGAATATTTGTCAATATGCGTAAAAATTACAAATGCACACAGTCTTTGAGCCAGAAATCCCGCTTCGGAAAATTTATCCACAGAGACACTTGCATATGTGTAAAATGACGTTCTGTATGGCGATGTCAGCCTAAGAACAAACGAGTGGAAAAAATGTCCATCTCTGAGAGTGAAATTAACCATAAAGCATTCACACAGCAGCATGCTATGCAGCTGTGAAAAAATAAAAATAAAAAATAACAAGAATGTGGCCAGGCACAGTGGCTCACGCCTGTAATCCCAGCACTCTGGGAGGCCAAGGCGGGCCTATCACTTGAGGTCAGGAGTTTGAGACCAGCCTGGCCAACATGGTGAAATCCCATCTCTACTAAAAAATAAAAAAATTAGCTGGGCATGGTGGCATGCACCTGTAGTCCCAGCTACTTGGGAGGCTGAGGCATGAGAATTCCTTTTTTTTTTTTTTTTTTGAGACGGAGTCTCACTCTGTCACCCAGGCTGGAGTGCAGTGGCGCGATCTCGGCTCACGGCAAGCTCCACCTGCCAGGTTCATGCCATTCTCCTGCCTCAGCCTCCCGAGTAGCTGGGACTACAGGCACCTGCCACCACGCCCAGCTAATTTTTTGTATTTTTAGTAGAGATGGGGTTTCACCGTGTTAGCCAGGATGGTCTCGATCTCCTGACCTCGTGATCTGCCCGCCTCGGCCTCCCAAAGTGCTGGGGTTACAGGCGTGAGCCACTGAGCCCGGCTGAGAATTCCTTGAACCTGGGAGACAGAGGTTGCAATGAGCCGAGTTGGCGCCACTGCACTCCAGCCTGGGCAAGAGCAAGACTCCGTCTCAATAAAAATTAAAATAAAATAAAATAAAGTTTTGTTAAGAGATCTCCAACACTTGTTAAGTCACGTGGGAGAAGCAACATTCAGAAGAATGTGTAGAACATGCTACCTTTTAATGAAATTCTGGGCCAAGCATGCTGGCTCATGCCTATAATCCCAGCACTTTGGGAGGCCGAGGTGGGAGGATCACTTGAGCCCAGAAGTTCGAGACCAGCCTGGGCAACATAATAAGACCTCGTTTCTAGTGAGACTGGACAGGATCTTGCTCTGTCACCCAGGCTGGAGTGCAGTGGCACAATCATAGCTCACTGCAGCCGCCAACTCCTGGGCTCAAGTGATCCTCCCACCTCAGCCTCCCAAGTAGATGGGACTACAAGCACACGCCACCACCCTGGGCCAAATTTTAAAAATTCTTTTGGAGAAATGAAGTCTCAGCCAGGTGTGGTGGCTCATGCCTATAATCCCAGCACTTTGGGAGGCTAAGGTGGGTGGATAGAAAGGTCAGGAGTTTGAGACCAGCCTGGCCAACATGGTGAAACCCCATCTCTACTAAAAATACAAAAATTTGCTGGGCCTAGTGGTGCCCACCTGTAATCCCAGCTACTTGGGAGGCTGGGGCAGGAGGATCTCTTGAACCCGAGAGGCGAGGGTTGCAGTGAGCCGAGATCATACCAGTGCACTCCAGTCTAGGTGACAGAGCAAGACTCCATCTCGGAAAAAAATTTTTAAAAGTCCGGGTGCGGTGGCTCAGGCCTGTAATCCTAGCACTTTGGGAGGCCGAGGTGAGTGGATAGCCTGAGGTCAGGAGTTCAAGACCAGCCTGGCCAACATGGTGAAATGCCATCTCCACTAGAAATACAAAAATTAGGCCAGGCACGGTGGATCACGCCTGTAATCCCAGCATTCTGGGAGGCCGAGGCGGGTGGATAACGAGGTCAGGAGATCGAGACCATCCCAGCCAACATGGTGAAACCCCGTCTCTACTAAAATACAAAAAATTAGCCAGGTGCGGTGGCATGTGCCTGTAATCCCAGCTACTCGGGAGGCTGAGGCAGGGGAATCCCTTGAACCTGGGAGGCGGAGGTTGCAGTGAGCTGAGGTCGCACCACTGCATTCCAGCCTGGCGACAGAGCGAGACTCTGTTTCAAAAAAAAAAAAAAAAAAAAAAAATTACCTGGGTGTAGTGGCGGGTGCCTGTAATCCCAGCTACTCAGGAGGCTGAGGAAGGAGAATCACTTTAACCCAGGAGGTGGAGGTTGCAGTGAGCCGAGATGGCGCCACTGCACTCCAGACTGTGCAATGGGAGGGAAACTCCACCTCAAGAAAAAAAAAAAAATTCACAGGGGTAGAAAGTAGTATGGTGGTTGCCAGGGGTAGAAGGAGGAAGGACGGAGAGAGTGTTTAATGGGGACAGAGTTTTGGTTGGGGAAGACAAAATGTTCTGGAGATGGATGATTGCACAATAATGTAAATATGGGTAATGCCACTGAATCGTACACTTAAAAATAGTTAAAACAGCCGGACACAGTGCTCACGCCTGTAATCCCAGCACTTTGGGAGCCCGAGGTGGGGAGATCCCCTGAGGTCAGGATTCAAGACCAGCCTGGCCAACATGGTGAAACCCCGTCTCTACTAAAAATACAAAACACATTAGCTGGATGTAGTGGCGCACGCCTGTAATTCCAGCTACTCGGGAGGCTGAGACAGGAGAATCGCTGGAACCTGGGAGGTGGAGACTGCAGCGAGTCAAGATGGCGGCATTGCACTCCAGCCTGCGCAACAAGAGCAAAACTCCATGCCAAAAGAAAAAAAAAATGTTAAAACGGTAAATTTTACATGTATTTTGCCACATTAACAAAAAATGTTTAGGCCAGGTGCAGCAGCTCATGCCTGGGCAAAATATTGAGGCCCTGTCTCTAAAAAAAAAAAGAAAAAAAAAAACAAGAAAAAGAAAAATATTGGCCAAGCATAGTAGTGAGCTGAGGTGGGAAGATGGCTTGATCCCAGGGGTTTGAGACTGCAGTGAGCTATGATCGTGCCACTGCACTCCAGTCTGAGTGACAGAGCCAGAGCCAGACAAAGCCAAAGAGGGAAAAAAATGGGTTTAACATACTGGCGGGGCACAATGGCTCACACCTATAATCCCAGCACTTTGGGAGGATGAGGCAGGCAGGTTGCTTGAACTCAGGAGTTTAAGACCAGCCTGGGCAACATGGTGAAACCCTGTTTCTGCAAAAAAAAAAAAAAAAAAAATTTAGCTGGGCGTGGTGACATGTGCCTGTGGTCTCAGCTACTCTGGGAGGCTGAGGCAGGAGGATCACTTGAGCCCAGGAGGTCAAGGCTACAGTGAGCTGGGATGGTGCTACTGCACTTCAGCCTGGGTGATAGAGTAAGACCCTGTCTCAAAAAATAAATAAATAAATAAATAAATAAAGCAAGCCTAGGAGTTTGAGACCTGCCTGGGGCACATACTGAGACCCTGTCTCTACAAAAAATTTAAAAATGAGCTGAGAGTGGTATGCATCTGTGGTCCCAGCTACTCAGGCGGCTAAGGTGGGAGGATAACTTGAGCCCGGGAGATCGAGGCTGCAGTGAGCCGTGATATTGCTGCTGACTCTAGCCTGGGCAACGGAGTGAGACCCTGTCTCATAAAGAAAAAAAAAACCTGTATTCATATTTGTTTTCATGTGTACAAAGTAATTCTGGAAAGATACTCAGGAAATTAAGAGCTGTGGTTATTCATGAGAGAAAGGGGAGGAACTGAAACTTGGAAGGCAGATGCTGCTTCATAAACCTTATATGCTTTGCTTTTTGAAGCATGTAAATGTATTAACTATTCGAAGATAAATTAAATAGTTTGGAGAAGCTGAGGGCAGTGATACAGACCTCTAATCCCAGCTATTTGGGAGGCTGAGGTGGGACGATCACTTTAGGAAAGGGAACTAAGACCAGCCTGGCAACACAGCGAGACTCCAGTCTCTTAAAAAAAAAAAAAAAAAAAAAAAAAATATATATATATATATATATATATATATATATATATATATATATATATATATATTTATTGTATTGCTGGGCACAGTGGCTCATGTCTGTAACCTCAGCACTTTGGGAGGCTGAGGCAGGTGGATCACTTGAGGCCAAGAGTTTGAGACTACCCTGGCCAACATGGTGAAACACCATCTCTAATAAAAATACAAAAATTAGCCGGGAGTGGTGGCGGGTGCCTGTAGTTTCAGCTACTCGGGAGGCTGAGACAGGAGAATCACTTGAACCCAGGAGGTGGACATTGCAGTGCACTGAGATGGTGCCACTGCACTCCAGCCTGGATGACAGAGCAAGACTCCATCTCAATATATATATAATATATATTTATATATAATATGTTAATATATTGTATACATACATATATGTATACAACATATTAATTTATATTAAGGTAATATATTATATTAATTAATTATATTATACTAATTAAATTATATTAATATAAGATGTATTAATTTACATATATTTCTGTATACAATATATTAATATATTATAAAAATGTTACATTATGTCCTAGGCTATATTTATATGTGCTATATTTATATTATATAAATAATATATCATAAAAATATGTTACATTATGCTATGTATTTATTTTATATAGCATAATGTAACATATAATATATAATGTATATATTACATATTATATATTATATATTTTTTGTATACTTTTTTAACATGTCCCCAGAGATAGGAAATATAAATCTATATTATACATTATATAACATATTTATATTACATATTATATATTATATATCATAATACATTATAATATATTAATTATAATATAATATATTAATATATTATAACATATTCTATAAATAAAATATTTATATATTATATAAATATGTTATATAATATGTTATATATAAATGCTATGATATATTGTATAACATAAATATAAAATTATATCTCATATAATAGATTATACATGATATATAATATACATTATATATCATATACATTATATATCATACATGATATATAATAATTATATTTAATATATAATGTATATTTTTATAATAATTACATATAACACATATATTTATATATTTTATATATATATATATATATACAGTCTGTATCTTCAACTGTTTTGTTTTTTTAAAAGGACACTCATAATTGGATTTAGGGCCCACCCAGATAATCCAGGATGAGCTTATCTTAATATAATATAATATATAATTTTATATTATATATTATATATTGTATTATAATATAATAAATATATAAATATTTTATTATATATTTTATAATATATATTATATATATTATATATATAAAATAAATATATATATTATACATAAATATAAATATATATAATATATTATATAACCTATTTATATTATATATATAAATATATAAATATATCATATATATTTATGTAGAATATATTTATATATTATAATATACTATATTATTATAATTATAATATATTTATATATAAATATATAAATGTATTTCTATATAATATATAAGTATATTATATAATAGAATATAGTATAATATATAACATCTATAATATATAAGTATACTTATATAATATATATTATACAATATATAAGTATATTATATATGTTTATATAATATATAAACATATTATATAATATGTTTATATATGATATATGCATATTATGTTTATTATGATATATGCATATTATATAATATGTTTATTATATGATATATAAATATATTTATATGTTATAGATGTTATGTATATTATAGATATATTATAATTTATAAATGTATATCATAATAATTTTATAAACTTATAAATATATATTATATATATAAAGTTTGGAAATCAGGGCTTTATTTAGAATTGGCAAAATTGGCTTGCATTTTTATAGTGAACAAAATCATCATGACACCCATATTCCTAGCAGGTGACATTTCCCGTTCTGACTATATTCATTTCACTGTAGCTGCTGTAACCAGTGTCCACAAACCAGGTGGCTTACACCAATGAACATTTATTCCCTTCCTGTTCTGGTTGTCAGGAGTCTGAAATGCAGGCGTCGCAGGGCCGCGCCCCCTCTGAGGCCTCTAGGGGAGGGTCCCTCCTTGCCTCTTCCAGCTTCTGGAGGCTCCAGGCCTTCCTTGGCTTCCTCAATGGCATTAAGCCAATTTCTGCCTCTGTCTTCATATGAACTTTCCTCTTTTGTCTGTGTCTTCAACTCTTTTGTTTTTTAAAAGGACACTCATAATTGGATTTAGGGCCCACGAAGATAATCCAGGTTGAGCTCATCTTAAGGTTCTTTTTAATTTTTTTTTAATGGAGTCTCACTGTGTTGCTCAGACTGGAGTGCAGTGGCATGCGATCTGGGTTCAATGCAACCTCCGACTCCCGGGTTCAAGCGATTCTCCTGGATCAGCCTCCTGAGTAGCTCATATTACAGGTGCCCGTCACCACACCCAGCTAATTTTTGTATTTTCAGTAGAGACCGGGTTTCACCATGTTGGCCAGGCTGGTCTGGAACTCCTGACCTCAGGTGATCTGCCTGCCTCAGCTTCCTGAAGTCCTGGGATTACAGGCATGAGCCACCCCCCAAGGCCATCTAAAGATTCTTAATTACATTTGCAAAAGCTCTTTTTCTTTTTCTTTCTTTCTTTTTTTTTTTTGAGACAGGGTCTCACTCTGTTGCCGAGGCTGGAGTGCAGTGACACCATCCCAGCTCACTACAGTCTCAAATTCCTGGGCTCAAGCGATCCTCCCACCTCAGCCTCCTGTGTAGGGGACTACAGGAACACACCACCATACCCAGCTAATTTTTGTATTTGTAGAGACGGGAGTGTCACTGTATTGTCCAAGCTGGTGTGGAACTCCTGGCCTCTAGCAATCCTCCTGCCTTGGTCTTCCAAGTAGCTGAGACCACAGGCATGCATGCCTGGCTAATATTTTCTATTTTTTAAAGGCCAGATCTTGACATTTTGCCCAGGCTGGTCTTAAACTCTTACGCTCAAGTGTTCCTCCGGCCTCAGCTTCCTAAGTAGCTGGAAATACAGGCACACATCACCTCACCTGGCTAAGGTTTTGTTTTGTTTTGTTTTAAGATAGGATCTCTGTCACCCAAGCTGGGTGACACAATCATGGCTCACTGCAGCCGTGACCTTCTGGGCTCAAGCAATCCTCCTGCCTCAGCCTCCTGAGTAGCTGAGATTACAGGCACCTGCCACCGTGCCTGACTAATTTTTTTATTTTTTAGTAGAGACAGGGTTTCACTGTGTTGGCCAGGCTGGTCTCAAACTCCTGACCCCAGGTGATCCGTCCTCCTTGGCCTCCCAGTGTGCTGGGATTACAGGTGTGAGCCACCGCACTTGGTTTCAAATACTTTTTTCTAGTAAGATCACATTTATAGATCCCAGGGTTTAGGATGTGGACATAGATTTCTGCAGATCACCATTTACACACCACACCGACGAGTGCTGTGCAGAATGCTTAGGACTCTATAGAATTTCACCAAAGTCCCCAAGAGGCTCATGAAGCAGGTATACTTATCATCTCCATCTTCACAATGAACTCAGAGAGGTATAGGGTCTTGCCCAAGGATACACAGGAACAGAGATTTGAACCTAGCTATGTTGGGCCCAAAACTCTGATTCTATGTGAGACACAAAAGACGCTTCTGGGCTGGGTGCAGTGACTCACGCCAGCACTTTGGGAGGCTGAGGTGGGCAGATCACTTGAGATCAAGAGTTTGAGGCTAGCCTGGCCAACATGGCAAAACCCCGTCTCTACTAAAAATACAAAAATTAACCAGACATGGTGGCGCACACCTGCAGTCCTAGCTACTTGGGAGGCTGAGGCACATGAATAGCTTGAACCCTGGAGACAGAGGCTGCGATGAGCCGAGATCACTCCATTGCACTCCAGTCTGAGCGACAGAGTGAGACCCTGTGTCAAAAAAAAAAAAAAAAGAAAAGAAAAAGAAAAAAGAGGCTTCTGGTTTGAGGCCCATCAGTTAAGTCAGGCAGGCAGGCAGCAGATATTTCCTGAATGCTTGTTCTTCCCCAGGCCAGGCACTGGGGGCGCAGGAGAAAAGGGCAGGAGGGTACCTCCCTACAGGAAGTTCCTGGAGAAGAGGCCGAGGGGAAGAGAGTATTATTCACCAGCCCTTTAGAAACAGAGCAATCAGAGGTGACCTCTGCCTCCGGAAGGTTGCCCTTGGCCTGTGACATCCACAGCAGGCAACTGGGGCCAGGAGTTTGTGACAGAGAAAAGGACAAAGAGATGAAGTTCTAATCCAAAGGGAACGTGTCCAGTAGAAATAACATTTAAACAGCACTTACTTCATGCAGGAGATTGTTGTAAAAATTTGACTCACTCATTAAATCTTTCCCATTTTGCAAGTGAGGAAACCAAGGCACAGAGAGTTTAAGTGACTTGGCCAAGGTCACACAGCAGGAAAGAGGCAGAGGTGGAATTTGAAGCCAAGCTTGCCCCCCTTACCAGAGCCCTTGTTTTTGCTGTGTTTTAAAGTCGAGGTGAAATTGACATTAACATAGCTGTGCCTGGTGGCTCATGCCTGTAGTCCTAGCACTTTGGGAGGCCAAAGGGGGAGGATCACTTGAGCTCAGGAGTTCCAGATCAGCCTGGGCAACATAGTTAGGCCTCATCTCTTTAAAAAAGAAAGACTGGCCGCAGTGGTTTACATTTGTAAACCACCTGTTTCCCACCTGGCTAATTTTTGTATTTTTGTTAGAGACTGGGTTTTACACTACGGTGGACAGGCTGGTCTCAAACTCCTGAACTCAAGTGATCTGCCCGCCTTGGCCTCCCAAAGTGCTGGGATTACAGACGTGAGCCACCGTACCTGGCCTGGTTAGTTTTATTTTATATGGATGTTATCTCTCTCTTTTTTTTTTTTTTTTTGAGACAGAGTTTCGCTCTTGTTGCCCAGGCTGGAGTGCAATGGCGTGATCTCCGCTCACTGCATCCTCCGACTCCCAGGTTCAAGAGATTCTCCTGCCTCAGCCTCCTGAGTAGCTGGGATTACAGGCATCTGCCACCATGCCCAGCAAATTTTTGTATTTTTAGTAGAGACGGGTTTCACCGTGTTGGCCAGGCTGGTCTCAAACTCTTGACCTCAAGTGATCCGTCCTCCTCAGCCTCCCAAAGTGCTGGGATTACAGGCATGAGCCACCATGCCCGGCCTCAATTTTTTTTTTTTTTAGACAAGGTTTGGCTCCGTTGTACAGGCTGGAGTGCAGTGATGCAATCTCAGCTCATGGCAGCCTTGAACGCTTAGGCAAAAGTGATCTTCCCACCTCAGCCTCCTGAGTAGCTGGGATCACAGATGTGTGCCACCACACCTGGCTAATTTTTACATTATTTGTAGAGGTGGGGTTTCACCTGTTGCCCAGGCTGGTCTGGAACTCTTGGGTTCAAGCAATCCTCCTGCCTTGGCTGCCCAAAGTTCCGGAATTACAGGCGTGAGCCATCATTCCCAGCCTCTCAATATATATATTTTTATTTTATTATGATGATGATGATTATTTTTTGTGACAAAGTCTCACTCTGTCGCCCACGCTGATGCACAGTGGCTCAATCTCGGCTCACTGCAGACTCTGCCTCCTGGGTTCAAGTGAGTCTCCTGCCTCAGACTCCTGAGTAACTGGGATTACAGGCATGTGCCACCATGCCCAGCTAATTTTTGTACTATTAGTAGAGATGGGGTTTGACCATGTCGGCCAGGCTGGTCTCGAACTCCTGACCTCAAGTGACTCGCCCGCCTCAGCTGCCCAAAGTTCTAGGATTACAGGCATGAGCCACTGTGCCTGGCCACTGCCACTAATTTTACATTATGGTGAGTTGTATGATTATTTCAATATACAACTACAGTATAATAATAATAGAAATAAAGTGCACAATAAATGTGATGCGCTTGGCCAGGCGCGGTGGCTCATGCCTGTAGTCCCAGCACTTTGGGAGGCCGAGGTGGACGGATCATGAGGTCAAGAGATCGGGACCAACCTGGACAACATGGTGAAACCTCGTCTCTACTAAAAATACAAAAATTAGCTGGGCGTGGTGGCATATGCCTGTAGTCCCAGCTACTCGGAAGCTGAGGCAGGAGAATCGCTTGAACCTGGGAGGCAGAAGTTGCAGTGAGCCAAGATTGCGCCATTGCACTCCAGCCTGGTGACACAGCAAGACTCCATCTCAAAAAAAAAAAAAAAAAAAAAAAAAGTGATACGCTTGAATCATCCCGAAACCATCCACTTGACACTCCATCCATGGAAAAATTGTCTTCCACGAAACCGGTTTCTGGCGTCAAAAACGTTAGGATCTGCTGCCTCAGGACACCCTTCTGTGTCTCCGTTTCCTCATTTGTAATATGAGAATTATCTTAGTCCTGAATTCATAACCCCATGCTCTTAAAAGTGTGGTTTCCGCCGGGCGCAGTGTCTCACGCCTGTAATCCCAGCACTTTGGGAGGTCGAGGCGGGCGGATCACGAGGTCAGGAGATCGAGACCATCCTGGCTAACACAGTGAAACCCCGTCTCTACTAAAAATACAAAAAATTAGCCGGGCGTGGTGGCGGGCGCCTGTAGTCCCAGCTACTCGGGAGGCTGAGGCAGGAGAATGGCGTGAACCTGGGAAGTGGGGAGCTTGCAGTGAGCCGAGATCATGCCACTGCACTCCAGCCTGGGCGACAGTGCGAGACTCCATCTCAAAAAAAAAAAAAAAAGAAAGAAAGAAACTGTGGTTTCTGGGCTGGGCGTGGTGCTCCAGGCTGGAGTGCAATGACACAATCTTGGCTCACTGCAACCTCTGCCTCCTGGGTTCAAGCGATTCTCCTGCCTCAGCCTTCTCAGTAGCTGGGATTACAGGCACCCGCCACCATGCCCGGCTAATTTTTATATTTTTAATAGAGACAGGGTTTCATCATGTTGGCCAGGCTGGTCTCAAACTCCTGACCTCAGGTGATCCACCCGCCTCGACCTCCCAAAGTGCTGGGATTACAGGTGTGAACCACTGTGTCCAGCCAATCCCAGCACTTCGAGAGTCTGACGCATTTGGGTCCCTTGAGTCCAAGAGTTTGAGACCAGCCCGGGCAACATTGTGAGGTCTCATCTCTACAAAAAATACAAAAATTAGCTGAGCATGGTGGTACACACCTGTAGTCCCAGCTACTTAGGAGGCTGAGGTGGGAGGATCATTTGAACCCGGGAATTCAAGGCTGCAGTGAGCTATGTTGCCACCACTACAATCCAGCCTGGGCAACATAGCCAGACCCTGTCTCTGAAAAAAAGAAAAAAAAAAAAGTCTGGTTTCTGAACCAGCAGGATCAATGTCACCTGGGAACTGGTTGGAAATGCAGATTCTTAGATATGTTCCATACCTGTTGAGTCAGGAGCTCTGCAGGTAGGACACAAAGATATGTGTTTTGTTTGTTTGTTTTTGAGACAGAGTCTCACTCTGTTGCCCAGGCTGAAGTGCAGTGGCGCCATCTCAGCTCACTGCAACCTCCACCTCCCAGGTTCAAGCAATTCTCCTGCCTCAGCCTCCCAAGGAGCTGGGGCTACAGACATGAGCCACCACACCCGGCTAATTTTTTGTATTTTTAGTAGAGGCGGGGTTTCACCATGTTGGCCAGGCTGGTCTCGAACTCCGGACCTCAGGTAATCCTCCTGCCATGGCCTCCCAAAGTGCTGGGATTACAGGCGTGAGCCACCGCGCCTGGCCTGATTTCTGTTTTAACAAGCCTACCCAAAGATTCTGAAGCTCACTCACATTTGAGAACCATTACCCTGGGTTGTTGGGAGAATCAAATACATTACAGAGATATAAAATGCTTTGAGCAGCTGAGGGCTGTGGCTCATATCTGTAATCCCAGCACTTTGGGAGGCTGAGACAGGCGGATCACCTGAGGCCAGGAGTTCGAGACCAGCCTGGCCAACGTGGTAAAACCCCGTCTCTACTGAAAATACAAAAATTAGCCAGGTGTGGTGGTGGGCGCCTGTAATCCCAACTACTTGGGAGGCTGAGGCGGGAGAATTTCTTGAATCTGGGAGGCGGAGGTTGCAGTGAGCCAAGATTGTGCCATTGGGACTGTACCTCTAGCCTGGGTGACAGAGCGAGACTCCATCTAAACAAACAAACAAACAAATAAACAATAAAATGCTTACAGTAGTGTGCCTGGCCTCGTAGCACATACTGCACTGGGCGTTCACTGCTATTATGATCTTCGAAGAGGTCCAGGACCCTAACGTTGTGGGGATCTGGTTGTGTCACCTTACCCCGCCTTTTGGGATTATGCGTTTCTGGTCTCTGCAGGTTGGAGACCTTCTCGCCTCTCTGTCAATGATGTTGACAATAAGCTGGGCCACATCACCCTGTCCCTAGCGAAAGGTTATCACTTCGCTGGGGACATGAGAAAGGTCGGGTTGGGGGGGCCGTGCCTGTCTCCCCTCTGCTGGAGAAGATAAGGGAGGCACTCAGCTTTCTTCAGGCAGAGTGTGGGGGAGCCACGATGTATAAATGGGGGGCCAAGAGGCAGCAGAGACACTGGCCCACTCTCACGTTCAAAGCATCTCCGTCCAGCATGGCCAGGTACATGCTGCTGCTGCTCCTGGCGGTATGGGTGCTGACCGGGGAGCTGTGGCCGGGAGCTGAGGCCCGGGCAGCGCCTTACGGGGTCAGGCTTTGCGGCCGAGAATTCATCCGAGCAGTCATCTTCACCTGCGGGGGCTCCCGGTGGAGACGATCAGACATCCTGGCCCACGAGGCTATGGGTGAGGCTGGGGAGAGAGTGGATGTAGAAGGGGAACAGGTGGCTGGATGGGTCCCAGGAGCTAAGGACAGAGATAAGAGGAGGTTGCTGGAGGAGGAGGGTCCCTGTCCTGCCACATTCAGCCAGGGACACCTGCCCAGCCTTGAAACAAGGGCTCAGGAGTTAGCAGAGCTGCAGAGCTGGGATGGGGTGTTGCAAGCCATCCATGGGGGCTGGAAGTCTGAGGACAGGTGGGGGCGGGGAGCGTGCCATTTGCAAAGACAACACCGAAGTGTTTTCCAACCCTTTCCAGCAGGTAATGTGAAGGGTGTGGTATACACATAGCTGGGTTTGTCACCTAATGCATGACCTCTCCCCAGCAAGTTGGTTTTTCTTCCGTCTCTGAGTGTCTTTTTTTTGGAGATGTGGTCTCACTCCATTGCCCAGGCTTGAATGCAGTGGCCCAATCACTGCTCATTGCAGCCTCGACCTCCCAGGCTCAAGTGATTCTCCTGCCTCCGCCTCCAGAGTAGTTGAGACCACAGGCACCTGACACCATGCCTGGCTAGTTTTAAATTTTTTTTTTGTAGAAACAGGGGTCTCACTATGTTGCCTAGGCTGGTCTCGAACTCCTGGGCTCAAGTGATCCTCCCACCTCGGCCTCCCTAAGTGCTGAGATTAGAGTCTCTGAGTGTCTTTATCTTCAAATGGGAGACACAGTTCCTGAATCTTGCAGGATTAAGTGGTATGATTAAATCAAAACAGATTAGGGCAGAGTCTCAGCAGGGCAGCGGCACAATCTGGGATCCATCAGGAGAGTCAGAGGGAACAGAAGACCTAGCTTCATGAGGGGCAGGGACCTGGCAAATAGATATTCATGATGGTGAGAAGGAGGATAGGTATGAGCGTGGACATAGAAGACACACCACTTGGATTCAGATAGTAGCTCTACAATGTAATAGTTGTGTGTTCATGTGCTACTATTTTTTTTTTTTTTGAGACAGAATCTCATTCTGTTGCCCAGGCTGGAGTGCAGTGGTGCAATCTTGGCTCACTGTAACCTCCATCACCTGGGTTCAAGCGATTCTCGTGCCTCCAGCCTCCCAAGTAGCTGGGATTACAGATGTGTGCCACCATACCTCGCTAATCTTTTTATTTTTAGTAGAGACAGTTTCACCATGTTGGCCAGGCTGGTCTCCAACTCCTGACCTCAGGTGATCCTCCCACCTCAGCCTCCCAAAGTGCTGGGATTACAGGCATGAGCCACCGCGCCCAGCCATGCAAATTCTTTACTGAGTCCTGCCTCAGTGGTCTCCTCTGGAAAATACGGGTGATAACTGCACCCACCTCAACTGGTTATCACTGAGAAGAATAAAGAAGTTAACCTGCTAAAGCACTTAAAACGTTGTTTGACACAAAGTAAGTGATCAATAAATTATTATTATTATTATTATTATTATTATTATTATTTTTGAGACAGGGTCTTGCTCTGTTGCCCAGACTGGAGTGCAGTGGTGTGATCACAGCTCACTGCAGCTTCAACCTCTTGGGCTCAAGCAATTCTCCTGCCTCAGCCTCCTGAGTAGCTGGGACTACAGGCTTGTGCCAACATGTCTAACTTTTTATTATTTGTAGAGACAGGGTAGTGCTGTGTTGTCCAGGCTGTTCTTGAACTCCTGGTTCTGGTGATCCTCCAGCATGTGCCCCTGGAAGTGCTGGGATTACAGGTGTGAGACACCGTGCCCGGACTCAATAGTCATTTTTGAGTGCTCATCATGTTCCAGACATTGTTCTAAGTTTTTTTTTTTAATGAATATTAACTCCTTATAAAACTTGAGAAGGTTGGAGTAATTATTTTTTTCCACTTTGCAGAAAAGAACATTGAGGCTCCAAGAAGTAAATTTACTTGCTCACGATTAGAGAAGCTGGATTCATGCTCAGTCAGCCCAGCTCCCAAATGTACCAGGTCCTCAATTAATAAAGAGTAAGGAGAAATAAATGACAGGGCTGGGTGCGGTGGCTCACGCCTGTAATCCCAGCACTTTGGGTGGCTGAGGTGGGCACATCACTTGAGGTCAGGAGTTTGCGACCAGCCTGAACAACATGGTGAACCCCATCTCTATAACAATACAAAAATCAGCCAGGCCTGCTGGCAGACACCTGTAATCCCACCTACTCTGGCAGAGCCAGAATTTGAACCCAGGACTGGGTGGAATAAAAACTCTGAACTATGTCTATGACTGTTGTCACAAGATCAGAGCTAGACTGGCCAGGAGCCATGACTGTGGGTGCAGCAGCAGCTGAGCCCTGATCACTAACTCTGTTCATCTTTTGCAGGAGATACCTTCCCGGATGCAGATGCTGATGAAGACAGTCTGGCAGGCGAGCTGGATGAGGCCATGGGGTCCAGCGAGTGGCTGGCCCTGACCAAGTCACCCCAGGCCTTTTACAGGGGGCGACCCAGCTGGCAAGGAACCCCTGGGGTTCTTCGGGGCAGCCGAGATGTCCTGGCTGGCCTTTCCAGCAGCTGCTGCAAGTGGGGGTGTAGCAAAAGTGAAATCAGTAGCCTTTGCTAGTTTGAGGGCTGGGCAGCCGTGGGCACCAGGACCAATGCCCCAGTCCTGCCATCCACTCAACTAGTGTCTGGCTGGGCACCTGTCTTTCGAGCCTCACACATTCATTCATTCATCTACAAGTCACAGAGGCACTGTGGGCTCAGGCACAGTCTCCCGACACCACCTATCCAACCCTGCCCTTTGACCAGCCTATCATGACCCTGGCCCCTAAGGAAGCTGTGCCCCTGCCTGGTCAAGTGGGGACCCCCCCATCCTGACCCCTGACCTCTCCCCAGCCCTAACCATGCGTTTGCCTGGCCTACACACTCCACTGCCACAACTGGGTCCCTACTCTACCTAGGCTGGCCACACAGAGACCCCTGCCCCCTTCCCAGTCCAAACTGTGGCCATTGTCCCCTGACCAGCTAAAATCAAGCCTCTGTCTCAGTCCAGCCTTTGCACGCACGCTTCCTTTGCCCTGCTTTCCATCCCCTCTCCCTCCAACTCCCCTGCCAGAGTTCCAAGGCTGTGGACCCCAGAGAAGGTGGCAGGTGGCCCCCCTAGGAGAGCTCTGGGCACATTCGAATCTTCCCAAACTCCAATAATAAAAATTCGAAGACTTTGGCAGAGAGTGTGTGTGTGTGTGTATGGTTGTTGGGCGTAGGACAGGTTTCGGGGATGCGCGGTACGCGGTACCACCCCTCGGAGGCCCCCACCCCCAGACGCCCAGGCCGCCTCCCCACTCCCCCTCAAGCAGCCCCAGCCGGGGACTTTCCGTCGCGGGGAAGGGGCGGGGACCCTGAGCGAAAGGTGCGGAGGCGGCCTGCCGGGGTGGTTCGGCTTCCCGTTGCCGCCTCGGGCGCTGTACCCAGAGCTCGAAGAGGAGCAGCGCGGCCGCGCGGACCCGGCAAGGCTGGGCCGGACTCGGGGCTCCCGAGGGACGCCATGCGGGGAGGCAGGGGCGCCCCTTTCTGGCTGTGGCCGCTGCCCAAGCTGGCGCTGCTGCCTCTGTTGTGGGTGCTTTTCCAGCGGACGCGTCCCCAGGGTGAGTGCTGGAGGGAGCTCGTGTCCCGGGCGCTGCCGCTGCGCTCCCCGCGAAGGCGCCAGTGCTCCAGGATAAGCCACGCGTATGCAGAGCGAACGGTAGAGGTGCAGGCGCCACTCGGCTCCTCCCGGGGCAGGGACCCGGCGACACTGGGGAATGGGCGGCAGCGAGGTCGAACCGGAGCCCCGGGGCGGGGTGGGGGAGCTCTCTGGGTGGTTAACAGGATGTGGCGAGCACAGGGAAAGGGGGGGTTTGCACGGAGCCCGGGCAGGGGTGCCTAGCGCCTCCCTTCCTGCTGCTCATTTCCCTAAGCCCCCCCACCTTGCAATTGTCAGAAGTCCAAGTTCTGGGGTGTGCAGGCGGAAGGGGGGGATTCGACCCCCTTTCCTGAGACCCTCTGACTCCCTCTCCAGGCAGCGCCGGGCCACTGCAGTGCTACGGAGTTGGACCCTTGGGCGACTTGAACTGCTCGTGGGAGCCTCTTGGGGACCTGGGAGCCCCCTCCGAGTTACACCTCCAGAGCCAAAAGTAGTGAGTACAGGGAGGTGACGTGGGGAAACAGGCTTTGGAGGTGGCCGCTCAGGCCCCAGGCTGCTTTGGTTGAAAGGTTCCAGGAGTCAAGCCTGGCCAACATGGTGAAACCCTGTCTATACTAAAAATACAAAAAAAAAAAAAAAAAAAAAATTACCCAGGGGTGGTGGCGCGCGCCTGTAGTCCCTGATACTCAGGAGGCTGAGACAGGAGAATCGCTTGAACCCGGGAGGCGGAGGTTGCAGTAAGCCCAGATCTCGCCACTGCACTCCAGCCTGGGGGACAGAGGGAGACTCTGTCTCAAAAAAAAAAAAAAAAAAAAAGAAAAGAAAAGAAAAGAAAGTCCCAGGAGTCTGCCCCCCTCCCCCAATACTCCTCCACTCCTTCAATTCTAGCTTCCCTCGTTTCTTTGCTGTGTCACCCTGGGCAAGTCACTTTCCCTCTTTGAGTCTCCTTTTCATTTCTCTATTAAATAGCAATCATAGGGCCAGGAGAGGTGGTTTGCACCTGTCATCCCAGCATTTTGGGAGGCCGAGGCGGGAGGATCGCTTGAGCCCAGGAGGAGTTCAGAGTTTTAGAGAGCCCGTCACTTTTTTTTTTTTTTTTTTTTGAAACGGAGTTTCACTCTTGTTGCCCAGGCTGGAATGCAATGGTGTGGTCTCGGCTCACTGCAACCTCCACCTCCTGGGTTCAAGCGATTCTCCTGCCTCAGCCTCCAGAGTAGCTGGGATTACAGGCATGTGCCACCATGCCTGGCTAATTTTTGTATTTTTAGTAGAGGGGGGAGGTTTCACCATGTTGGCCAGGCTGGTCTTGAACTCCTGACCTCAGGTGATCCACCCGCCTCAGCCTCCCAAAGTTCTGGGATTACAGGTGTGAGCCACCGTGCCTGGCCGAGAGCCCGTCTCTTAAAAATATAAAATATAATATAAATAAAGGGAAATAGGCCAGGCGCAGTGGTTCACACCTATAATCCCAGCACTTTGAGAGGCCGAGGTGGGCAGATTACTTGAGGTCAGGAGTTCAAGACCAGCTGTAGTAATTCCAGCTACTCGGGAGGCTGAGGTGGGAGGATCACTTGAACCCAGGAGGCAGAGGTTGCGGTGAGCTAAGATCGTGCCATTGCACTCCAGCCTGGGTGACAGAGTGAGACTCTGTCTCAAAAAAATTTTAAAAAATAAAAGCTGGCGTGGTGGCTCACGCCTATAATCTCAGCACTTTGGGAGGCCGAGGCGGGCAGATCACGAGGTCAGGAGTTCGAGACCAGCCTGACCAACATGGTGAAACCCTGTCTCCACTAAAAATACAAAGATTAGCCGATGTGGTGGTGCATGCCTGTAATCCCAGTTACTCAGGAGGCTGAGGCAGGAGAATTGCTTGAACCCAGGAAGTGGAGGTTGCAGTGAGCTGAGATCGCACCACTGCACTCCAGCCTGGCCGACAGAGCGAGACTCCATCTCAAAAACACTAAAAATAAAAAATAAAAAAGGGAAATAATAACAGAACCTGCCTCCGAAGGTTAAGTCTGAGGATTCAAAGAGTTAGGTGCTTGGCAAGGAGAAAGTTGCTTCATAATGTGAACCTGGTTTTTATTGCTGTGTGACATTAGGCAAGTCACTTAACCTCTCTGAGCATGTTAAAAGATTATTCAGTGTGGTGCTGGGGATGCTGCAGTGAAAGAGGTAGACAGAAAGCCCTGCCCACAGTCCAAGGACTCCATGTGTTTCTTCATGATGAATCATACCTGGAAACTCATAATTTCAAATTGGGCTAAGTGAGGGAAGAGGAAAAGAGTCAATGAAAGATAAGAATGGGAGACAGAGGTCCTGGATTTTTTTTTCTTTTTAATATTAATGGTTAAAATACACACAACAGGCCCTACACGGTGGCTCACGCCTGTAATCCCAGCACTTTGGGAGGCCGAGACAGGCAGATCACCTGAGGTCAGGAGTTGCAGACCAGCCTGGCCAACATGGTGAAACTCCGTCTCTACTAAAAATACAAAAATTAGCCAGGCGTGGTGGCACATGCCTGTAGCCCCAGCTATTTGGGAGTCTGAGGCAGGAGAATCGCTGGAACTCGGGAGGCAGAGGTTGGAGTGAGCCAAGATCGCGCCACTGTACTCCAGCCTGGGTGACAGAGCAAGACTCTGTCTAAAAAAAAAAAAAGGCCGGGCGCGGTGGCTCAAGCCTGTAATCCTAGCACTTTGGGAGGCCGAGGCGGTGGATCATGAGGTCAGGAGATCGAGACCATCCTGGCTAACACGGTGAAACCCCGTCTCTACTAAAAATACAAAAAAATTAGCTGGGCGTGGTGGCTGGCGCCTGTAGTCCCAGCTACTCAGGAGGCTGAGGCAGGAGAGTGGCGTGAACCCAGGAGGCAGAGCTTGCAATGAGCCGAGATCGCGCCACTGCACTCCAGCCTGGGCAACAGAGCGAGACTCCGTCTCAAAAAAAAAAAAAATTCATACAACATAAAACTTAACGATATTTTTAAAAATTTGTTTTGGGAACAGGGTCTTACTCCTGTTGCCCAGGCTGGAGTGCAGTGGGGCAGTCAGTTCACTGCAGCGACTTCTCAGGCTCAGGTGATCCTCCCACCTCAGCCTCCCAAGTAGCTGGGACTACAGGCATGCAACACCATGCCCAGCTAATTTTTTAAATATATATTTTTAGTAGACACAGGGTTTTACCATGTTGCCCAGACTGCTTTCGAACTACTGGCCTCAAGAGATCCACCTCCTTTGTCCTCCCAAAGTGCTGGGACTACAGGCGTGAGTCACTGTGCCTGGCCAAAATCTACGATCTTAACCATTTTTAAGTGTCCAGTTCAGTGGCATTAAGTACATTCCCATGGTGCTATCCCGGTTACCATTCACCTCCAGAAGGGGGCCTAGTTTTTTTTTATTTGAGATGGAGTTTCGCTCTTGTTGCCCAGGCTGGAGTGCAATGGCGCGATCTCGGCTCACTGCAACCTCCGCCTCCCGGGTTCCAGCAATTCTCCTGCCTCAGCCTCCAGAGTAGTTGGGATTACAGGCACACGCCACCACGCATGGCTAATTTTGTATTTTTAGTAGAGATGGGGTTTCTCCATGTTGGTCTGGCTGGTCTCGAACTCCCGACCTCAGGTGATCCACCCACCTGGGCCTCCCAAAGTGCTGGGATTACAGGCAGAAGCCACTGAGCCTGGCGGGGGGCCTAGTTTTAATTGGTACAGGGAGGGGGAGTCAGAGAAGCCACATCTTTTCTATTTTTATTTTAGTTTTATTGATTTATGTATTGATTTTATTTATTTTGAGAAGAGGTCTTGCTCTGTCACCCAGGCTAGAGTGCAGCGGTGCGATCATAGCTCACTGCAACCTCAAACTCCTGGGCTCCAGCCATTTTCCCTCCTCGGCCTTCCCAGTAGTTGGAATTACAGGAATGTGTCACCATGACCAGCTAATTTTTAAAAATTTTTTGTAGTGGTAGCTCACGTCTGTAATCCCAGCACTTTGGGAGGCCGAGGCAGAAGGATGGCTTGAGCCCAGGGGTTGGAGACCAGCCTGGGCAACGTAGTGAGACCCGTCTCTATTAAAAAAAAAAAAAAGAAAGAAGAAGAAGAAGAAGAAGAGGAAGAGGAGGGAAAAAAGTAAGAATAATTTTAAAAGTAAATAAATAAATAATTTTTTTGGTAGAGACAGAGTCTTGCTCTGTTGCCTAGGGTAGTCTCAAACTCCTGAGCTCAAGCGATCCTCCCATCTTGCCCTCCCAAAATAATGGAATTACAGGTGCTACTATGCCCAGCCTGAGATTTTGTACTCTTTGGCCATCATCTTCTCCCCCTAGCCTCTGTAGTCACCAGTTTACTCTGCCTCTAGGAGGAGTTCAGATGTTTTAGATTCCACGTATCAATGAAAACATGTGGTGTTTGTCTTTCCGTGTCTTATTTCACGTAACATAATGTTCGCCATTTCCATCCACATTGTTACAAATGACAGGATTTCCTTTTTTTTTTTTTTTTTGAGACAGAATCTGGCTCTGTCACCCAGGCTGGAGTGCAGTGGCGCGATCTCAGCTCACTGCAACCTCTGCCTCCCCGGTCCAAGCGATTCTCGTGCCTCAGCCTCCCGAGTAGCTGAGATTATAGGTGCGCATCTCCACATCTGGCTAATTTTTGTATTTTTAGTAGAGCCGAGTTTCACCATGTCAGCCAGGCTGATCTCAAACTCTTGATCTCAAGTAATCCACCCACCTCGGCCTCCCAAAGTGCTGGGATTACAGGCGTGAGCCACCACGCACAGTGTATTTTCTTCTTTTTTAAGGTTGAATAGTATTCCATCGTGTATGTATACCACATTTTTTTTTTTTTGAGACAAAGTCTCGCTCTGTCGCTCAGGCTGGAGTGCAATGGCGTGATCTCAGCTCACTGCAACCTCTGCCTCCAGGGTTCAAGCGATTCTCCTGCTTTAGCCTCCTGAGTAGCTGGGATGACAGGCATGCGCCATCACACCTGGCTAATTTTTGTATTTTTAATAGAGACGGGGTTTCGCCATGTTTGTCAGGCTGGTCTCGAACTCCTGACCCGAACTCTGCCTGCCTTGGCCTCCCAAAGTGCTGGGATTACAGGCATGAGCCACCGTGCCCGGCCCCACATATTCTTGATCCATACATCTGGTGATGGACACATTCCATATATTGGCTGTTGTGAATAGTGCTGCATTGGGAAGACACGTCCGTTGGACAAACTGATTTCATTTCCTTATTTATATATTTATTTTTACTTTTTTTTTTTTTGAGACAGAGTCTCACTCTGTTGCCCAGGCTGGAGGGCAATGGAGCAATCTCAGCTCAATGCAACCTCCATCTTTCGGGTTCAAGTGATTCTCCTGCCTCCCAAGTAGCTGGGACTACAAGCGTCTGCCAGGACACACGGCTAATTTTTGTATTTTTAGTAGAGATGGGGTTTCACGATGTTGTCCAGGCTGGTCTCCAACTCCTGGCTTCAAGTGATCCGCCTGCCTCGGCCTCCCAAAGTGCTGGGATTACAGGCGTGAGCCACCACGCCTGGCCCCTTCTTACTATTTGTTAAACACACCAGGCACAGTTTGGCCTCCAGGTCTTTGCACCCTGTGTTTCCTCTTCCTGGAATGCTGTTCTTCTAGCTACTGCATGGTTCTGTCCTCATCTCCTTCAGGCCTTTATTCAAATGTCTCCTCAGGCTGGGCGTGATGTCCCTGCACCTGTAATCCCAACACTGGGAGGCCAAGGGGGATGGTGCGGGGGATTGCTTGAGGCCAGGAGTTCGAGACCAGTCTGGCCAACAGAGTGAGACCCTCTCGCTCTCTCTCTCTTTTTTTTTTTTTTTGAAATGGAGTCTTGCTCTGTTGCCAGGCTGGAGTGCAGTGGTGCGATCTCGGCTCACTGCAACCTCCAACTCCCTGGTTCAAGCGATTCTCCTGCCTCAGCCTTCCGAGTAGCTGGGATTACAGGCACGTGCCACCACGTCCAGCTAATTTTTGTATTTTTAGTAGAGACGGGGGTTTCACCGTGTTGGCCAGGATGGTCTCGATCTCTTGACTTCGTGATCCACCTGCCTCGGGCTCCCAAAGTGCTAGGATTACAGGCGTGAGCCACTGCACCTGGCCTGTCTCTCTCTTTCTATATATGGTGCTTTTGTTGCTGTTTTTGAGACAGGGTCTTATCCTGTCACCCAGGCTGGAGTGCAGTGGCATGACTGCAACTCAACCTCCTGGGCTCAATCGATCCTCCCACCCCAGCCTCTCAAGTAGTTGGAACCACAAGTGCGCGCCACTACCCCTGGCTAATTTTTAAAACATTTTTTGTAGACATGGGGGTCTCAGTATGTGACTGCTTGAGGCCAAGAGTTAGAGGAGACCAGCCTGGGCAACATAGCAAGACCCCATTTCTACAAAAAATTTAAAAATTAGCTGAACATTGTGATGCACACCTGTTATCCCAGCTACTCTGGAGGCTGAGGCAGGAGGATTGCTTGAGCCTAGGAGTTCAAGGTTGCAGTGATCTATGATCGCACTGCTCCAGTTACAGAGTGAGGTCGTGTCTCTAAAAAAAAAAAAAAAAAAAAAGAGAGAGAGGAAAGGGCCGGGCGCAGTGGCTCACGCCTGTAATTCCAGTACTTTGGGAGGCCGAGACAGGCGGATCACCTGAGGTCGGGAGTTCGAGACCAGCCTGACCAACATGGAGAAACCCTGTCTCTACTAAAAGTACAAAACTAGCCGGGAGTGGTGGCGCATGCCTGTAATTCCAGCCACTAGGGAGGCTGAGGCAGGAGAATCGCTTGAACCTGGGAGGCAGAGGTTGCGGTGAGCCAAGATCGCACCATTGCACTCCAAGCTGGGCAACAAGAACAAAAATCTGTCTCAAAAGAAAAAAAAAAGAGAGAGAGAAAGCAAGGAAGGAAGGGAGGGAGGGAGGAAAGAAGGGAGAGGGAGAGGAAGGGAAGGAAAGAAAGAAAAAGAGAGAGAGAAAAGAGCAGTTATGACCAGGTATGGTGGCTCATGCCTGTAATCTTAGCAATTTGGGAGGCCGAGGTGTGTGCATCACTTGAGGTCAGGAGTTCGAGACCAGCCTAGCCAACATGGTGAAACCCCATCGCTACTAAAAACACAAAAAAATTGGCCAGGTGTGGTGGCACACGCCTATAATTCTAGCTACTTGGGAGGATGAGGTGGGAGGATCACTTGAACCCAGGAGGCAGAGGTTGCAGTAAGCCAAGATCACGACATTATACTCCAACCTAGGTGACTGTCTTAAAAAAAAAAAAGAAAAAGAGCAGTTACTTTTATTACCCTCATTTTGTAGATGAGGAAACTGATGCACAGAGAAGTTAAGTCACTTACTCAAGGTCACACAGCTCTGAAGCAGCAGAGGTGGGATTTGAACCCAAGCAGAGCAGGCTGCAGCCACTCTGTTGGCACAAGGGTGGTTATCAGTGGCCCTGGCTCTAGCCGAGTGTGCATCTCATCCCCGCCTCTCTCCTCACAGCCGTTCCAACAAAACCCAGACTGTGGCAGTGGCAGCCGGACGGAGCTGGGTGGCCATTCCTCGGGAACAGCTCACCATGTCTGACAAACTCCTTGTCTGGGGCACTAAGGCAGGCCAGCCTCTCTGGCCCCCCGTCTTCGTGAACCTAGAAACCCAAAGTAACGTGGCAGGAGGGTGGGCGCTCTATGCGGGGTGGGTGCTCTTGGAGGGCGTGGCTCACTACACCCTAGTTTCCCCTTCCCCAGTGAAGCCAAACGCCCCCCGGCTGGGCCCTGACGTGGACTTTTCCGAGGATGACCCCCTGGAGGCCACTGTCCATTGGGCCCCACCTACATGGCCATCTCATAAAGTTCTGATCTGCCAGTTCCACTACCGAAGATGTCAGGAGGCGGCCTGGACCCTGGTGAGTGCTGGGGTCCTTTTCTCCCCACCCTATTCCGGGCGGGGACTGAGGCAACATCTCCTAATCTGAGACCCAGCCCAGGACTCATTCTGTGCCTGCCCCTGAGCCTGTATGCCTCCCACTCAAAATGCCTGCATGTGCCTCTTGTTCAGCTACAAATTCTCCTCCCATGGCTGGGCACGGTGGTTCACGCCTGTAATCCCAGCACTTTGGGAGGCTGAGGGGGATGGATCACTTGAGGTCAAGAGTTCGAGACCAGCCTGGCCAACATGGTGAAATCCCATCTCCACTAAAAATACAAAAATTACCTAGGCATGGTGGTGGGCGCCTGTAATCCCAGCTACTGAAAGCTGAAGCAGGGGAATCACTGGAACCCGAGAGGCAGAGGTTGCAGTGAGCTGAGATTGGGCCACTGTGCTCCAGCCTGAGCTACAGAGTGAGACTCAGTCTCAAAAAAAAAAAATTTTTTTTCTCCTGCCAAAATAATCTATCACCCGGTCACAGTGGCTCATTTCTAAAATCCCAGCACCTTGGGAGGCTGAGGCAGGAAGATTGTTTGAGGTCAAGAGTTTGAGACCAGCCTGGGCAGGATAGCAAGACTCGTCTCTAAGAAGTTAAAAAATAATCTGACCAGGTGCGGTGGCTCACACCTGTAATCCCAGCACTGTGGGAGGCCAAGGAGAGTGGATCACCTGAGGTCAGGAGTTCGGGACCAGCCTGGCCAACATGGTGAAACCCCATCTCTACTAAAAATACAAAAAAGTAGCTGGGCGTGCTGGTGGGTGCCTGTAGTCCCAGCTAATTGAGAGGCTAAGGCAGGAGAGAATCACTTGAACCCAGGAGGTGGAGGTTGCAGTGAGCTGAGATCGTGCCACTGCACTCCACACTCCAGCCTGGCAACAGAGCAAGACTCCGTCTCAAAAAAAAAAAGAAGAAGAAGAGTTCAGAATTGTGATTATTCATGCAATTCAGAGCAACACTGAGATGCAGAATTTTTTTTTTTTTTTTTGAGATGGCGTTTTGCTCTTAATTGCCCAGGCTGGAGTGCAATGGCATGATCTCGGCTCACTGTAACCTCCACCATCTAGGTTCAAGCGATTCTCCTGCCTCAGCCTCCCGAGTAGCTGGGATTACAGGCATGTGCCATCATGCCCGGCTCATTTTGTATTTTCAGTAGAGACGGGGTTTCTCCATGTTGGTCAGGCTGGTCTTGAACTCCTGACCTCAGGTGATCCACCCACCTGGGCCTCCCAAAGTGCTGGGATTACAGGCATGAGCCACTGCACCCGGCCCCCTTTTTTTTTTGAGACGGAGTCTCACTGTGTTGCCCAGGCTGGAGTGCAGTGGTGCCATCTCAACTCACTGCAACCTCCACCTCTCAGGTTCAAGTGATTCCCCCACCTCAGCCCCTCAAGTAGGTGGGATTACAGGCATGTGCCACCATGCCCAGCTAAGTTTTTGTATTTTTTTTAATAGAGATGGGGTTTCGCTATTTGGCCAGGCTGGTCTCGAACTCCT
The DNA here is from genome assembly GCF_000001405.40 of Homo sapiens. Taxonomy (NCBI): domain Eukaryota; kingdom Metazoa; phylum Chordata; class Mammalia; order Primates; family Hominidae; genus Homo; species Homo sapiens. The sequence goes on from NW_021160022.1 coordinate 253,270, forward strand.
GACCTCAGGTGATCCACCCACCTCCACCTCCTAAAGTGTTGGGATTACAGGCGTGAGCCACCTCACCCGGCTGAGATGCAGACTTTGGAATCTGACTACCTCAGTGCTCAGCTCCAGCACACCAGCTCTGTGACCTTGGGCTAGTCACTTTCCCTCTCTGGGCCTCAGTTCCCTCGTCTGTAAAACGAGATAATAATAGAAGTTACCACTTCCTGCTATACCTAGCACATAGAGTGACCACCTTTTCTCTGTCTGCTCGGGACTGTGGCAATTTTTTTGACAGGCCCATGTTCTGGAAACCCCCTTGGTCCTGGGCAAATACAAATGGTTGCTCACTCTGCTGATAGATAAGTTCAAGTACCAGCTAGGCGCAGTAGCTCTAATCCCAGCACTTTGGGAGGCCGAGGTGGGCAGATCACCTAAGGTCAGGAGTTCAAGACCAGCCTGGCCAAGATGGTGAAACCCCGTCTCTACTAAAAATACAAAAATTGGCTGGGCTTGGTGGCTCACACCTGTAATCCCAGCACTGTGGGAGGCCGAGGCGGGCGGATCACGAGGTCAGGAGATCGAGACCATCTTGGCCAACATGGTGAAACTCTGTCTCTACTAAAATACAAAAAATTAGCTGGGCATGGTGGCGCGTGCCTGTAATCCCAGCTACTTGGGAGGCTGAGGCAGGGGAATCGCTTGAACCCAGGAGGCAGAGGTTGAAGTGAGCTGAGATCGTGCCACTGCACTCCAGCCTGGCGACAGAGCAAGACTCTGCCTCAAAAAAAAAAAAAAAAAAATTAACCAGGTGTGGTGGTGGGTGCCTGTAATCCCAGCTACTCAGGAGGCTGAGGCAGGAGAATTGCTTGAACCCAGGAGGGAGAGGTTGCAGTGAGCCAAGATCACACCACTGCACTCTAGCCTGGGCCACAACGAGACTGTCTCAAAACGAAAAACAAAGGAAAAAAAAAAAGATAAGTTCAAATACCCTTGACTCAGGCCCTGGGCCCATCACGCTCGCCTGTCTCTCCCCCAGCTGGAACCGGAGCTGAAGACCATACCCCTGACCCCTGTTGAGATCCAAGATTTGGAGCTAGCCACTGGCTACAAAGTGTATGGCCGCTGCCGGATGGAGAAAGAAGAGGATTTGTGGGGCGAGTGGAGCCCCATTTTGTCCTTCCAGACACCGCCTTCTGGTGAGGATATCTGGGCTTGCCCTCAATCCACGCCCCTCCCACCCCCAGAAGTCTGTCCAATCATGTCCCACTCATTTGTTCCCCGTTTCCTCATCCTTGCCAGCTCCAAAAGATGTGTGGGTATCAGGGAACCTCTGTGGGACGCCTGGAGGAGAGGAACCTTTGCTTCTATGGAAGGTGAGCTTCAGGCACCAGTTACATTTCTCTGCACGTGTTAGGAAACCCCTAAATAACAATGACATAAGGCCGGATGCAGTGGCTCACGCTTGTAATCCCAACACTGCTGTGGGAGGCCGAGGAGGGTGGATCACTTGAGGTCAGCAGTTGGAGACCAGCCTGGCCAACATGGTGAAACCCCATCTCTACTAAAAATACAAAACTTCACGGGGAGTGGTCGTGGGCGCCTGTAATCCCAGCTACTCTGGAGGCTGAGGCAGAAGAATCACTTGAACCCAGGAGGTGAAGGTTGCAGTGAGCCGAGATCACACCACTGCACTCCAGCCTGGGCAACAAGAGTGAAACTCCGTCTCCAAAACAAAAAACAAACAAAACCCAATGACATAAACAAGACAGAGTTTACCATGCTGCCCCCTTGAGGTTGCTTCGAAGATTCAAGGATGGGTTGCTAAAGTGGTCAGCACAGGGTGGGGCATGGAGCAAGTCTCCACCAATGTCAGCTGCTTCCGAGAGGTCTGAGCCATAAGGATGGGTGCAGATATTCCGGGCAGGGGCAGCAGATGCAAAAACCTGACAGCGAGACTGGAGCTCAGCTCCAGAAAATATAACACAGTGTGCTAAGAGTTTATTTATTCATTTATTTATTTTGAGATGGAGTCTCGCTCTGTTGCCCAGGCTGGAGTGCAGCAGCGTCATCTCATCTCAGCTCACTGCAACCTCCACCTCCCAGGTTCAAGCCATTCTCTGCCTCAGCCTCCCAAGTAGCTGGGATTACAGGTGCCCCCCCACCACGCCCGGCTAATTTTTGTATTTTTAGTAGAGATGGGGGTTTCACCATCTTGGCCAGGGGGGCCTTGAACTCCTGACCTCATGATCCAGCCACCTCGGCCTCCCAAAGTGCTGGAATTACAGGCGGGAGCCACCGCGCCTGGCCTGTGCTAAGAGTTTAAATGCTAGTATCAAAAGGGTATTAATAGGCTGGGCATGGTGGCTCATGCCTGTAATCCCAGCACTTTGAGAGGCTCAGGTGGGCAGATCACTTGAGGTCAGGAGTTCGAGACCAGCCTGGCCAACATGGTGAAACCCCATCTCTACTAAAAATACAAAAATTAGCTGGGCCTGGTGGCAGGCACCTGTAATCCCAGCTACTTAGGAGGCTGAGACAGGAGAATCGCTTGAACCTGGGAGGTGGAGGTTGCAGTGAGCTGAGCTCGAGCCACTGCACTCCAGTCTGGGCAACAAGAGCAAGACTCTGTCTCACAAAAAAAAAAAAAAAAAAGGTATTATAAAATGGCTGACAAGGTGCAATTATCCTCACTGATTCAAATCTGTGAAGCACCTGCTATGTGCCAGGTGGCATTGCTTGACCCTTGCTCTCAGTAAATAAGCAAAGGAACACGATGACAGGTGTGGTTTTCCACCTTCTTAGACCACACAATCCAGTATCTTTTATTTATTTATGTATTTGAGATGGAGTGTCACTCTTGTTGCCCAGGCTGGAGTGCAATGGGGCGATCTTGGCTCACCGCAACCTCCGCCTCCTGGGTTCAAGCGATTCTCCTGCCTCAGCCTCCTGAGTAGCTGTGATTATAGGCGCCCGCCACCACACCCGGCTAATTTTTGTATTTTTAGTAGAGACGAGGTTTCACCATGTTGGCCAGGCTGGTCTCGAACTCCTGAAATCAGGTGATCTGCCCACTCGGCCTCCCAAAGTGCTGGGATTACAGGTGTGAGCCACCGTGCCTGGCCGATATTTTAAAAAATTAAATCAGCAAACTAGAGTTCAAGGACCAACTGCCTGTTTTCAGAAATACAGTTTGATTGGAACCAAGACCAGGGTTAGGGAGGTGAGCAGGGTAGGGTCACACAGGTGCAGGATCAAATCCTGTTTTTACTTTAAAATCTTGATATTTTGGACCGAGTGGGTGGCTCATACCTGTAATCCCAGCACTTTGAGAGTCTGAGGCAGGAGGACCACTTGAGGCCAGGAGTTCGAGACCAGCCTGGGCAACATAGCAAGCTACCCATCTATACAGAGAATAAAACATTACCAGGGGCCGGGCACAGTGGCTCAGCCTGTAATCCCAACACTTTGGGAGGCCGAGGCGGGTGGATCATAAGGTCAGGAGTTCAAGACCAGCCTGGCCAAGATGGTGAAACCCCCATCTCTACTAAAAATACACAAATTAGCCGGGCGTGGTGGCAGGCACCTGTAATCCCAGCTACTTAGGAGGCTGAGGCAGGAGAATCTCCTGAACCCGGGGAGGTTGCAGTGAGCTCAGATTGCGCCACTGCACTCCAGCCTGGGTGACAGAATGAGACTCTGTCTCCAAAAAAAAAAAAAAAAATTAGCGGGGTGTGGTGGCATGCGTCTATAGTCCCAGCTACTGGGGAGGCTGAGGTGGGAGGATCACTTCAGCCTAGGATGTTGAGGCTGCAGTGAGCTATGATTGCACCACCGCACTTCAGCCTGTACAATAGTGAGAACTTATGTCAAAAAGAAAAAAAAAAAAAAGATGGCTGGGCGTGGTGGCTCACGCCTGTAATCCCAGCACTTTGGGAGGCCGAGACGGGCGGATTTTTTTTTTAAGAGACAAGGTCAGGAGATCAAGACCATCCTGGCTAACATGTGAAACCCCGTCTCTACTAAAAATACAAAAAATTAGCCGGACGTGGTGGCAGGCGCCTGTAGTCCCAGGTACTGGGGAGGCTGAGGCAGGCGAATGGCGTGAACCCGGGAGGCAGAGCTTGCAGTGAGCCGAGATGGCGCCACTGCACTCCAGCCTGGGCGACAGAGCGAGACTCTGTCTCAAAAAAAAAAAAAAAGTTGATATTTTGTTTGTCATGGGTTTTTAGGCATTAATTTTCATTTATTACAATACTGCATTAAAATATTATTTATCTCACTTATTGGGTTTTTGGTATCCCCCACTCCCTTTTAAATTTTGCACCTGGCCAGGTTTGCTGACTCACGCCTGTAATCCTAGCACTTTGGGAGGCTGAGGCAGGCAGATCACTTGAGGTCAGGAGTTTGAGACCAGCCTGGCCAACATGGTGAAACCCCGTCTCTACTAAAAATACAAAAATTAGCCGGGCGTGATGGCAGGCGCCTGTAATCCCAGCTACTCAGGAGGCTGAGGCAGGAACATCGCTTGAACCCGGGAGGTGAAGGTTGCAGTGAGCCGAGATCACGCCACTTCACTCCAGTCTGGGTAACAGAATGAAGACTCCGTCTCAAAAAACAAACAAACAAACAAACAAAAAATGCTTCACTGACCGGTGGTTTATCAGGTGACCTCAGGGAGACACATATATGTGCGTGATTAATGGGAGACATTAACCCCTTTTTCCCTTCATCTCTCAGGCCCCAGGGCCCTGTGTGCAGGTGAGCTACAAAGTCTGGTTCTGGGTTGGAGGTCGTGAGCTGAGTCCAGAAGGAATTACCTGCTGCTGCTCCCTAATTCCCAGTGGGGCGGAGTGGGCCAGGGTGTCCGCTGTCAACGCCACAAGCTGGGAGCCTCTCACCAACCTCTCTTTGGTCTGCTTGGGTAAGAGACTGTGACCTTCCTCAGCTCGGTGCCCTGGAGGGGTGGGAAGTGACTTCCTGAGTGGGCAGCTGAGACTTCTCTCCACCCTCCAGATTCAGCCTCTGCCCCCCGTAGCGTGGCAGTCAGCAGCATCGCTGGGAGCACGGAGCTACTGGTGACCTGGCAACCGGGGCCTGGGGAACCACTGGAGCATGTAGTGGACTGGGCTCGAGATGGGGACCCCCTGGAGAAACTCAACTGGGTCCGGCTTCCCCCTGGGAACCTCAGTGCTCTGTTACCAGGTGAGGCCCTGGGACACCTGGGTCTCCATCCCCGCTGTTAGAGCAGACGGATGGGTGGACTTGTAAGAGGGAGTGCTATGATTAAAGTAGCGTGATGGCCGGGCTTGGTGGCTCATGCCTGTAATCTCAGCACTTTGGGAGGCCGAAAGGGGCGGATCACCTGAGGTCAGGAGTTGGACACCAGCCTGGCCAACATAGTGAAACCCCGTCTCTACTAAAAATACAAAAATTAGTGGGGCGTGGTGGCACATGCCTGTAGTCCCAGCTACTCGGGAGGCTGAGGCAGGAGAATCGCTTGAACCTGGGAGGTGGAGGTTGCAGTGAGCCGAGATTGCGCCACTGCACTCTAGCCTGGGTGACAGAGTGAGACTCAGTCTCAAAAAATAAATAAATAAATAAATAAATAGCGTGAATTCACACAAGACTTTTTTTTTTGCTTTTTGGAGGCAAGATCCCACTCTGTGGCCCAGGCTAGAGTGCAATGGTGCCATCTCAGCTCACTGCAACTTCCATCTCCTGGGTTCAAGTGATTCTCGTGACTCAGCTTCCCGAGTAGCTGGGACTATGGGAGCGTACCACCACAATCGGTTAATTTTTTTTTTTTTTTTTTAAGTAGAGACGGGGTTTCACCATGTTGGTTTGGCTGGTCTCCAACTCCTGACCTCAAGTGATCTGCCTGCCTTGGCCTCCCAAAGTGCTGGGATTACAGGCATGAGCCACTATGCCCAGCCTAACTTTTCTTTTTTTTTTTTTTGAGATGGAGGCTGGCTCTGTCACCCAGGCTGGAGTGCAATGGTGTGATCTCAGCTCACTGCAGCCTTCACCTCCCGGGTTCAAGCGATTCTCGTGCCTCAGCCTCTGGGGAGTGACTGGGATCACAGGCCCCCACCGCCATGCCCAGCTAATTTTTTTATTTTTAGTAGAGACGGGGTTTCACCATGTTGGCTAGGCTGGTGTCAAACTCCTGACCTCAAGAGATCCACCCGCATTGGCCTCCCAAAATGATGGGATGACAGGGGTGAGCCACCATGCCTGGCCCTTTTTTTTTTTTTTTTTTTGGAGTCTTGCTCTGTCGCCCAGGCTGGAGTGCAGTGGTGCGATATCGGCTCACTGCAAGCTCCACCTCCTGGGTTCACGCCATTCTCCTGCCTCAGCCTCCCGAGCAACTGGGAGTACAGGCGCCCGCCACCACGCCCGGCTAATTTTTTTTTTTTTTTGTATTTTTAGTAGGAACGGAGTTTCACCATATTAGCCAGGATGGTCTCGATCTCTTGACCTCGTGATCTGCCCTCCTCAGCCTCCCAAAGTGCTGGGATTTCAGGCATGAGCCACCGCACCCGGCATTTTTTTTTTTTTAAGAGATGAGTCTCACTCTGTCAGCCAGGCTGGAGTGCAGTGGCGTGATCTCAGCTCACTGCAGCGTCGACCTCCATGGCTCAAGCAATCCTCCCACCTCAGCGCCCTGAGGAGCTGGTATTACAGGCATGCGCCACCAAGCCCAGCCAGTTTTTGTATTTTTTGTAGAGGTGGGGTTTCTCCATGTTGCCCAGGCTGTTCTTGAACTCCTGAGCTCAGGCAATCCACCTGCCTTGGCCTCCCAAAGTGCTGGGATGACAGGCATGAGCCACGGTACCTGGCAAGAAATCTTTATAAATAAATAAATAAATAAATAAATTAATTAATTAATGAACTTGGAAGAACTGTGAAGATGTTGGGTAAGAAATTTAGGACACAGTCCCAAGACCCACAAGGATATATGAACCAAAGAAGCGAAGGCCCAATTATGGAAAATTCCCAGTTGGGGAAGGCTATGTGGATGTGATAGGGTTTAGGGGAGAGAGTGCAGCACCCTCAGCTACCATGGTAGGTGCTGTCAGTTGCCTGCTCATATCTGTTTGACCACCTCAGAGGTTTTAGGCCTCTCTCCCAGCTGCCCACACTTGTTTCCTGGCCTAAGGGCTTTTTCTGGTCACTGAGGCATTTTGCCTGCCTGAGAAGCAAGATGGAAATATTGAGAAGAGCCCTCAGGAACAGCCCTCAGCATGACTAATGAGGCTTGGTGGATAAATACCCCAGCTCCGTCCCCCTGAGCTGGGCTGACTCTGCGATGCCTGCTCTCTGCTGGCCCCTAGAGGTCCCCCATGGGACTGCGTCTCAGTTGTCCACAGTGAGAACCTGTTCCTTCCCCATTTCACTCCCCTACTGCCCTATTGGGGTTTTCTGGGATTACCTCCTAGATAAATGACTTACAGTCAGATCCTTATCTCAGGGTGTCCTTCTGGGGACCCCAGTGAAGACACCTAGGAAATGAGCATGGGAAGGAGAGCCAACTCTAACTGGTCTTTATTTCTTTGTCACTCAGGGAATTTCACTGTCGGGGTCCCCTATCGAATCACTGTGACCGCAGTCTCTGCTTCAGGCTTGGCCTCTGCATCCTCCGTCTGGGGGTTCAGGGAGGAATTAGGTAAGAGTGGGGCTGGAGGATGGGGGGGCTTCTGTAACCCAGGCCGACCTTGACCTACTGCCTTCCTCCCCAGCACCCCTAGTGGGGCCAACGCTTTGGCGACTCCAAGATGCCCCTCCAGGGACCCCCGCCATAGCGTGGGGAGAGGTCCCAAGGCACCAGCTTCGAGGCCACCTCACCCACTACACCTTGTGTGCACAGAGTGGAACCAGCCCCTCCGTCTGCATGAATGGTGAGCTTCCCTGCCTGCTGACCTGTCCTCCCAGCCCCCACAAGACCCACCCATCAGTCAGCCCCACCCCTTGTCCCCACGTGGGCCTCTTTGGCCCAGGGACCATACATGGTGTCCTCAATTCCCTCTTGGCTATCAATGTAACGAGCTTTCATTCGGCCATTAAAAATGAGGATGCCAATCTATATTTATTGACATTGAAAGATGCTTGTCATATTTTATTAGTGAAAAAGATAAAAGGATGTTAAAATTCCGTGGTATGGTTCCATTTTTTTTTTTTTTTTTTGAGACAGAGTCTCGCTTTGTCACCAGGCTGGAGTGCAATGGCACGATCTCAGCTCACTGCAACCTCCGCCTCCCAGGTTCAAGCAATTCTCCTGCCTCAGCCTCCTGAGTAGCTGGGATTACAGGCGCATGCCACCATGCCCGGCTAATTTTTGTATTTTTAGTAGAGACAGTTTCACCATGTTGGTCAGACTGATCTCGAACTCCTGACCTCGTGATCCACCCACCTCAGCCTCCCAAAGTGCGGGGATTATAGGTGTGAGCCACTGCGCCCGGCCTATATATAATTTTAAAAATATATATAGAAGGCCCGGCATGGTGGGTCACGCCTGTAATCCCAGCACTTTGGGAGGCCAAGGCAGGCAGATCACTTGAGGTCAGGAGTTCGAGACCAGCCTGGCCAACATGGTGAAACCTCATCTCTACTAAAAATACAAAAATTAGCCAGGCATGGTGGCACAGCCTGTAGTCCAGCTACTCAGAAGGTGGCTGAGGCACTAGAATTGCTTGAATCCGGGAGGTGGAGGTTGCAGTGAGCCAAGATCATGCAAAGACAAACTAAATAATATCTAAGCAGTGTATGAGATGGTGATAAGTGCTGAGTAGAGAATGAAGCAAGGGGCTGGGCAAGGTGGCTCACACCTATAATCCCAGCACTTTTGGAGGCCGAGGTGGGCAGATCACCTGAGGTCAGGAGTTTGAGACCAGTCTGACCAATATGGTGAAACCCAGTCTCTACTAAAAATATAAAAATTAGCCAGATGTGGTGGCGGGCACCTGTAGTCCCAGCTACTCAGGAGGCTAAGACAGCAGAATTGCTTGAACCCAGGAGGCAGAGGTTGCAGTGAGCTGAGATCACATGACTGCACTCCATCCTGGGCAACAGAGTGTTACAGAGCGAGACTTCATGTCAAAAAAAAAAAAAAAAAAAGAGAATCAAACAAGGAAGGTGGGTGGTGAAGGGGGTGCAATTTCAAATAGAGCGGGGTCAAGGAAAGCCTCACGGAAGAGGTGACCTTTGAGCAAAGACCTAAAAGAGATGAGGAGGGAGCCATGTGGATACCTGGGAGAGAGTGTTGCAGACAGCAGGAAGAGCACATGCAAAGGCCCTGTGGTAGGCTTGACCACCTCCCCAACTTCTTTGGTTGTGTTCTCCAGTGAGTGGCAACACACAGAGTGTCACCCTGCCTGACCTTCCTTGGGGTCCCTGTGAGCTGTGGGTGACAGCATCTACCATCGCTGGACAGGGCCCTCCTGGTCCCATCCTCCGGCTTCATCTACCAGGTAGGGGGGTTGGGATGGGATTGCCACAGGGAGGGGATGTACTCCACAGTGGGGAGAGGTAGCATCTGGAGTCATTACTTGGAAGCTAGGTGCAGTGGCTCACCCCTGTAATCCTAACACTCTGGGAGGCTGAGGCAGGTGGATCACTTGAGCCCAGGAGCTCGAGACCAGCCTGGGCAACATAGTGAGACCCCCTTCTCTACAAAAAATAAAACAATTAGCTGGATGTGGTAGCATGCGCCTGCGGTCCCAGCTCCTGGAGAAGCTGAGGCTCGAGGATCGCTTGAGCCCAGGAGTTGGAGGCTGCAGTACACGGATTACACCACTGCGCTCCAGCCTGGGCAACAAAGCAAGACCCTGTCTTTAAAAAATTAAGAATTGCCAGGCACAGTGGCTCACGCCTGTAATCTCAGCACTTTGGGAGGCCGAGGCGGGTGGATCAGTTGAGGTCAGGAGTTCGAGACCAGCCTGGCCAATGTGGTGAAACCCCATCTCTACTAAAAATACAAAAATTAGCTGGGCGTGGTGGCGTGCGGCTGTAATCCCAGCTACTTGGGAGGCTGAGAGAGAATTGCTTGAACCCAGGAGGCGGAGGTTGCAGTGAGCTGAGGTCGCACCACTGCACTCCAGCCTGGGTGACAGGGCAAGACTCTGTCTCAAAAATAAAAATAAAAAATAAAATAAAATAAAAAATTAAGAATGATCTCTTCCCTACCCTACCAGATAACACCCTGAGGTGGAAAGTTCTGCCGGGCATCCTATTCTTGTGGGGCTTGTTCCTGTTGGGGTGTGGCCTGAGCCTGGCCACCTCTGGAAGGTGAGGCTGTCGGATACATGCATCTCTACCCACGTGGGGAAGGCAGCTGGGCATTTTGCTGAGCTTCCAGGGGGCTTGAAGGGAGGCCTCAGGGCGCAGTCACATTCATGAACCCTGCACCCTGGGCTGGGGCATCTGGCCATCTGGATCTGCTGCCCTGACTACTCCTGTCTTGCCAGGTGCTACCACCTAAGGCACAAAGTGCTGCCCCGCTGGGTCTGGGAGAAAGTTCCTGATCCTGCCAACAGCAGTTCAGGCCAGCCCCACATGGAGGTGAGTCAAAGGGCCGGCTAGTCGGAGCCCTCTGGGGGACTGGGGAGTCCTGGGGCAGTGGGGAGGGGGTGAGGTGTGGGTCGGGGAGGCTGGGGCAGGATTACAGGCTCATCTCTTCCCAGCAAGTACCTGAGGCCCAGCCCCTTGGGGACTTGCCCATCCTGGAAGTGGAGGAGATGGAGCCCCCGCCGGTTATGGAGTCCTCCCAGCCCGCCCAGGCCACCGCCCCGCTTGACTCTGGGTATGAGAAGCACTTCCTGCCCACACCTGAGGAGCTGGGCCTTCTGGGGCCCCCCAGGCCACAGGTTCTGGCCTGAACCACACGTCTGGCTGGGGGCTGCCAGCCAGGCTAGAGGGATGCTCATGCAGGTTGCACCCCAGTCCTGGATTAGCCCTCTTGATGGATGAAGACACTGAGGACTCAGAGAGGCTGAGTCACTTACCTGAGGACACCCAGCCAGGCAGAGCTGGGATTGAAGGACCCCTATAGAGAAGGGCTTGGCCCCCATGGGGAAGACACGGATGGAAGGTGGAGCAAAGGAAAATACATGAAATTGAGAGTGGCAGCTGCCTGCCAAAATCTGTTCCGCTGTAACAGAACTGAATTTGGACCCCAGCACAGTGGCTCACGCCTGTAATCCCAGCACTTTGGCAGGCCAAGGTGGAAGGATCACTTAGAGCTAGGAGTTTGAGACCAGCCTGGGCAATATAGCAAGACCCCTCACTACAAAAATAAAACATCAAAAACAAAAACAATTAGCTGGGCATGATGGCACACACCTGTAGTCCGAGCCACTTGGGAGGCTGAGGTGGGAGGATCGGTTGAGCCCAGGAGTTCGAAGCTGCAGGGACCTCTGATTGCACCACTGCACTCCAGGCTGGGTAACAGAATGAGACCTTATCTCAAAAATAAACAAACTAATAAAAAGCAAAAAAAAAAAAAAAAGAAAAGAAAAAACACTGCATTTGGGCACCATCTCAGCTCCCTTGCATCCAGGTGCAGCATGGACTGAGTTCTTGACAACAGAATGTGGTCAGAAGTGACATATGCCAACACGGGGTCTGGGTGGGGGCTCCCCCACATCCTTTCCTTGCCTATGAGCTGGAACATAACACATGCCTATGATCCAGCTTTGGTCATACCCAAGGGGAAGGTGGAGCAAGAAATGAAAAGGAACCTGAATCCCTGAATGACTGCATGGATAGAACCACTAAGAAAAATAAACTTTTATATTTTTATAGCTACTGTAGCTTTGAGGTCTTTTTGTTACAGCAGCTCAATCTATACTCTCACTGATTCATAATCTTTGACTGTAGCAGGGTTAAGCCTCAAATTTCCCACCAGGAGATGACGCTGTGATTCTGTGCTGACTACACACACATTCAAGCCGTCTTGAGTGCTTTCACATTTTATTTTCAAGTATAAAGGCTTCATCGCAGAAGGAGGCCAGGGTTACAGGCAGTGGGCAAGGGGTCTGGAAGCCCAGGTTTAGGTGGACGTGCAGGCTAGCTGGCTCCCAGGTGCCATGGCCAGTCCTGTGGTCCCTGTCTGTGCCTGGGACCCTCTTCTGGGTGCCAAGAGGCCGAGGTAGCTGTGAGAGGAGCTGGACATGGGGTGGAGGGGCATGGGTTCACATGACCGCACAACACTGGCACGTCTTTTGCTTAGGGCCACTTGCCTCTTCACCCTCGGTGGGGGCAGATGGCTCAGGCTGCCGGGCAGGCGCGTAGGTGGGCACAGGGTGGGCACTGGGGTTGGCGCTGGGCCCCTCCCCCTGAAGCAGTGGCTGGCATTCGGCGGGCTGCTCTGGGGCTGGGGTCTCTGCCAGAAGAGGTGTGGCATCCCCCAAGGGGCCTTGGCCCTCAGCAGCGGTTTGGGGCTTCACTCCTTCCTCCTCCAGGGCTCCTACTGGCTTCTCCTGGGGCTGGGGTCCTTCCTTCTCTGGCCTTGTCTCCGTGTTAGCCTCAAGGGGAGGCCCTGCCTCATTCATCTCCTCTGCCTGGGATTCACTTCCTTCCCTAGACCCTTGTTCTAGATTCAGATCTCCCTCCGTCCCTTGGGTCTTCTCTGTCTCCAATGATTCCTCACCTCCCCTTTTCTCTGCCTCCAGTGTCTCCTCCCCTCCCTTTCTCTCTGCCTCCAGTGGTTCTTTGGTTGCCTCTGGCTCTTCCTCACCTCCTTTCTTCTCTACTCCCAATGGTTCTTCTACCTCCTCCTCCTCTGCCCCTCGCTTTTCCTCATCTCCTTCCTTCTCTGCCCTCAAATGTCCCTCAACTTTTCTCTCTATGCCCAGTGGTTCCTCACCTCCTTCCCTCTCTGTTCCCAGCTTTTCTGCACTTCCTCTGCTCTCCAGCTCCAACTTCTTCTCTCCTCCTTTCCTCTCTACCACTGGTGACATCTCCGCTTCATCCCTCCCTGTCCCTGGCTTTTCCTCACTTCCTATTCCCATGGATTCTTCCGCTTTTCTCTTCTCTGCCTCCCAGGTCTCCTCGCCTCCTCCCGTCTTGGCCCCCTCGGCCCCCAGCGGGCTTTCATCTCCTCTCTCCCTCCCTGCCACCTCGGGCCCTTCCAACCCCTCCACCAGCAGCTCCTCCCACTCTTCACTGAGGGTCACTCTCTCCACCCAAATGAAGGATCCCTCCTCTCCTCCAGAGCCTCCCTGCCCATCACCCTCAGGGCTGCCCTGGGGCACATCTTCCCCTTCTATGGAAGCTGCTGCCTCTAATCTCTCCTGGAGCCTAGGCGAGCTAGTCTGCACGACCTCAGGGACCCTGCCTATCTCCCCCATGGCCTCTGCATCACTGCCACCCACCCCCTCCCAGACCACCTCCACGATGCCCCTGTCCTCCTTCACCCAGGCCGGGAGCTCCAGGCTACCAGCTCCCTTCCTGTCTCCGATGGCTTCCAGCACCACTTCCTCCACCTTAGCCTCCAGCTCGGGGCCCGTGGCCCCTGTGGCACAGTCCTCTGTGGCCCTCAGCCCTTCCCACACCACACTCACCACGCCCCCTCCTTTGGCCTCACCCACCCGCCCTTCGGATGGCACTGCCCTCTGACTTAGCCCCTGCTCTGGAGTGGGGATGGGGCTGGGGCATGGGCCATTGGCTTCTGAGGAGTCTCCTGCTGCCCCGGGGACCTGCCTCGGGCCTGGCAGAAACCCCAAGACATCCTCCCTGGGCTCAGAGGGGGACTCTGGAGGCGTGCCCACTAGTCCAGCCGGCAGGGAGGCTCTCTTGTTCAGATCAGTCTGGCCTGGGGGAGTCAGAGGTGGAGGGGAGAGGACAAAAGGGAAGACAGGGTTAAGATGGAACAAAAGGACTGCCATCCACACTCCCCTTGAGTCACCCTCTCACACCCAGGCTCTGGGGTGACCTGACCCCCAGACCTAGGGGCTCCCACACTTACCTACAGAACCTGCCTCGACAATGGACTGGGAGAGAGGACGGTGACCCTGCAGAGATGGCGGAGACAAGGTCAGGCTGGCCCTCATCCCCACCTCCAGCCTCCCTGCATGCTAGGCTCCCACCCCACCACCCCTAAATACCCTCAGTGGCTCTCTATTACCTTCAGGATCAAACTCCACATTGTACCTCTGCCTTCCTCATCTATCTTATTGCCCTATGTTCCAGGGCCTTGCACACAGTAGGTGCTTAAACAATACTGCATTCCCATAGCCAATCTGTATTAGGGGCCTACTTTGTCAGTTACTGGTTACCATGCACAAGGGACACTTAAGCCTTTTGTTTTTGGCACTTACATTCCAATCAACATAAATACAAATTAATTTTTTTTTTGAGATGGAGTCTTGCTGTGTCGCCCAGGCTGGAGTGCAGTGGCGTAATCTCGGCTCACTGCAACGTTCGCCTCCTGGTTTCAAACGATTTCCCTGTCTCAGCCTCCCTAGTAGCTGGGACTACAGGCACCTGCCAGCATGCCCAGCTAATTTTTGTTTGAGACAGAGTCTCACTCTGTTGCCCAGGCTGGAGTGCAGTGGTGTGATCTCAGCTCACTGCAACCTCTGTCTCCAGGGTTCAAGTGATTCTCCTACCTCAACCTCCCCAGTAGCTGGGACTACAGGGACACACCACCATACCGAGCTAATTTTTGTGTTTTTAGTAGAGATGGGGTTTCACCATGTTGGCCAGGCTGGTCTCCAATTCCTAACCTTAAGTGATCCGCCCACCTCGGCCTCCCAAAGTTCTGGGATTACAGGCGTGAGCCACCATGCCTGGCCTATACTGTTGTTATTCCCATTTTAGAGATGGGAAAACTAAGGCTTGGAAAAGGAAATTGACTTGCCAAGACCACAGAGCAAAGTAAAAGCGGGAAGCGGATCTGAATGCAGACCTAGTGGCCAGGCTGCCCTTGGAGAAAGCTGCATTCCTGATTCCATGTCCTGCCTTGAGGCCTGCTGGCCATGCCCTCCCATCCCACTCCCCTGATTCCCCCCTCACCTGTCTGCGCCAGCTGGGCCTGCCTGAGGGCTTGTGCTGGGCACCTGTGGAAGCACTTTGCAACAGTTGCAGCTGGGACTGGAGTCTGAAGAAGAGAGAGGGCTGCTAGGAGCTGGGCCCCCAGGCTCCTTGGGCTCCTAGACTCAAGCGACCACCTCCTTGGAATGTGCCCAGGGTCTCGATCTCACCCAGCTGGGGCAGGGTTCGGGCAGAGCTAGAAGGTCTCCACTCACGTGAACAAACTGTCTTCCAGGTTCCGGATTCGGGCCTGAGCCTGGCCCTCGGGTGACTGGGGGTCCTTCGAGGTGGGGTCTTCGGATGGCTCTGGCACTGCAGCTGCCCCATCCATTAGCCAACGTTCCCGGAGAGACTTCCTCTGGGCAGGGGAAGGGAGTTGGGGCTGGGCATACAGACTACCCCGGTCCATGTAAAGTCCCCTCCCGACCTCTGCAGGCTGGGCAGGTATCTTATCACCACCTCACAACCAGTTGCGACATACATCAGGCTGGGATACATGGCCACAGTGCCCCCCAACGCTGCAAGTGGGCAGACATCCCTTGTTCCAAACCCTTCCAAAATGAAACGGGCACTTCCAAAGTGAAATCAATGTCCCTCCCTACTGGCCCCTCCCTACCCCAAAGCTAGACTTCGGCTCCTCTCCATCTCCCCCAAATTGGGACAAACAGCATCACTGTCCCAGACTTTTCCCCAAATGGAACAAATGTCCCCATGACCACCCCACTTCGTCCCTCCCAGGCTGGGAAAGACATACCCCGCCCCGGCCAAGCTGGAACCAACGCCCCCAACTGCCCGCTCCCCCCCAAAAATTGGACAGAGGCTCCTATCGTCCCCCAAACCGACTTGCACAGACACCCCCCACTCCATTCCCCAGGCTAGGCAGGCGCCCCCGCCCGCCCCCAACCTTGAGACGCTCCACGCGGAGTTTCTCCTCCTCCACCTCCCGGCGCGCGGCGCGGATCTCCTCCTGCAGCCGCCGCTTCTCCTGCGCACAGAGGACCCGGAGCTGCCCGCCGGCCGGGCGCGGCCTCCACCACCTCCTCTTCCCTCCCTTTCCCCTCCCTCCTCCGCGGGGCTCACCGGAGCTCCCGGGGCTCCCGAGGCAGCGAGCCCGGCGGGGGTGGCCCAGCGCGGGTCTGCACCCAGGGCGGGGAGGGGGCTGCGGAGGCGCTGACTCAGCGGCGGGCGGAGTGGGGGGGGCGGGGCGGGGGCGGGGCCGGCCGCGCCCGGGATGCTGCGGAGGCCTCGCCCGCGCCCAATGGGGGTCTGTGGATGGGGGGTGTAGGGGGTGGGGCCTTGGGACAGCTATCGGGGGAGGGGCAGAGCTGGGGAGCTCCGAGATACGAGGTTAAGAGAAATGGGGATCAAAGGGAGGGTGCGGCCGTACGCGGTGGCTCACGCCTGTAATCCCAGGACTTTGGGAGACCGAGGCGGACAGATCGCTTGAGGTCAGGAGTTCTAGCCTACCCTGGCCAACATGGTGAAAACCCGGCTCTACTAAAAATACAAAAATTAGCTGGGCGTGGTAGCAGGCGCCTGTAATCCCAGCTACCGGGGAGGCTGAGGCGGGAGAATCTCTTGAACTCGGGAGGCGCAGGTTGCAGTGAGCGGAGATCGCGCCACTGCACTCCAGCCTGGGCGACAGAGCGAGACTCCGTCTCAAAAAAAGAAAAAAGGAGGGGAGGGTGCTAGTGAGATGGGGGTCCGAAATGGGGATGCAGCCATGGGAGCCCAGAGTAATGGAGTGTAGACATGGAATCTAGAGAGATGGGGTGCAGAGGTGGGGGTGCAGAGAGATGGGGTACAGAAGTGGGGTACAGTGAGATGGGGTACAGAAGTGGGGTGCAGATAGGTGGGGTATAGAAGTTGAGTGCGAAGAGATAGGGTACAGAAGTGGGGTATAGAGAGATGGGGTGCAGGGAGATGGGGTTCCATAGATGGGGAATAAAAAGGAGGGTGCTAGTGAGATGGGGATCCAAAATGGGGGTGCAGCCATGGGGGTCCGGAGAGATGGGGTGCAGAGATGGGGATCAAAAGGAGGATGCTAGTGAGTAGTGAGATGGGAGTGCAGCCACGGGGTCCAGAGATACTGAGGTGTAGAGGTGGGGATCAGGGAGATGGGATACAGAGATAGGGGTCAGAAATATGGGGTACAGAGGTGGAGGTATGGATAGATGGGGTATGTAAGTGCGTGCGGAAAGTTGGGGTTCAGGGAGATGGAGGAGGGAAGGATGCAGGACAGAGATAGGATCAGAGTGGTAGAGACCCAGAGATGGGGGAGTCCAGAGAGACGAGGAAGTCAGGGATGAAAGTTCCCAAGGAAGGACTGTCAGGATGGGGGCTCCGAGGTAGGGAGATTTGAGAGATAGCGGTCTGATAAAAGGCGGTCCGAGAGATGCGGCTCAGGCATGGGGTTTTTGGGAGGCTGGGGTTCAGGAATGAGGCATAGCCGATGCAGGCTCTGGAAGTGTGGGGGCCACAGCTCCCCATTCTGAGGGTGGTAGTGACCAGACAGGAACTGGGGGGCAGAGGGGGCTGGAGAATTGGTGTGGGGAGCCCTGGGCGGGGCTGGAGCTGAGGGCGCTCTCCGCAGAGATGACGGAGAGACGAGAAGGGAGCATGGTGGAAAGTTTGGGGGTGCCCAGGGCGCGGGGAGGGCGTCACTTACAGCGATGACTTCTAGCCGCTGCCGGTAGAGGGAGCTCTCCGCCATGGGCCTGTTGGGAGAGGGCAGGGGCTTCGAGGGGCTCCCATCTTGAACGCCCCCCTCTTGGCCAAGATCCCTGAGCAGTATGGAAATTGCCCCGAGCCCAGCACTTTGCCTCTGTTTCCCCTTTGCACCTGGGAAGAGTCTGGGCGGGGGGCGAGGGTCTTGGGAGGGGAACTGAGCAGTGACCACGACTGGTGAGGCTAAAGCCCTCCCTAAATCTGGCTTTGTCTCTCTCAGCCTCAGTTTCCTCATCTGTAAGATGGGCAGGAATAGCTTGACCACCCTGTCCTTGCCACCCCCGATCTCAGAGGACGCTTGCAAGGAGCTATTCATGCAGGGAAAAGCTTAGGGTACAGTGCTACAAAAATAGTCCCATTGTTTATGAATAATCATAATTTATATAATTCCATGATGAATAATATGTATGATTAATTATAATAACCATCTCCAGTCCAACCTGCAGAAACTCTCAAATGCCACCAGGCCCCTAACAGGCTGTGTGCCTCTTTCTCTTCCCAGTCCCACACCCTCTCTGGACCTCAGCTCCTACCCAGAATTTCTCAAGCGCTGGGGGGGCAAGCGAGTCTGTGGCCCTCCCACTGTTGCCATGGTAACCCCAGAGCTGCCTCCTCCACCTGCTAACCCCCCTCCCTGGGGACAAGGATCACTGGGTCACTCTGCCTAGGACTGGACTCTGAGCTGGGAGGAGGGGGACTTGCCATTTAAGGTTTAACTCGAGATTCCCCTGTCATTGTCTTCCTCAAAACATCTCTACTTCTCAGCCTCCAGAGTGGCCTCTGGACCCACTTAGGCTCCCGTGGAAGCTGGAGGGTGACTGTCATACTGCAGGATGATTAGGGACAGTCAGTGTCACACCAACCTTATCAACACAGACATGCATTGGGCACCCCTGACTATGTTGCTATGTTGACCACGTGTCACAGGCCAGTATCTAGAAAGCGATGTCTCTCTGCCTGTCATCTCCACCGGCATGGACGGGCGCTGATCAAACCCTCAAACATTTATTAATTTGAACAGTCACCCTACTGGGTAAGCCTCATTGCCTGAACTCCAGCTAGGACCTTCCAGATCTTCTGTGGCCACAACGTGAAGGCTATTAGCACTTATAGTGCTATATATATGATATATATATACTATATATAGCATATAGTGTTCTAAGTGCCCCACGGGGTTTCCGCTAGGTTCCCACAGCCACCTCTGCCTCCCCCTCCCTGCCTCTATCATGACACAGTGGAGTCAACTCTTTGCTGAGTTGACATTCCAGCTAAGAACAAAATCAGCCAACCATTAGCTAGCCCGTAACACGTGCCAGGTGCAATGTAATTCACTGAATCCTCCCAACGACTCTAGGAGGTAAGCTATATGAATGTGTCCATTTTATGGATGGGAAAACTGAGGTTCTGAGAAGTGGCAGCAGTGTCCAAGGTCATGGAGCCAAGATCAGAACTTGAAGCTATCAGATCCAAAATACTGAGAACACAGCTGGCGAGGGGGGTGGGGGTGCAGGTCTAGGAATCCCCATCAAGGTAGCTAAGAGAGCAGCCTGGAGACCCTGAATGCTGTTTGGGGCAAGGAATTGAAGTCATGCTCTTTCTTTTTTTGAGTCGGAGTCTCGCTCTGTCACCCAGGCTGGAGTGCAATGGCTCAATCTCAGCTCACTGCAACCCCCGCTTCCTGGGTTCAAGTGATTCTCCTGCCTCAGCCTCCTGAGTAGCTGAGATTACAGGCGTGCACCACCAAGCCCGGCTAATTTTTGTATTTTTAGTACAGATGGGGTTTCACCATACTGGCCAGGCTGGTCTCGAACTCCTGACCTCAGGTGATCTGCCCGCCTCGGCCTCCCAAAGTGCTGGGATTACAGGCGTGAGCCACCGTGCCCGGCCACGAAGTCATGCTTTGCAAGATATCCCAAAGGAAGCCCAGATTCTGTGCTTATAGGTTTGCCCCTGGGGGAGGGCTGAAGTCCCGTGGTCTCCTGTACCACCCCCAAGATGTAATCTCCCTGCCTCTTCCTTGCTGGGGGGGATCGGGTTCCCATTGCTAAGCAACCAGGTTTGTAGTTGGTGAATAATGCAATGGAGGACCTAGAAGGGTGAGGAACCGAATTGGGGTCCCTAGTGTGGGGGGAAGCCCCTTTTCCAAAACTCTTTCCAAACCTCTGAAGCCCCCTCTACCCTTTTAACCTTAAAAAACTCTCACCCCTCAGCTATGAAAAGACTTCACACACCCCATTCCATCTTGCTTATCTCTAACTAACTCTGGAAGAACAACGTAGGCGGCCTGGGCTTCTGGCCACCCGCAAGAGTTGGTGGCCATTTCATGAAGGAGGTCATCCTTGCAATGTTGCCATTGTCTTTCTCAGGCTGGGAGCTTTTAACTTCTGTTGGATCTCAAGCCTTTTCTCCCACCTTGGACACTGACTTTAGGGGCAAAACGTGGAACCCAGTGACCCTGACCTTCCCCACTCCCTGCACCACAGCAGTAGCCCCACCCCCTGGCTGGACTTTGGGTTCTCAGCCCTGGCAGCGGAAAATCCCCGAAGAGGAAGGGGCAGGGGGAGCCTATATCTCTCTCCCACCCCTTGACTCTTTAAGGAAGGGTGACACTGATGAGCCTATGGGGTTGGCTAGCCAACCCCTCCACTCCCCGGGTCCCCTTAGGAGAGACCACTGGAGCTCTCGGCTCCCAGACAAGGCCAGCATCCCCCATGAGCCCCTCCCAAGGCCCTGCCCACCAGCCCCCCTGACCCCCCAGACACTTACATGGGTGTGGCCAGAGACCACACCTGGCTCTGCAGGGCCATCTCTGCCCAGAAGTTCACTTTCTGGTCTCCGAGTTCTGGACCCACCACCCGCTTGCCTGAAGGTGCCCCGGAGGCTGTGACTTGGCTGCCTGGAGTGGGGGGGGGCTGCGGGCGGGCACCGGGAGAGCAGGTCCAGCGGGTTTGGGCCAGGGAGGCGGTAGGCACACCAGAGAGGGGGGCTGGGGGCTGGAGGGCAGTTCTGGGGAGGTACTATCAGCTGTCCTGATAAATTATTCACCAGCCTCTGGCCTCTTTGTTGCACTCAGCTGCCTCCCGGAAAACACTTTCACACACGCGTGGTCAAGCGTGGGGGTGAGAGTACTGAGTCGGTGACTCCCCCTGCCACCAGAGAATGGCATTTCTACTTGGCACCCCAATCATCTTGAGTCTGACTGCCTGCCAAGACTCACCCACAGGAGAGCACCATTGCATAGCACACAGGCTGGAGACTGTTTTATTTTTTTAGAGATGGGGGTCTCACTCTGTTGCCCAGGCTAAAATGTAGTAGTGCGATCATAGCTCACTGCAGTTTCAGACTCCGGGGCGCAAACAATCCTCCCTCCTCGGCTTCTCAAAGTGCTGGGATTACAGGCATGAGCCACCACATCTGGCAGATAACATTTTTTAAAATTATTTTTTAAGAACAGGCACAGTGGTGCATATGTGTAATCCTAGCACTTTGGGAGGCCCAGGTGGGTGGATCACCTGAGGGCGGAGTTCGAGACTGGTCTGACCAACATGGTGAAACCCCGTCTCTGCTAAATACAAAAAAAAACTTAGCCGGGCATGGTGGTGCATGCCTGTAACCTCCGCTACTTGGGAGGCTGAGGCAGAAGAATCACTTGAACCCAGGTGGCAGAGGTTGCAGTTAGCCAAGATCGCACCATTGCACTCCAGCCTGGGCAACAAGAGCAAAACTCTGTCTAAAAAAAAAAAAATTACTTTTTGAGCCAGGCACGGTGGCTCACGCCTGTAATCCCAGCACTTTGGGAGGCCGAGGTGGGCGGATCACGAGGTCAGGAGTTTGAGACCAGCCTGGCCAACATGGAGAAAGCCTGCCTCTGCTAAAGATACACATTAGCCAGGTGTGGTGGCACACCTGTAGTCCTAGCTACTCGGGAGGTTGAGGCAGGAGAATTGCTTGTACCCAGGAGGCGGAGATTGCAGGGAGCTGAGATCATGCCACTGCACTCCAGCCTGGGTGACGGAGCAAGACTCCGTCTGAAAAAAAAAAATTACTTTTTGATCGTGGTAAAATACACATAACAAAATTTACCATTAGTGGCATTTAGTATGTTCACAATATTATGCAATCCTCACCACTGGTTCAGAATATTTTCATCAACCCAAAAGGAAGTGATCACTACTCATTCCCCTGCCTCCCGTGCCTGGCAACCACCAATCTGTGTCCATCTCTATGGATTTGCCTATTCTGGACTTTTTGTTTTTCTTTTTTGTTTGTTTGTTTTTTTAGATGGAGCCTCACTCTATCGCCCAGGCTAGAGTGCGATGGGCACAATCTTGGCTCACTGCAACCTCCACCTGCTGGGTTCAAGCAATTTTCCTGCCTCAGCCTCCCAAGTAGCTGGGATTACAGGCACCCGCCATCACGCCCAGCTAATTTTTGTATTCTTGTAGAGACAGGGTTTCACCATGTTGGCCAGGCTGGTCTTGAACTTCTGACCTCAGGTGATCCATCCTCCTTGGCCTCCCAAACTGCTGGGATTACAGGCGTCAGCCACTGTGCCCGGACTATTCTGGATAGTTCTATAAAAATGGACTCACAGGCCGGGCGCAGTGGCTCATGCCTGTAATCCCAGCATTTTGGGAGGCTGAGGTGGGCGGATTACCTGAGGTCAGGAGTTCAAGACCAGCCTGACCAACATGGAGAAACCCTATCTCTACTAAAAATACAAAATTAGCCAGGCATGGTGGTGCATACCTGTAATCTCAGCTACTTGGGAGGCTGAGGCAGGAGAATCACTTGAACCCGGGAGGCGGAGGTTGCGATGAGCCGAGATCACGCCATTGCACTCCAGCCTGGGCAACAAGAGCGAAACTCGGTCTCAACAAACAAACAAACAAAAGACTCACACACTATGTGGTCTTTTGTGTTTGGCTTCTTTCACTCAGCATCACGTTTTAAAATTTCATCCATGTAGCGTGTATTTATCGTTCCTTAATTCTTTTTTTTTTTTTTTTGAGACGGAGTCTCGCTCTGTTGCCCAGGCTGGAGTGCAGTGGTGCAATCTAGGCTCACTGCAAGCTCCGCCTCCCGGGTTCACACCATTCTCCTGCCTCAGCCTCCCAAGTAGCTGGGACTACAGGCGCCCGCCAACACACCTGGCTAATTTTTGTATTTTTAGTAGAGACGGGGTTTCACTGTGTTAGCCAGGATGGTCTCAATCTCCTGACCTCGTGATCCACCCGCCTCGGCCTCCCAAAGTGCTGGGATTACAGGCATGAGCCACCGTGCCCAGCCCCCTTAATTCCTTTTTTATGGCTGAATAATATTTCATCATATGAGTATACTATATTTTGCTGATCCATTTATCCATTGATAGACATTTGAGTTATTTCCACCTTTTGGAGGAAATAAAATATTCTATTTATTATTTATTTATTTATTTGAGACAGTCTCACTGTGTCACCCAGGCTGGACTGGAGTGCAGTGGTGCGATCTTGGCTCACTGCAACCTCTGCCCCCCAGGTTCAAGTGATTCTCCTGCCTCAGACTCCTGAGTAGCTGGGATTACAGGCATGCGCCACCATGCCTGGCTATTTTTTGTGTTTTTAGTAGAGGCGGGTTTCACCATATTGGCCAAGCTGGTCTTGAACTCCTGACCTCAAGTGATCCACCCCCCAAAGTGCTGGGATTACAGATGTGAGCCACCACATCCAGCCTATTTAATTGTTTGTAGATTGATTTTATAACTGTTAAATATTTAGATGTTGGAGCCAGGCATGGTGGCTCATGCCTGTAATTCCAACTACTCGGGAGGCGGAGGCAGGAGGATTGCTTAAGCCCAGGAGGTTGAGGCTGCAGTGAGTTGTAATCACGCCACTGCACTCCAGCCTAGGTGACAGAGCAAGACCCTATCTCAAATAATAATAATAATAAGGCATTATTCTAGGCATGGGGGCATTGGGTATAGAGATGAACTAGACAAACAGAAAATGCTATTATGCAGCTCACTTTCTCGTATGGGGAGAGAGACAGATAATACACAAATAGAAAGAAATATAAAAGCAATTGGTGCCGGGTCTGGTGGCTCATGCCTGTAAACCCAGCACTTTGGAAGCCCGAGCAGGCAAATCACCTTAGGTCAGGAGTTCGAGACCAGCCTAGCCAACATGGCGAAACCCCCGACTCTACTAAAAATACAAAAAATTAGCCGGCCATGCACCTGTAATCCCAGCTACTCAGGAGGCTGAGACAGGAGAATTGCTTGAACCTGAGAGGCAGAGGTTGCAGTGAGCCGAGATGGTGCTACTGCACTCCAGCCTGGGCAACAGAGCAAGACTCCTTCTCAAAAAAAAAAAATAATAAAAAGAAGGCTGGGGCCAGGCACGGTGGCTCACGCCTGTAATCCCAGCACTTTGGGAGGCCGAGGCAGGCAGATCATGAGGTCAGGAGATCGAGACCATCCTGGCTAACATGGTGAAACCCTGTCTCTACTAAAAAATACAAAAAAAAAAAGAAATTATCCAGGCATGGTGGCGGGCACCTGTAGTCCCAGCTACATGGGAGGCTGAGGCAGGAGAATGGCATGAACCCGGGAGGCAGAGCTTGCAGTGAGCCGAGATCATGCCACTGCACTCTAGCCTGGGTGACAAAGCGAGACTCCCTCTCAAAAAAAGAAGAAGAAGAAGAAGGCTGGGCGCGGTGGCTCATGCCTGTAATCCCAGCACATCGGGAGGCCGAGGTGGGTGGATCATGAGGTCAGGAGTTCAAGACCAGCCTGGCCAACGTGGTGAAACCCCGTCTCCACTAAAAATAGAAAAATAAGCCAGCCGCGGTGGTGCCACCAGTAATTCCAGCTACTCGGGAGGCTGTGGCAGAAGAATTGCTTGAATCCTGGAGGCAGAGATTGCAGTGAGCCAAGATCGCGCCACTGAACTCCAGCCTGGTTGGCAGAGTGAGACTTTTTGTCAAAAAAAAAAAAAAAAAAAAAAAAAGAATAAAATAAAAATGAAAGCAATTGGTGGCAACTGCAATTGGGGGTGAGTTATTGAGAATACCTGAAATGGGGCTAAAGAAGGAGTGCTCTTGTAGGCTGGGTTATCAGAGACCACTTCCCTGAAGAAGTGACATTTGAGGTGAGACCTGAATAGAGGAACCAGCCATGTGACTGTCATTTCAAGCAGAGAAAACAGCAGTGCAAAGACCCTGAGGTGGGAATGCAGTTGGGGGAGGGGTTAAGGGAAGTACGAAGCTGAAATGAAGTGACACAAGGTGACAGTGTGAGAAGATATGACCTGAGAAGTGGGCAGGGCCTGCTGGGGCAAGGTAGAGAATTCGTATTTTTATTCTAAATTTGGTGGGAGCCTTTGTTTTATTTGTATTATTATTATTGTTTTAGAGATGGTGTCTTACTATGTTGTCCAGGCTGTTCTTGAACTCCTAGGCTCAAGCCATCCTCCCGCCTGAGCCTCCAGGGTAGCTAGGATTATGAGCAAGCCACTGTGCGTGGCTTGATGGGAACCTTTGAGAGGGAGGAGGTGGCTGGAAGGAACAAGGATGGAGAGAAGTGGATGAATCCAAAATCTGTTTGGAGGTGGAGTCAAGAGAGTTTGCTGATGAATTGGAGGGTGGCTAAAGAAAGAAATTAAGGCTGACTCCTGGGGTACTTTTTGGCACGAAAAACTGAATGGGTGAAATTGACACACATGGTGAGGAGGAGTAGGGTTGGAAGAACCAAGAATGTGGTTTTGGAAGTGTTCAGTCTGAAATGTCTATTAGACCGGAGACTGCTAGATATGAGTCCAAAGCCTAGCGGAGCAGTTAGAGTTAGAGATATAAATTTGGGAGACATCAGCATAAAGATTATATATATATAATATATTAATATATTATATATATTAATATATTATATATAAATATATTATATATAATGTATTATATATTATATATAATAATATATTTATTTATATATTATAATAATGTCTATAAATATATTATATATAATATATTAATAATATATAATAATAAATACATAATATAATAATAAATATAAATATATTATTAATTTATTAATAATTTATTGTTGATATATTATTAATAAATTAATAAATATAAAAAATAATAATATAATACATATATTATATATAATATATTAATGTATTATATATTATATATTAATGTATTATATATTATATATTATATATATAAATATATATATAATATTTATATTTCTATATTAATATATTATATAATTATATAATATTATATATTATAGATATTTTATAATATATTATATATATATTAGAAGTGGAGTCTCACCACTTGCCACGTTGCCCAGGTTGGTCTCAAACTCCTTGCCTCAAGTGATCCTCCTGCCACAGCCTCCCAAAGCACTGGGATTACAGGCGTGAGCCACTGCACCCAGCGTAGATTTTTTTTTTTGAGACTGAGTCTCACTCTGTCACCCAGGCTGGAGTTCAGTGGCACGATCTCGGCTCACTGCAACCTCTGCCTCACAAGTTCAAGGGATTCTCCTGCCTCAGCCTCCTGAGTAGCAGGCCCACACCATCACGCCCACCTAAATTTTTTTGTATTTTTAGTAGAGACGGGGTTCCACCACGTTGGCCAGGCTGGTCTCGAACTCCTGACCTCAAGTGATCCACCACCTCCGCCTCCCAAAGTGCTGGGATTACAGGCTTGAGCCACTGTGCCCAGCCCAGCCTAGATGTTTAAAACATGAGATTGAAATTTGTCAGAGCCTGAGTCCCAATAGGAAAGATTGTGCACTTGAGGCTGGGGGCAGTGGCTCACGTCTGTAATCCTAGCACTTTGGGAGGCTGAGGCGAGTGGATCATGAGGTTAGGAGTTCAAGACCAGCCTGGCCAAGATGGTGAAACCCTGTCTCTACTAAAAATACAAAATTAGCTGGGCGTGGTGGTGGGTGCCTGTAATCCCAGCTACTCGGGAGGCTGAGGCAGAGAATTGCTTGAACCCAGGAGGTGGAGGTTGCAGTGACCCAAGATTGTGCCACTGCCCTCCAGCCTGGGCAACAGAACAAGACTCCTTCTCAAAAAAAAAAAAAAAAAAAAAAAAAAAGTCTGGGCACGGTGGCTCATGCCTGTAATCCCAGCACTCTGGGAGGCTGAGGCAGGCGGATCACCTGAGGTAACAAGTTCAAGACCGGCCTGGCCATGGTAAAACCCCGTCTCTACTAAAAATACAAAAAATTAGGTGGGCGTGCTGGCACATGCCTGTAATCCCAGGTACTTGGGAGGCTGAGGCAGGAGAATCGCTCGAACCCCAAGAGGCAAAGGTTGCAGTGAACCGAGAACGCACCATTGCACTCCAGCCTGGGCAACAAAAGCGAAACTCCGTCTCAAAAAAAAAAAAAAAGATTGTGCACTTGAACACGGTGGTTGATGAGAACTTAATAGAACCCAGTTTATAAAGCTGGAGGGGAAACCATCAAGGCACAGTATAGACGCCCTGGGTTAGCAACGCCTGGCAGCTGTGACCACCTCTTTGCCCTGGAGAGAGCTGTGTAGAGCTACTGCCTGTAGCAGAGGGATGTCACCAATGGGGCTTGGAGGTAGGGGACACGGGATAAACTTTTTCTTTTTTTTTTGAGACAGAGTCTCACTCTGTCGCCCAGGCTGGAGTGCAATGGTGCGATCTCGGCTCACTACAACCTCCATCTCCCAGGTTCAAGCAATTCTCCTGCCTCAGTCTCCCAAGTAGCTGGGATTACAGGTGCCCGCCACCACACCTGGCTAATTTTTAGTATTCTTAGTAGAAATGGGTTTTCGCCATATTGGCCAGGCTAGTCTCGAACTCCTGACCTCAGGTGATCCACCTGCCTCGGCCTCTCAAAGCACTGGGATTACAGGCATGAGCCACTGTGCGTGGCCAATTTTTTTTTTTTTTTTTTTTTTGAGACAGAGTCTTACTCTGTTGCTCAGGCTAGAGTGCAGTGGTGTGATCACAGCTCACTGCAGCCTTGATCTCCCTGGGCTCAGGTGATCCTCCCACCTCAGCCTCCTGAGTAGCTGGGACTGTAGGCACACACCACCAACATGCTGCTAATTTTTGCATTTTTTGTAGAGATGGGGTCTCACTACGTTACCCAGGCTGGTCTTGAACTCCTGGGGCTCAAGCCATCTGCCCGCCTCAGCCTCCCAAAGTGTTGGGATTACAGGTGTGAACCACTGTGCCCAGCTAAACATCTTTTTTTAGTGTTATTTTATTTATTTATTTATTTAGAGACAGGGTCTTTCTCTGTCACCCAGGCTGGAGTGTATTGGCATTATTATAGCTTACTGCGGCCTCAAACTCCTAGGCTCAAATGATCCTCCCACCTCAGGCTCCCAAGTGCCTGGGCCTACAGACACAAACCACCATACCCAGCTAATTTTAAAAAATGTCTTCTTTCCTTCATTCCTTCCCTCCTTCCTTCCTTCTTTCCCTCCCTCCCTCCCTCCCTTTCTTTCTCTCTTTCCTTCTTTCTTTCTTTCTTCCTTTCTGCAGAGACAGGGTCTCCCTATATTACCCAGGCTGGTTTCAAGCAATCCTCCTGCCTCGGCCTCCCAAAGTGTTAAAATTACAGGTGTGAGCCACCGTGCCTGGCTGGGATAAACACCTTGGCTTCACTCTCCTCTCTTTCATCAGGTGACCCCAAGGAAGCCAGAGGGGAAGGAAGGTGAAACAGAAGTCTGAGAAGGGGTGCTTGTGAAGTAGAAGGAAATCAGGAGGGGGTGGTGTACCCAAAGACCAAGGAGCTAATGAAGAGGAGGACAGGGAATGAAGTCAGTGATTGAATCTGCCAAACGGACATCATAGGTGCTCTTGTCAGAAAAAGCTCCCAGAAGCCGGGCGCGGTGGCTCATACCTGTAATCCTGGCACTTTGGGAGGCTGAGGCGGGCAGATCATGAGGTCAGGAGTTCGAGACCAGCCTGGCCAACATGGTGAAACCCCGTCTCTACTAAAACTACAAAAAAATTAGCTGGGCGTGGTGGCACACGCCTATAATCCCAGCTACTCCAGAGGCTGAAGCAGGAGAATCGCTTGAACTCAGGAGGCGGAGGTTGCAGTGAGCCAAGATCACACCACTGCACTCCAGCCTGGGCAACAGAGTGAGACTTCGTCTCAAAAAAGAAAAAGAGCCCTTTCATCAATCTTCCCGCGTCCGCCGATTCCTCCTCCTTGGTCGCCGCGTCCTTGGCTGGCGTCAGAAAAATGGCTACAAACTTCCTAGCACATGAGAAGATCTGGTTTGACAAGTTCAAATATGACGACGCAGAAAGGAGATTCTATCAGCAGATGAACAGGCCTGTGGCAGGTGCCTCCCGCCAGGAGAACGGCGCCAGCGTGATCCTCCATGACATTGTGAGAGCCAGAGAGAACATCCAGAAATCCCTGGCTGGAAGCTCAGGCCCCGGGGCCTCCAGTGGCCCCAGCGGAGACCACAGCGAGCTCGTTGTCCGGATCGCCAGTCTGGAAGTGGAGAACCAGAGCCTGCGTGGCGTGGTACAGGAGCTGCAGCAGGCCATCTCCAAGCTGGAGGCCCAGCTGAACGTGCTGGAGAAGAGCTCGCCTGGCCACCGGGCCACGGCCCCGCAGACCCAGCACGTGTCTCCTATGCGCCAAGTGGAGTCCCCGGCCAAGAAGCCAGCCTCACCAGCAGAGGATGACGAGGATGATGACATCGACCTGTTTGGCAGCGACAATGAGGAGGAGGACAAGGAGGCGGCACAGCTGCGGGAGGAGCGGCTACGGCAGTACGCGGAGAAGGCCAAGAAGCCTGCATTAGTGGCCAAGTCCTCCATCCTGCTGGATGTCAAGCCTTGGGACGATGAGACGGACATGGCCCAGCTGGAGGCCTGTGTGCGCTCTATCGAGCTGGACGGGCTGGTCTGGGGGACCTCCAAGCTGATGCCCGTGGGCTACGGTATCCGGAAGCTACAGATTCAGTGTGTGGTGGAGGACGACAAGGTGGGGACTTACTTGCTGGAGGAGGAGATCACTAAATTTGAGGAGCACGTGCAGAGTGTCGATATCGCAGCTTTCAACAAGATCTGAAGCCTGAGTGTGTGTATGTGTGCGCGTGCGTAAGGCCCTGCCACGATTAAAGACTGAGACCGGCAAAAAAAAAAAAAAAAAAAAAAAAGAAAAAAAAAAGAAAGAAAGAAAAGAAAAAGAAAAAGAAAAAAATGTTCCCGTGAAAGGGGGCCAAGAACCCAGCCCAGTTGGCATGGCTGGAGGAAGGACCAGGAGATGATGCAGTGGGGAAGGTGCTATAGAGAAAACTTTTTCCCAGAAGTATACAGCTTATTTATTTATTTATTTATTTATTTATTTTGAGACAGAGTTTTGCTCTTGCTGCCTAGGCTAGAGTGCAGTGGCGCGATCTTGGCTCACTGTAACCTCCACCTCCCAGGTTCAAGTGATTCTCCCACCTCAGCTTCCCGAGTAGCTGGGATTACAGGCGCCCACCACCAGGCCTGGCTAATTTTTTTTTTGT
This sequence comes from Homo sapiens, assembly GCF_000001405.40. NCBI lineage: Eukaryota > Metazoa > Chordata > Mammalia > Primates > Hominidae > Homo > Homo sapiens. Next base: position 283,524 of record NW_021160022.1, read on the forward strand.
ATTTTTAGTAGAGACGGGGTTTGGCCATGCTGGCCAGGCTGGTTTCGAACTGCTGACCTCAGGTGATCCTCCCGCCTCGGCCTCTCAAAGTGCTGGCATCACGGGCATGAGCCTCCATGCCCGGCCGGTAACTGTATTTTTCCTTCTGGGCACCCCAGAATGGTGGGGTTGGGGGCAGGTTCTGGGAAGAGTCTGCTTCCATTAGGGGGAAAGTGGAAAACGTCCCTAGGGGAGGGTGGCCCGCGCAAGGGCATCGATCCTGCCCTTGAACCGCATGATCCGGCCCCAGCTGCTCTTTCCCCCTACCCTGGACGCCTCCTGTTTCCTGTCTGGGCCTCCCCAGGCGCCCGGGCCCAAGGTGACCGCCTTTCAACTGCAACCGCTAAGCTGCGCCCACGGCGCACTGTGTCCGTCTCTCCCTCCTCCCTCAATCCGGGAGTGCCCTTGGCAGCGGACACCTCCCGGATTTTTCCGGGAGGAGAGGGGAAGCCGCTTCTCGGCTTGGCGTGGGGGCAGTGGTGCGCGGCTGGGAACCTCGCTGAGCCCAAGCATTGGTAGGGAGACCCCAGCGGCCAGTAAGGCGGCTCCTGGCGCCCCCTCGGGCCGGAGCTGTGCGCTGCAAGGCTGGATCGGAGGGAGGGCCCAGGGGCCTGAGGAGTCGCTGCCTGCCGGCTGGCACGACCAAGCGGGACTGCCCGGGTCCCGAAAATACGGCTTCGGGGGACACCTCACCAAGCGGCTAGTGGTTCAGAACCCCAGTCCGACGCGCTGCTGGGCCCAGTCTCCGGGACGATGACGGGGACATGGCTCTGAAAAAGTGCCAGGGTGCGCTCAGTAGAACCCAGCACCCAGAATGGCCCCCCAGAGAGCGGGGCCGGGTCTAGGGAAGCCCTCTTCCAAGAAGTCCCGTGCCCTGAGGTGACTGGGCGCGCTAGTTGATGAAACTGAGTGCCCCACCGAGGCGCCCCTGTCCCGAGGGCGGGGCCAGGGCGGGGCGGGAGTCCTCCTGGCAGGTGCCGGGGGCGGTGCCCGGCCCTGCCCCCGGGGGCCGTTCCTGGAGGCCAGAGGCGGGTCAGAGAAGCCGCCGGTGCGGGCGACGCCTTGGAACCCACGGCCGCCACTGCCGCCACAGGTGCCTCACAGTGCCCTCTGTCCTCGCTCTGGGAATCAAAACCCCGGTTGGGAACTGAGGCTTCCGAACTGCTTCCAACCCTGGACACGAAGGCCCCCACCGGCCGGAGAACGAAACCCTGGGGTCGTCTGAAGAGGAGGGCCAGGAGTCCCCAGGGCCAGACAGCGAAGCCCCAGAGCTGCTGCGGAGCTGAACACCGAGGTCCCCAAGCCCTCCGCAAAGGACGTGGAGATCCTGGAGCAAGAGAGCGAAGTCCTCGAGCCATCAGTCGAGCAGGACGCAGAGAGCCCCGGGCTGTCCACAGCTGCGGGCTTTGAGAGTCCTGAGCCAGGCAGAGACGACCCTGGGCCGTCCGAAGCGCAAAGGGCGGAGGTCCAGGGGCAGCATCCCCCTCCAGGCCCTAAGACCTCCTCCTCCAGGTCAGGCTCGGAAGCCCCCCACCTGCGTTTTCCGCCGTGCCCCGAGGCTCCCCAGCGTCCCCCGGAGGAGCGGTTCATGGAGACGCCCATCGAGCGCGAAATCCGCCGCAGCTGCGAACGCGAGGAGAGCCTGCGCCGGAGCCGGGGCCTGAGCCCGGGCCGCGCAGGCCGTGAACTCGTCGAGCTGCGCGTGCGGCCGGTGCTCAACCTGCCGGGTCCTGGCCCCGCGCTCCCGCGCGCCCTGGAGCGGGCGCGGGCGGGCGCGCAGATGCAGCGGGACATCGAGCGGGAGGCCCACCGGCAGGCGGCGCTGGCGCGCCCCGCGGTCCCCGAGCCGCGCGCCCGGTCGCCGCCGCAGCCGCTGGGCGAACTCAAGCGCTTCTTCGAGGCCGCGGCGGGGAGCGGCTCCTCGGCGGGGGCGGGGGACGGCGCGGGCCCGCAGAGGCTGCCAGAGCCTGGGGGACGGCCGCGCTCGGCCGTGCAGGGCGGGTGCCGGGTGCTGGGCAGCGCCCCGCCGCCTTTCACTCCGTCACTGCTGGAGCAGGAGGTGCGCGCCGTGCGCGAGCGCGAGCAGGAACTGCAGCGCCAGCGGCGCAGCGTCTATGGCACCGCGGAGTTCAAGGAGCCTACGCCGAGCCTCACCGGTAAGCCGCGGGCGTAGCAACGCCGGGACCCCCAGGGTTCCAGCCGCCCCCACCGATTGCCCAACTTCAGTGGCCCCTCCTGTGGCCCTCCGATTCTCGGGGTCTCTCCCTCCAAGCTCCCAGACCCCCTCTCAATTTTGTCTCTTGCCTACCCCTTCTGGAGCTCCATTACTCGCTGTGATCCACCCCTCCACCGGGAGTGATGGACTCTCTGATCCACACCACCCAGGCTGCGCGGGGGTGGGGGCATTCCAGATGTCTTCCTTTTTGTCGGGTTCCAGGGAACCCTGACTGGGTTCTGGCACTCCTGGGTCCTCCCTCTGAATTTTCGGGCTCCTGCTTCTCCATTCTGGGTTCACCTCCCTCCTCCCTCGGGTTCCTGGGTGCCTGGAGTTGAATGGAGGCTTTCATGGGGAGGCGGAGGGTGAACGCCTGTGTGTGTTTAAGGGGTGCGGCCGGCCTTTCATCCTGGCTGCCGCCAGCTGGTGAGCTGAGCGCCCCTTCCCCCGCAGCGAGCAGGGGCGACGGAAAGTTGGTGGTGATCTGGCCCCCCCGCAGAAAGGTCTCGGAGAACGGCCTGGAGCAGGTGGGAGCCCCCTTACCCGTGTGCCTCTAGCGCTTGTCGGTCCCCCCACCCCTCCGGTGCCAGGACGCTTGGTGGGGAAAAGTGCATCCTCCCTGGAGGGCCACTCTGGTCAGAACTCAGTCTGGGACGCATCCCCGGGGTGAAGAGGAGACGGTGGTCTTGAGGCCCAAACCGCCACCCCGAGCCTGGATGCAGTGCGCAGGTCCCTGAGGCCGGCCTTCCTTCTGGTCCTCTGTCCCCAGGAGGAGCGCAAACCTTGAGGTTTGAAAAGGCTGGGACCCCCGGCCGGAAGTAACGTACGCGTCAGAGGAACAGGGCGGGGGGCGTCTAGCATTAGGCCTGGAGAAGGGTCGGCTCTCTGCATTGGGGAAGATGAAATCGACTTGCCTTTGTGAAATTGACCAGCCCCCTCTATAAAACTTACAGTCCCCCATTGGGAAACTGACCACCACCCACAACTCCGCCAGTGAAACTGCCCAGCCCTTCTCTGCCTAATTGCAAACTGAACTACCCTCTCCCTTGACTGTTAAGAGGGCCGGAGTTACCGCCTCGATTGCCCCACTCCCCCCACCCCCAATAAAGCCTCTTCTTTCAGGGCACTGCAGCCTGTTTTTTTCTGGGTCCTCTTCGTCTGGGGTGGGGCGGGAGCACGGCGGGCCGAGGGAGGCCCGAGAAAACCCCAAGAGGTGCGGGCCGGAATGCGGGAATGCGCCCTTACCGCCCTGCTCTGGGGCTGCCCGCCTCCCCCGGCACGGCCAGACACGGCCTGGCCCAGGTCCTACCGCCCCCTGGCGGCCCGGGCGCAAAATGTGGCGCGCTTACCGAGTTCACACCCTCTCGTTTCCAGGCTTCCTCGTCAACATTTATTGGTGCCAACGATGTGCCCTGCGCTGGGCACTGGCTAGACAGTGGTGATAAGAGGCTGTTCCTACCCTGGGAACGTAAACAATAGCTACTAAAAAAAAGAGGTGGTGAGGGTTCAGGCTTCTCAACATTATTAGTTCCTAATGATCACCGTTCTTCTTGACCTCATGGGTCCTCACTATGAGACGTGCTCATTCGTGGTGTTGGGTCAAGAGTTTCTGCTTTCCAAAAGCATCCGTGGCCGGGCGCGGTGGCTCACGCCTGTAATCCCAGCACTTTGGGAGGCCGACGTGGGTGGATCAGTTGAGGCCAGGAATTGGAGACGAGCCTGGCCAACACGGTGAAACCCCGTCTCTACTAAAAATACAAAATATTAGCCGGGCGTGGTGGTGCATGTCTGTAATCCAGCTACTCAGGAGGCTGAGGCATGAGAATCACTTGAACCCAGGAGGCGGAGGTTGCAGTGAGCCAAGAACGGGCCACTGCACTCCAGCCTGGGTGACACAGTGAGACTCTGCCTCAAAAAAATAAAAAAGGCAACTGAAACCTGGCTTTTAAGAGAGAAATCTGCATTTTTATGATTGTGACTATTTAGGAAAAACTTTTTTTTTTTTTTGAGACAGTTTTGCTCTGTCACCCAGGCTGGAGTGCAGTGGTGCGATCTCAGCTCACTACAACCTTTGCCTCCTGGGCTCAAGCAATTCTCCTGCCTAAGCCTCCCGAGTAGCTGGAATTACAGGTGCACATCACCACACCGGCTAATTTATTGTATTTTTAGTAGAGATGGGTTTTCACCATGTTGTCCAGGCTGGTCTTGAACTCCTGGCCTCAAGTGATCTGCCGGCCTCAGCCTCCCAGTTTTTTCTAGGCGCCCTGCCTAGAAAAAACTTTTAAAGTTGTGCGGGAGGAGAGGAAGGAAGGAAGTTGGCAAGCAACAACTGTTTGCAATAGGGCCTGTGGCTGTCAATTTGCAAGCTCTGGTTAATTTCTCTCCCCTGGATGGGGGTTCAAGAGGGTGGGTGAACACCCTAAATTGTCTCTAAAACTGTATCTGCACAGTTAACATTCTGGGACTATTTTTACAGTGTCTTAGAAGTGCACTGAGGGCCTGGCGCGGTGGCTCACGCCTGTAATCCCAGCACTTTGGGAGGCCAAAGCAGGTGGATCACGAGGTCAGGAGATCAAGACCATCCTGGCTAATATGGTGAAACCCCATCTCTACTAAAAATACAAAAAAAAAAAAAAAAATTAGCCGGGCGTGGTGGTGGGTGCCTGTAGTCCCAGCTACTCAGGAGGCTGAGGCAGGAGAATGGCGTGAACCCGGGAGGTGGAGGTTGCAATGACCCGAGATTGCACCACTGCACTCTAGCCTGGGTGACAGAACAAGACTCCATATTAAAAAAAAAAAAAAGAAGTGCACTGAGGACCAGACATGGTGACTCATGCCTGTAATTCTAGCACTTTGGGAGGCCAAGGCAGGAGGATTGCTTGATCCCAGGAGTTCAAGACCAGCTTGGGCAACATAGCGAGACACTGCCCCACCCCATCTCTACAAAAAATTAACCGGGTGTGGTGGCATGTGCCTGTGGTCCCAGCTACTCTGGAAGCTTAGCAGGAGATCGCCTGAGCCTGGGAGGTTGAGGCTACAGTGAGCTATGATTGAACCACTGCACTCCAGCCTGGGTGAGAGTGAGATCTGTAACCTAAGAAAAAAAAAAAATTCACTAAGACCAGAAAAGGGGAGACCCAGGAAGTTTAAATTTAAAAATGTTTTCAATTTTGGAGACAAGTCTTGTTCTGTCACGCAGGCTGCAGTGCAGTGGCATGATCACAGCTTACTGTAACCTTGATCTCCTGGGCTCAAGTGATCCTCCTGCCTCAGCCTCCTGAGTAGCTGGGACTACAGGTGTGAACCACCACACCCAACCCAGGAACATTTTAGAATCGCTGTTTCAACTCTTGGCTCTTGAGATCGTGTCACTGCACTCCAGCCTGGGTGACAGAGCGAAACTCTGTCTTAAACAAAAACAAATTCTTGGCTCTGTCCAACTCTGTCTCTTGTATAGGGGCATCAAATGTCTAGTGAAATCCATATGCATAAAATACAGAGAGGTCATGCTGATACAAGGCTGCACCCAAGAGCAGCTCAGCCCATGAAGGGCTCATCAGCTGACCCCATCCTCAGCCCAGTGACCCCATCCTCAGCATACTTCACTGTGACTGTGGGAGCTATGTAGAGAAAGGCGGAGAGAGCCTGGGAAGGTGGAAAATGGAAACACCTAGAGGCTGGTCTTAATTTCCAGCAGGGGAGCCAAGAACTAAGTATGTCATGAGTGGACAGGGGCCGGGCATGGTGGCTCATGCCTGTAATCCCAGCACTTTGGGAGGCCAAGGTGGGTGGATCACCTGAGGTCAGGAGTTTGAGACCAGCCTGGCCAACATGGTGAAAACCCATCTCCACTAAAAATACAAAAATTAGGCCTGGTGCAGTGGCTCATGCCTGTAATCCCAGCACTTTGGGAGGCTAAGGCGAGTGGATCACCTGAGGTCAGGAGTTCGAGATCAGCCTGGCCAACATGGAGAAACCCCATCTCTACTAAAAATCAAGAAATTAGCCAGGCATGGTGGCGCATGCCTGTAGTCCAAGCTACTCAAGAGACTGAGGCAGGAGAATCACTTGAACCCAGGAGGCAGAGGTTGCAGTGAGCCCTGAGATTGCACCACTGTACTCCAGCCTGGGTGACAGAGCGAGACTCCATCTCCAAAAAAAAAAGAGTGGACAGGACTACTTAAGTATAGATGAGGGATTCTCTAACTTTTCTGAATATTAAACTCAACTGAGGCCCCCATATGTCAAGTAAATCAGAATGGGGGAAGGGCTTGACATCAGTATTTTTTGAAGCTCCCAGGTGATTACAATATACAGCTGAGTCTGAGAACCATGAAGTAAATATAAACCAGCAGTTCTCAATGTAGTGGCACCAGGACCAGCAGTATCCGCAATGCTTGGGGAATTGCTAGACATGCGCCTTCCAGGGGCCAGGTGTGGTGGCTCATGCCTATAATCACAGCACTTTGGGAGGCTGAGGTGGGATAATTGCTTGAGTCTGGGAGTTCAAGACCAGTGTGGGCAATATAGCAAGACAAAGTCTCTACCAAAAAAAAAAAAGAGAGAGAGAAAAAAAAGCACTTTCTTGGGTCTCATCCCAGACTTAATGATCAAACTCTCCATGTGATTCTGATGCACACTAGGAAGTTTGAGAATCAAGGGTGTAGAAAGCTGCTCAGCAACAGGACCCAGGAAACAAAGCTTGTTTCCTTCCCCTTCCAGTACTGTACTGTCACCACCCACCCGAAACCCTGTCTTAAGAGACAGTGGATTTGACTTAAAGGAGACCGTCTAGAGCTGCTTGTGGCTAGTCTGAATTGAGATATGTTGTAAATGTGAAATGCTAGATTTCTTTTCCTTTTTTTTTTTTTTTTTTTTTTTGAGATGGAGTCTTGCTCTTGTTGCCCAGGCTGGAGTGCAATGGCACGATCTCGGCTCACTGCAACCTCCATCTCCTGGGCTCAAGCGGTTCTCCTGCCTCAGCCTCCAGAGTAGCTGAGATTACCAGCACCTGCCACCATGCCCGGCTAATTTTTGTAGTTTTAGTAGAGATGGGGTTTCGCCATGTTGGCCAGGCTGGTCTCAAACTCCTGACCTCATGATCTGCCTGCCTCGGCCTCCCAAAGTGCTGGGATTACAGGTGTGAGCCACTGCATCTGGCTTTTTTTTTTTTTTTTCAGATGGAGTCTCGCTCTGTTGCGCAGGCTGGAGTGTAGTGGTGCGATCTCGGCTCACTGCAACCTCCATCTCCCAGATTTAAGCGAGTCTCCTGGCTCAGCCTCTTGAATAGCTGGGATCACAGGCGCCCACCACCACACCCACCTTTTTTTTTTTTGTTTTTTTTTTTTGCATTTTTAGTAGAGACAGGATTTTGCCATGTTGGCCAGGCTGGTCTCGAACTCGTGACCTCAAGTGACCCACCTGTCTCGGCCTCCCAAAGTGCTGGGATTATGGGCATGAGCCACCATGTCCGGCCAAGATTTCTAAGACAGTACAAAAAAGGAAAATACCTCAATAATTTTTTTACATGGATTATACATTGAAATAATATTTTGGGTATAACAGGTTAAATAAAATATCACGAAAATGAATCTAACCTCTTAATTTTTTATTTTTTATTTTTTTTTGAGACGGAGTCTCGCTGTGTCACCCAGGCTGGAATGCAGTGGTGCGATCTCGGCTCACTGCAAGATCCACCTCCCGGGTTCACGCCATTCTCCTGCCTCAGCCTCCCGAATGGCTGGGACTACAGGCGCCTGCCACCACGCCCGGCTAATTTTTTGTATTTTTAGTAGAGACGGGGTTTCACCGTGTTAGCCAGGATGGTCTCAATCTCCTGACCTCGTGATCCGCCTGCCTCAGCTTCCCAAAGTGCTGGGATTATAGGCATGAGCCACGGCGCCTGGCCCTAACCTCTTAATTTTTTTATGTGGTTACTAGAAAATTTGAAACTACATACGTGATTTGCGTTTGCAGCTCACTTGATATTTCCATTGGACCCCACGAGTCTAAAGAATCTTAAAGGCCGGGCAGGGTGGCTCATGCCTGTAATCCCAGCACTTTGGGAGGCCGAAGCGGGAGGATAGCTTAAGCCAGGAGTTCGAGACCAGCCTGGTCAACATAGGAAGAACCCCCCCCTTCTCTACAATAATAATAATAATATAATAATAATAATAAAATAGGGGCATCGTCGCTGCCTGTACTCCCAGCTGCTTAGGAGGCCGAAGTGGGAGGATCACTTGAACCCAGGAGTTAGAGTTTGCAGAAGTTGGAGGTTCCAGGATTGCGCCATTGCACTCCAGCCTGGGTGACAGAGCAAGACCCTTCCCTCCCCCCGAAAAACATCTTAGAGCCACAGGAAAACTCACAGGGACTCCCTCAAAGCGGTATCAGGGAGCATCAGGATTTCCTTGATGTCATTCAGACCACAGCTGTGGACTAAAAAACATCCTTGATGCAGTCAGAAATTGTCACCAGAAATACCCATGGAAGAGCAATAGTGGCCGGGCGCGGTGGCTCACGCCTGTAATCCCAGCACTTTGGGAGGCAGAGGCGAGCGGATCACCTGAGGTCAGGAGTTGGAGACCAGCCTGGCCAACATGGCGAAACCCCGTCTCTACTAGAAATACAAAAACTAGCTGGGCCTGGTGGCATCAGCCTGTAATCCCAGCTACTCGTGGGGCTGAGGCAAGAAAATCACTTGAGCCTGGGAAGCGGAGGTTGCAGTGAGCCGAGATCATGCCATTGTACTCCAGCCTGGGCGACAAGAGCGAAACTAGTGTTGGCATTCAATATTGATTCATTTCACCTCTAACGTCCTTTTTTATCATCTGGAAATGGAGGCTAATACTATGTGCCAGGGACTGGAAGGTAGGTGCTTTGCTCAAAATCATAAATAAGGGCAGGGCTCTGGGTGTCTCCTCTATGAAAATGCTGCCGGGGGCGGGGGGAGGGGAGGGGAGGGGAGGAGAACCAAAAGGGTCCCTCTTGGATTAAAGGGGTATAACCCGCAGCTGAGTGACACCTGGCTCAGGAGGACACCCTTCCTCCTTGCAACGGGCCACAAGTACCGGGTTGCGATCACAAGTACCCGGTTCAGGTCCAAGGTCCGCCACTTGCTCGCAGGAGCTTTGAGCAGGTGAGTTCATTTCTCTCAGCCAGGGTCTCCTCTCCAGTCCGAGATTAGAGAGAGGCTGAGAGATCCTAAGCTTGGATACCGTAGGGCTCTCCCACCTTGTCCGCACCCCGGATACCCCAAGAAAGACGACGACCTGTCCGGCCCCCAAGTCCCAAAAGCTGGAAGAGAAAAAAAAAGTCTAACTCGGGCCCTTAGGAAACTGATCGAGGGCACTTTCCTGGGGCGCGTCGGGAAAAGTAGTCTTCTACGCTAAAATAAATAACTTCCGGGTCAAAATATGGGAGTGGGCGTAGCCTTAAGTCTCTTCCTCCAGTGGACGTTGAATTTCCCCGGTACCCTAAACTTGCAGTTTTCTGGGTTCCGGTGTTGACGGGCACCACTTCCCTTTTTGCTTCATGTGCGCCTATGCGCATGCGCCAAACTCTCGTCCGCCTATTGGCGAATTCCAGGCTTCTTTCAAAAGACTACATTTCCCAGAAGGCCACGCGAGTGGGTGGGGCAATCCCCCGGGGGAGGGGCGCGGCATTCGCAGCGGACGCTGAGCCTGTGACCTCTTTCTTTCTTTTATTTAACACAAAACTGACGTGTCCGCATTCAGGGCCCCACGGCCAAGCCGGACTCGGTGCAGACAGGTCAGCTCGGCCTGGCCCTTTGGAAGGCGAGGCCGGGCTGCACTGCGAGAACGAGTGAGCCCCTCCCCTGCCCCCTATTCTGGAGTTTGGAACTGTCAAGTTCCAGCTCCTACCCTCTTCCCCAGGTTCAAGACCCCTGCGCTGCCCACCCCGCAGGCCCGGCTGCGCTCGGAGGCCGGGCCTGGCCTGCCTGGCCCGTGAGGATCTGCACCAGCAGGTCGGTGGCCAGCGTGGGCGTGGGCTCCTCGAAGCCGATGGTCAGCAGCTGCTGGTAGTCCCCAAGCGGCTGCGGGCACAAAATCCTGGGGTGGGGGGGCCAGGGATAGACAGGCCTGGACTTGAGTGCCCCCTGCCCCTCGGGAGTCCCTCCCTTTGAGTGAGAGGCTCAGGTGAAAGAGGCTTTGTTTCAGCTGCGGGTGGGAAAAACCCCCGGGGGAAACTTGTTTCCTTGTTGATCAGAGACTTAGTAATGGCTCCTAGAGGCTGAATAACTGGTCCTGACCTGTCCATTCGCTCTGCTAGCTGTGTGTCCTTGGGCAGGTAACAACTTCTCTGAGCACCCTGTTTTCTTTGTTAAATGGGGCCAATAGCATAGATCTCCATGGGTTGTTACTGGGGTCTGCATGAAGTGCTTTTCAGGGCACAATAAAATGCTATCACTACTAAGGGAAGCAAAGTGTTTGGGAAGGTGGATTGTCTTTGGTGGGGTTCTGCCTCCCCCTCCAGCTCCCAGGCCCACGTTGCTATTGCCCTAGCTCCTACCATGAATAAAGGTCATCCTCGGCTGGTCCTAGGGGCACCCATCGGCCGATGGACCACAGCTTCTGGATCTGTGGGCACGAATTGGCTGGACTCTGGCCTGTGTCTTCCCAAGTATCTCGATAGCACAGAAAGTAGCTAGGAGGGGAGGGAGCTGTAATTAGAAGTGATCAGCTTCCTAGCTACTTCTGTTGAGGGCTTTAATTTTGGAGTTGAGGTGGGAACTCATCAGAAGTTGCCCTGAAGTTCTCAGGTAGGAATGTGACTCCAAGGCCTTTTCTCCCTGCCAGCCTACTTTTAAGATGAGAACTTTTATTTTGGTGGGAGGGTGGGTTTTAAGAAAATAGAGGTAGCCTTTCAAAAGCCTTTAGTTTCCTGGTTCACTTTTTTTTTTTTTTAAGAGACAGATTATTGCTTCCACTCAGGGTGGAGTGCAGTGGCACAATCACAGCTCACCGTAGCCTTGATTCCTGGGCTCAAGTGCTCCTCCTGCCTAAGCCTCCCAAGTAGCTGGGACTACAGGTGCCAGCCATCACGCCTGGCGAATTTCTTTGTTGTTGAGACAGGGTCTTGCCATCTTGCCCAGGCTGATCTCAAACTCTTGAGCTCAAGTGATCCTCCTGCCTCGGCCTCCCAAAGTGTTGGGATTACAGGCGTGAGCCACTGCCTCGGGCCCTGGCTCACTTTTCACTTTGCTGGTGACGGTTTGGAGGGTCATATTGGCATTCATCATAGAAAGGGGAGGACTTTGATTTGGGTAAGAGGACTTACTAATCCACAAGGGAATCTTGTCCCCGACCAGGGGCCTCTGGGGTGGCTTCCAGGTGCCAGCGCATCTTCTTATAGAGGTAGCGGGGGAAGCGGCTGGCAGTGTAGGCGGTTGGGGCACAGTATCTGAAGATGGAGACCTCATGGGACAGGCTGATGGAGAACCTCCCGCAAAAGAAACAGGAGATGCTGGCGAGACATGAGAGAATGGAGGGGTGAGGCTGGGCCTTGGACTCCTTCATCCCCCCATCTGAGTCTCCTACCATTTTACCTAAGGGGGTTCATCTCCTCCAGGTCCACGAACCCAAAGGAAGCGTACATGAGGACCAGCTGTTCCAGGCGCAGGGTCAGCTGTTGGGAGATCTCTAACAGCTGCATACAAGAGGGGGGTACAGTGAGATCAGCTGGCCTGCGAGGAGTGGGCCTCCCCCTCCACCATCCCCACAGGCTCAGAGCTGCGAGAAGAAAGGGGCGTGGGGTCTAAGAAACCTCCACACACCCCCTTTCGGACCAGCTCCTGCAGGGGTCCATAGATGGGGGGTATGCTTCTCGCGGCTGCCTCCAGGTACAGGAAGTAGGGCTCACACATCTGTAAGAAGGTGGGCATGGCCTTGGCCAGCTGCTCCTTCTGTACTTGGTCTCTGCTGAAGGAAGAAGGGGGCCTTTGCCTGGAATCCCTCACAACCCCTCCCCACCCCGCAGTTTTCCCCATTCTACTCAATCCCAACCTGTATCCCTGGCTTTGACCCATTAGAAAAGCCCCCAGTTTCAGGTCTTTTCTGAACATCTTTCTGGTTTACCTGCATCAAACCCATTTGGAACACTTGTTAAAGTGCTGACACCTGAGTCTCACAACACTTAGGACCCAGAGCTTCCTGCAGGGTCTGGGCGCAGTGGCTCACGCCTGCAATCCTAGAGTTTTGGGAGGCTGAGGCTGGAGGATTGCTTGAGGCCAGGAGTTCCAGACAAGCCTAGGCAACATAGCAAGAACCCATCTCTACACAAAAATAATTAGCTGGGCATGGTGGCACCTGTAGTCCCAGTTACCCAGGAGGTGGAGGTGGGAAGATTGCTTGAGACCAGGAGTTCGAGGGTGCAGTGAGCTATGACTGCCCCACTGCACTCCAGCTTGGGTGACAGAGCGAGACCCTGTCTCATTAAAAAAAAAAAAACAGCCTCATGAGAATCCCTCGAACCTGGGAGGCGGAGGTTGCAGTGAGCTGAGTTCGCCCCACTGCACTCCAGCCTAGGTGACAGAGCAAGACTCCATTTCAAAAAAACACATAACAACAAAACAAAACAAAAAAACCCAGCCTCGGGTAGGCGCGGTGGCTCACGTCTGTAATTCCAGCACTTTGGGAGGCCAAGGCGGGTGGATCATGAGGTCAGGAGCTCAAGACCAGTCTGGCCAAGATGGTGAAACTCTGTCTCTACTAAGAAAAGAAAAAAATTAGCCGGGCAACACATGTTGGTGGGCGCCTGTAATCCCAGCTACTCGGGAGGCTGAGGCAGAGAATTGCTTCAATCCGGGAGGCGGAGGTTGCAGTGAGCTGAGATTGCACCACTGCACTCCAGCCTGGGCGACAGAGTGAGACTCCATCTCAAAAACAAACACGCAAACAAAACCCAACCCAGCCTCCTAGGAAATTCCAATGGACACTGAAATTGAGAGTCACAGGGAAACCTGGTCTGGGAATCACATTATCCTTTGGAGTCTCAAACTGATGTCCTGCAGGCCAAGTTTGGCTCAGGTGGGTCTTGTTTAGCCAGCACAGGGCTCAAAATGTAAGACAGCACTTAAAAACTGGGAGAAAAAGTCCTAGAGACTTGACAACCCCAGGCCCACACTGCCACGACAGTAATAGCAGCCATCCCCTACCCGCAATTCTACAGTCTTCCTCATTCTCTTAAACTGGATTCTAATATGCTAGCTTCTTCCACTGTCTCCCTCTGGCTCCTAGCGCTTGTAATTTTGCGACCCTGGTGTGTGTCACCCATCCTGTCGCCTCCCCTCCAAGTCTCCTTACCCATGGGGACCTGGGACCCTGTCCAGCATCACCTGTAGAGCAAGTAGCTCTGGAAATCATCTGCCTTCTTCAGTAGGTAGCGCAGCTGTTGGGTGATGGGGCTGAACAAAGTGTCCAGGGATAGGCGGGGAGGTGCTGGCCCAGGCCGGGGGACCAGAGGTTTGGGGGAAGACGTGGAGGCCCGGGCCTCAGCCAGCCGCCCCTCGGCATCTTCAGGATCCGGCTCAGATGGGTTCCCAGGCCTGCCAGGGGGCGTCGACCTGGAGGGGTCTCCGCAGGGCGGCGTCCCAGGTTCCAAGGCGTCTGGAGGCGGTGTTTCTCCAGGGTCCAGGGGGAGCGACCCCTCGAACCACTGCTCTGTAGCCATGGTAGGGCCGGGGGGCGGGAACCTGAGCTCTTTAAGCTTCCGCTGCTGCTCAGGTTGGCCGCGGGTTCGACCCCGCCCCGGGAGCCTCCGACTGGCCCCTGCCTTGACCTCTCCACCGGAGCCGCGCCGCCGCGCCGGGGGCCGTTCGCCTCTTTTGAATTTCAACACGCGGGAGGGGCGCGCCTCTCCAGTCCGCGCGCCTGCGGCCCCCTACCCCTGCACACGCGCCGCACGCGCTCCAGGAACCTGGCGGTGGGGAGGGACCCGCCTAGGGAGGTGGCCTCTGGCCGTGTCCTGGGGGTGTGGCTAGGGCCGGGACCTTTATCTCTCGAGGTGGATTCCTAGAGTGGAGGGGTCTCTAAACGTGTCTCCAACCCCTCAACCCGGCACAGGTATATGGAATGAGGCCGCCCAGGCCCCAGCCCCTCACTCCCAGAACGCTTTTTGTTGTTAAAACATTTTTTTAATTTAAAATTTTTAGAGATGGGGGCCCATGTTGCCCAGGTTGGTCTCAAACTCCTGGACTCAAGCGATCCTCCCGTGTCGGTCTCCTAAAGTGCCCAGCCTCTTTTTTTCTTTAAAAACAAAAAACAACTCTAATGAGTTGAGAAACTGCCTTAGAACTTAGTAGGGACTACTTAGAACTTAGTAGGGACTTTGGATGTAGTAACTCTGGCGACTACTACTAACAATAATTTTTAAAAATCTTCAGGCTGGACTTGGTGGCTCATGTCTGTAATCCTGACACTTTAGGAGGCTGAAGCGGGAGGACTGCTTGAGGCCAGGAGTTCAAGACCAGCCTAAGCCACATAGCAAGACCCTGTCTATACAAAAACCAAAATATTAGTTGGGTGTTGTCTGAGGCATGAGAATCACTTGTACCCAAAAGTTCGAGGCTGTCACCACAGTTATGATTGCACCAGTACACTCTAGCCTGAGTGACAGAGCAAGACTCTGTCTTGAAACAAAATCTTCACTTGGAAATCTTCTATCTCATGGTCTCATCTGATGGCCCAGAAGGAATTTTCTGTTGTTTTAATGAAGAGGACCATGAGGTCTGGAGACACTACTATGGTCCAAGAACAGATCCCTGCCCCAATATTTGTAGTGGATTCTTTGCAGTAGACAAAGGCTGACAGGTTTATAGTTTTTAATGTACATTATGTCAAATACGCTAATTATATTTAAAGACTCTGAGTGAAGAACTCAGACAGGTGTCAGATGCCACCCTGTGTGACCCGGGGCAGACAGCATCTCTGTGCCGGGCCAGCTGCCTCTTCTGTAAGGTGGGATTTTATGAGTTTTTTGTCTTATGGGGACTTGGGAGGACAGTTGAGGAAATGCTTATAAACCCAAGGACTTAACTGCTAGCCATTCAACAATATTTGAGGCCAGGCATGGTGGCTCACGCTTGTAATCCCAGGCAGAATTGCTTGGCTGGGAGTTCGAGGCCAACCTGGCCAACAAAGTGCATACCCTCATCTCCACACACACACAAAGATTTTTTTTTGAGACAGAGTCTCACTTTGTCACCCAGGCTGGAGTGCAGTGGCACGATCTTGGCTCACTGCACCCTCCGCCTCCCAGGTGTAAGCAATCCTCTGCCTCAGCCTCCTGAATAGCTAGGATTACAGGCACCCACCACCACGCCCAGCTAATTTTTTTTTATATTTTTAGTAGAGACAGGGTTTCATCATCTTGGCCAGGCTGATCTTGAACTCCTGACCTCATGATCCACCCACCTCGGCCTCCCAAAGTGCTGGGATTACAGGCATGAGCCACTGTGCCCGGACAAAAATTTTTAAAAGTTAGCCCGGCATGGCAGAGTGCACCTGTAGTCCCAGCTACTCAGGAGGCTGAGGTGGGAGGATCACTTCAGCCCAGGAGTTTGAGGCTACAATGAGCTATGATAGCACCACTGCACTCCAGCCTGGGTGAAAGAATGAAACCTGTCTAAACGAAAAACAAAAATTGAGCACCTGCTGTGTGCCTAGCTCTGTTCTGGACACGGACACGGTGAGATTACAGAAGAAAAAAAAGCAAATATTCCCACCTTCCTGGAGCAATTATTGTTATACATGGCTGTGAGGCAGCTATAATTCATTGTTTCTGTTTTTCTCCCTCCCCAAACAATTCTGTCCTAACCTGAGGCTCTCTTAGGAGGCTCTTTAGTGCCCTCTCCCCACCCCATTCATAAAATGGACTCCGTGGCTTTTTTTTCCCTTTTTCTTTTTTTAAAATTTTATTTAAAAAACCTTCGGTGCAATATTAAAAAGCAATACAGCCAGCTGGAGCGACAATCAACAGAAAGAAAAGAGGGAGGAGAGAAAAGGCCCGAGGAACCCCAACCCAGCTAGTCCCCTAGGGGCTGGAGGCCAGGGGCAGACTGAGAAGGGGGGCATGGGTGGTAGGGGAGGGAGGAAAGACCACCCACCAAAATAAACAGGCAGATCCAAACATTTATACAGGAAACATCTGGCTGAACGGAAGAGGATCTTGGGGAGATGAGAAGCCCCCCACATTTCATTTTTT